>NC_000010.11:129105187-129416667 GCF_000001405.40 Homo sapiens
GGGATTACAGGCGTGAGCCACCGCACCAGGCCCAAAAATTCTTAATGTGAATCTCAAGTAGAGAAACAGGAAGAGGATCAGGAACAGTGAATGTTCATGTCCAAGTTTGATGTTTGTTTTTCTTTTAACTTCTTAACTCTTGAAACATCTTATCAGTGAAACCACAGAGAGATGTTTCTCTCTCATTCGCATGAAATAACAGACCACAGCCCTTAAAATTAAAATAATGAAAACACTCAAGTAACTCTTGATGTTGTTAAATGCAAGATAAATATTTGAATGCTTCTTTTTTTGCCAACATTTTTTACATATTTGTGGAAACATCCAGGGAAAACTGTATTCTGTGAAGGAGAAAAATAAGATAGAGCCAGGGGAGTTTTAATTGAGAGTCTCTTACTAAATTACTCCCTATGTGCAATTTTCCCCTTGGATAAGCCACGGCATTTTCAGGGGCAAGATGCTTCTGGAACTTGGCAGTACTCTTTGGCACTTCCTACAACTGTCCACAAATATAAAGAAGGGAAATTCCTTGGTTAAGATTTACCTCAATGCACATAAATTTCATCTCTGGTAAACAAGTAAACTTTTGTCCCTTGCATAGAAGGAATTCTTAGATTCCCTCGTGGCTTCATGTGGCAGCCAGCATCCCACCATAGAGGCCAAGCCATTCTCCCATCAGCCTCCTCTAAGGCCAGGGGCATCTGAAGATGACTTGAGAAAGAGGACATCTCTATTGCAATGTCCCTAAGTGACCTACACTCTCAGAAGAAAAACCTGCTGGATCCAATGACCACACTCACAGGGGCAGAACCAATTTTAAAGTCTTTTCCCGCTACAAATTTTAACCCCAGGCATATGGAAAAATTCTTCTGAGAGAGATGCTCTTTCTGGCTTTTATACCTCTCTCATGGAAAATTCTATAGCAAACAAGGTTTTCAGAAGGCGTCACTCTCAGGCATCGGAAGAGATCTGTGGAAACTAATAAGCCATCATAGAGCCTTACACTCTAGACGCTCAATAAACACCAGCAGAATGAGCGTCTGGTGAGATTCTCCTACGGAGGTCCACAGCTTGGACAAACTAGAGTTGAGAGTCAAACCATTTATTGATTTGTTTGCTCACTGTGTTTATGTATCTAGAAGTAAAGAAATTAAGCTGTTTTAAAATTAATAATTGATTCTTCCCCAAAACATCTAAATTGGCTAATAATCATAAATTTATCAAAAATAAAAAGGTCTACCCAGGCTATAATTAGGATTTGGAAAATGGCCAACTCCCTTATTAATGTTATCTTGGATGATGAAAACACTGAATTCTGCTAGTTCAGCAGATTCTATACCGACCCAGTAATACACGAATGGGTCAGGTCCCTCAAAATTTCAGTAATATTCTAATAACAAACAGCGTTCGGACAGAAATATTAGCTTTTGGAGATCAATGAGGTAATACTTTCAGTCCTTTGTTAATATGATACTTGTGGTGGTGAATATTCTTTCAGATGCATGTCTCAAAAATACTGTGGTGACTGTCAAGAAGTAATACATCCACCCAAGTTCCAGGATTTGTTAGAACCAAGTAATGATGAACCTGAAGGAGTGAATAGAAACAACTAAAGCCTGGGCTGGAGGGAAGCACAGATGTACTGGAGTTTTTGAAAATTCACATTTGCTTTCAGTCATTTAAACTTCACCAGGACTGACCCTAGCATGAATCCAAATGGTCATGTGATGTAAGGGCATTCCGTGATTTGAGGTGACAAAATAAAAGCTGTCTTAATCTTGCAGACCTAGTCAAATTATGAGACAGGAAGCACCAGGTTCTCTCGGGGGATAAACAGAAAAATTCATGTGGACAAGACGTTGCAGCCTCAGTTGTCCATCTGGCTGTCAACTTCACTAGGTGTGCGCCATTGAATGGAACCACAGCAGTGGCTGCATTTGTCAAGACAGGCAAGGATGTGAATATGAATATGGAATGGCTGTGGCTGTGGACTTGATTGTAGATGGATCAGGAAGTGGATGAAAATGTGGATGTTGCCAGGCACGGTGGCTCACACCTGTAATCCCAGGCCTTTGGGAGGCCGAGGCAGGCGGATCACCTGAGGTCAGGAGTTCGCGACCAGCCTGACCAACATGGAGAAACCCTGGCCCTACTAAAAATACAAAAATTAGCCAGGCATGGTGGTGCATGCCTGTAATCCCAGCTACTCAGGAGGCTGAGGCAGGAGAATCTCTTGAACCCAGGAGTGGACATTGTGATGAGCCGCGGTCATGCCATTGCACTCCAGCCTGGGCAACAAGAGTGAAACTCCATCTCAAAAAAATAAGTAAAGAAAATGTGGATGTTGAGATGGAGGCAGATAGGCATGAGCCTGTGGATAGAGACATGGATGTGAATGGGGATGTCGATAGGAATATGGTGGGGATGGGGCTATGGATGAAGATGCAGATGGGGAAGGGGTGGGGAATGGGGTGAGGATGGAAATGGATATGGATGTACTTAAGAATAGGAAGATGGATGGGGTGTGGGGGGTGTGCTGGGAACACATGGGCATGAGCATCTGTGTATGCATGTGGGGTGTGGAAGGGAACGGAATCATGCCATTAGCAGTTTGTGCCTCACCTCCAAATGTGGCAGCTACGAAATCTTATCCCCTCTTGAGATGAGATTCAGCCTGACCAGTCCACTTTCTCTGCCTGACATCAAGCATCTGCCATTTCTTGGGGGTGTTGATTTATAATATGGATATTGAGTTTTATTCCGAAATTTTGTGAGTTGCAGTAGTCCTGTGCCCTTTCTTCTGACCACCCGATCTAGCTTTCCCACCCCCCTGGACTAATTGTCTATAGTCAATAGCCATTGACTAATAGTCATGGTCCCCTCACATCATCCTACACCTTCAGGAAACCTGTATCCTAAATGGGTGACAAAACAGACAACTGTGTAGTTGAAAAGTGAGAAACACTGATTATGTCTTTAGCTAGCTAGTATAAATATTTCCTGCACTTGGGGCAAACATTATGATAGAAACAAATCTTCAAAACACTATCACTTCCATTGTAATTTCTATCATTTAAATGCCTGCTGGAGCTGCGAATTTTTTTTCCATACCCCAGGTTTACATTTGACTTGTTTCTGACAATCTTCTCTATTGAATTCAGGAATATACCCCTAACTAGTGAAGGTACACCTGGCCAATCACCTCCTCTCCTGCTATTGGAATGAGTCAATAAGTCAATTACGTGTTCAGCAGACATTTCAATGCTGTGGGTCACAAGAACCTTATAGCCTCTGTGCTACACAAACTACACAGCCATTCACTCACACTGTCACTCACTGATTGCACCGTGCCTGGGAAATTATCCCAAGATTGCATAAGATTGATGGACAAATACTGTAGCCTCACTTTGCTGGAGTTGGAATGGCATCCTTCTGCAGTCCTCTGAGATGCTGTGTGCCTCCCTTGGGAGTCCCGGGGTAATTACACACCACAGTCACCATGTGCATCTCCACTGTGGGGTGGTTGGAATCAAATTCCTCCCCACGCCTGTCAGGTCAACGAGCTAAGAATCCCTCCGAAGATCTGAACTTAGCTGGTAAGCTCAAAGGTCTGACTTTCATGAGCCTATGGGACTCTCTTCTTTTTGACTGAAAGGCCACATGACAGATTTGGTTAGGCAAGCGGGGCTCTTCAAAGAAGTGTCTTTAGGTTTTGTCACTGTGCCAGCATCTATGTGAACGCTGCTTCTGGTAGAATTTCGAATCATTAATATTATCCTCGTGGAGACTAGTCAAGGGTCACATGAGAGTAGTTGGCTTTCAAAGGCATTCCATAGTCCACAGGGTTCATTGCATGTGTGGAGACATCTCTCTTTTCTTGTGGGAGGCCCTGCCTGTTGGGGGTCTGGCTGACAGAGCTCAGGAGGGGAATTGGGGTCTGTGGATGTGGGTGAAGCATCACTTCAGAGGGTAGATGAGCCGGAGGAAGTTGAGCTGAGGCCTCCTCTGCTGAGAGTCTGTGTGAGAGAAAACACCTCTGGAGTAGACTCTGTGTTGAAAAAGTGGCAAGGCTACTCCAGCCTGGCAGGCTGTCGGCCAGCGTGTTAGGTCTGATGGGAGCGGTGACCACCTGGATCTCTCCGCCACTCCCGCTGGGTCAGTCAGGGCTCCCAGAGAACCAGGGGGTGATGTCTCATTTGGTATGGTGGTCTCATTTAAGTTGGAATGGGGGACGAAGCAGGGCTATGCCAAGTTTAAGAGGATCTAGAAGGAGAGGGTCATAAATCATTGCCATGTGTTGGCACCCAAAGTTTAGCAGCAAAGCTTATGATAATGATCAGAGCCACTGGGAAAGCTGCACAGATTCACCCGTTGACTTGTGCTTTATGAATCAGGTGGCCATTCAGGGAGTTCATGAAAAGCCAATTAGAGAGGGACTTTTTCCAGGTCATCTTTGGGCACTGGAAGGGTCTTTAAGGTTATGGAATCCTGCAGCCCAAGGACTGAGATGCTGGGCTATGCCTTCTGGGAGGCACAGGGCCTGGGGACAGGAGGAAGAGCTCCCCTCACCAGGGAGGCACGGGCAGGGTTGAGCTGACCCCACCTCATCTGTGTGTAGGCAGAGACATAGAAAGTTCTGTCTGTCTCTCTCTCTCTCTCTCTCTCCATCTCTGTATCTATATATCTATAGAGAGAGAGACATTAAGAACTTAGCTCATTAAATTGTGGGAGCTGACAAGTCTGATATCCACAGGGCAGGCCGGCTGTCTGGAATCCCAGGCAGGATTTCTGCATGACAGTCTGGAGGCACAATTCCTTCTGCTCTGGGAAGCTGAGATTTTTGTCTTAAGGATTTTGAGGGATTGGATGAAGCTCACCCACATTATCAAGTACAATCTCCTTTACTCCAATCGACGGATTATCTACAAAACACTTTCCCCGTGACCCCTGTACCAGTGTTGACCAAATCAGCCAGGTGCCACAGCCTAGCCAGTTGACACGTAAATGCAAGTATCATACCTGGCAAGGCCCAGGTTTCCAGACACCAGCACTGCGCTCTCCATCAAGTCTCTCTTCCCACCTGGTGATCCCTCCCCTGCCTGTCAATCACAGTCTGTCTGGAGAGCACTGTCTTCCTCTCTTTCCCATATGGCCCTGGTAATTCATCTCCTTCTCCTGCCCAGACCTCCAGGTCACCCCTTGGGGCTCTGCCCTTGGTGAGGGCAGGCCAGTGATGGAGGTCCACCATGCGGCATCTGACCTCCCTGCCTCTGTGCAAGCTGCTATAGTTTCCACATGTTGTCCCTCCCACAGCCACTGCATGTGCACCCCTCTTCACGTCAGGCTGGGACAAGATGCAGGTGTCCAGAGGGGGATCCTGCTGGCAGGACAGACTCAGAAAGCAGTACAGTCCCCGCAGGTGGAGGCAAGGAGCAGGCAGAGGCTCTGGAAGTGGAGAGTGCCCAGGACACAAAAGCGGAGCAGGGTAGAGAAGGCAGAGGGGAGGGGCACCAGGAGAAGAGGAAGGTTACTGGTCTCTCTGAGGGAGCCCGAAGGATGTGCAACCACCAACCGAGGGGCTCAAGGTCAGCTCCAGCCCATCCCACAGACCGGCCAGCACTTCTATTGACTGCCTGTCCCCAATACTTCCCTTAACAGGGTAAGTGAAGATACGTCTTGACCGTGCCTAACACAGTGAAGAAATGATGCATGGGAAGAAATCCCAAACAGGCTTTCTCTTCTGGTGGTAAAATGCTGACACGTCACATGGGGAGGCCACAGAGAAGCTGCGCCCACACACTGCATGCTGCTGAGGCCAGGCAGAAAGCCTGGTGAGATCAGCTTGCCTGCCCAGGCTGGGACCCTGCCCCGTATCCTGGGGACACAGTCGGTGGTGGTTTTCTGAGCCCAGACTGAAAGTTCAGGTCTCCTTTCGGCTCCTCCAGGTGCCACCCCACCGTTAGGGAGGAGCTGTGTGCAATCCGAAGGCTTCAGAGGCTCGTGGAAGTTTAGAGACTGTAGTGCCCACCACTCCATTTCAGAGACAGGGAAGCTGGGCCCACAGAGGACAGGCCCAGGCCCAGGGCACAGTGCTAGGACAGGGGCTCCGAGACTCTTTCCATTATATTCTGACCCTAAATCAAGGAGTATGCTGATCAGCAGATCTTTAATGTGCAAGAAGATTTTCTGAGATTCTTAAATGTTTTTAATATACCTGAATCTCAAATAACTCTTTTTTATACAACTGTGCCTATAAAACAGTGCCCATCGACAAGGAGCGGTGGCTCGTGCATGTAATCCCAGCACTTTGGGAGGCCAAGGCGGACGGATGACCTGAGGTCAGGAGTTTGAGACCAGCCTGGCCAACATGGGGAAACCCCGTCTCTACTAAAAATACAAAAAAAAATAACCAGGCGTGGTGGTGGGCGCCTGTAATCCCAGCTACTTGGGAGGCTGAGGCAGGAGGCTTGCTGGAACTCGGGAGGCGGAGGTTGCAGTGAGCCAAGATTGCACCATTGCACTCCAGCCTGGGCAACAAGAGCAAAACTCCATCACACACACACAAAAAAGGTACCCATCCTCATGTATATTCAAAAGGGCATCAGGAGGAAGGCTCCTGCCATCAGCCACTGCACTGATGAGAAGGGCATCCCCGCTATGCTACACCCACCTGGACGAGGAGCCAGGCTTCATGCCACCCACTGGGAACAAAGATTTCTCCTATCTGGTGGAGGAATTCTCATTCACCAAGGACTTCCTCCGGGGGACTGTGCTTGTGTTCTTCCAGGTTCCTTGTTACTTTGCAGGACAGTTTGAGATTTAATCTATTTGTATGATACAATGGCGGGGAGCTGGAGGGCTTCCCTTCCTCTCCATGTGGTATGGTGGTCTCATTTGAATTGGAATGGGGGATGAAGCGGGGCCATGCCAAGTTTAAGAGGATCTAGAAGGAGGGAGTAATAAATCATTACCATGTGTTGGCAGCCGACGTTTAGCAGCAAAGTTTATGATAATGATCAGAGCCACTGGGAAAGCCGCACAGATTCACCCATTGACTTGAGCTTTATGAATCAGGTGGCCATTCAAGGTAATCATGAAAAGCCAATTAGAGAGGGACTTTTTCCAGATCATCCTTGGGCACTGGAAGGGTCTTTAGGGTTATGGTGATCCTGCAACCCCAGGGGCTGAGATGCTGGGTTGTGCCTTTTGGGAGGCCCAAGGCCCTGGGGCAGAAGGAAGAGCTCTCCTCACCAGCGGGGGCAAGGGCAGAGCTGAGCTGACCCCACCTCCCCTGGAGCATTTTTGGAAACAAACACCATGCCTGTGTTCTCTGCCAGGATATATTTTGGAGTGATGGTGGTTGGAACCATTTTGTAATGTTTTGGGAAGTAGATTTGGACTTGTTCCTCCAATGTGGGAATAATATTCATCTATGAGAGGCTGGAAGGAAACCACACAGAGAACGGAGGTGGGGAAGCTTCGAAGGCAAACAGGCGAGAGAGATCTGTGCCCGGTGTCAAGAGAAGAAGGTGGGAAAAAACAGGAGAGAAGGGCTGGCCTAGTTGACATCATCTCACAATACTGGAATTGAGAAACAGAAAATCCAAAATGCTGCATAATCCAAAACTCACTTCTAATTGGCTATGGAAGGCATCGTGGAATTCGTGGCAGCAGGTCACCATCTTAATTCTATTTTTTGGTCCATATTGAAGGGAATATTTCTGAAGGAGATATCAAAGCGCAGCCCGGGTGCAGCCCACGAGTGGAATGTACAGGTGGCAGGGTCCTTCTCCGAGTCAGGGCGTCCCCGGGGGTGGTGCACAAGTGGAAAGTAAAGAGCCCCCAAGCAAGGAACAGGAACAGGAACAGGCCCACCAGACACCTTCCAGGATGCACAGGCTCTGAGGCCCAGGCCCATTCAACCCATCCATGCCTTCCTCCTGCCCGAGAGGGGCCCCACCTCTGAGGGAGGCTCCCCTTCATGCTCCTGCAAGAGCTGAGATGGCAGAGTGACAAACTCGCTCAGGCTTCTGCACCCAAATCCAGGGCTGTCAGTCTCCACAGCCTGTGGCCACTCCTCCCTTTAGGCCAGCGGTGGCTGGCAGTGCCAGTCCCCTAACAGGGGGTATTGCTTGGCACTGAAAGTAGGTGAAACTCCTGCTACACGAATGAAGATGAAACTCACTCTTGGCTGTGAAAGATTTGCCCAGGACTCTGAGGCTTCTTCCCAGGCACCCAGGCCAACTCTGGCAGGCCGGAGTTCAGGGTCCCTTCCTACCTTTTGGCTGGGTTGCCCAGCTTTCCTATACTCTAACTTGCTATCCCAGCAGGAGGGCAGCACACCCGTCCCTCACCTCGGAGCAACTCTCTCCCCACCTTGTCCTCTGCAGAAGGAGGATAATGGTGACGCTGATCCTTGCTGATGGAGCCTGGCCTGGCACCTGCTCAGCTCATCTATCGGAAGGGCCGTGAGGCAAGTCCTGCCCGATGCAGGCGGCGTTCTCTGGAAGCTGACACTGACATGTACTGTGGGGCGCAGAATACTGATTAGGGATCAATACCTGGGAAAGAAGGGGTAGGATGGGACAGAGGGGACGAAGCCTCCACCAACTTAGCAAGGAGTTCTGGGGCAACTGAAGCCTGGGAGAGTTGGTTCCCCGTCAGGAGCAGAAGGCCAGGCCTTCGTACCCTACTTCACTCCATCACCTGCTATGACCTGCCCAGGAAGGGCAGAGTTTTGGCCCTGCAGTTCCTGATGGCTGGAGGCTGCCTGCTGACCACCCCCCATTGCTGGGCAGTGGGGGTCTGAGAGGCGCATACGTGTGCTACCAGGTTTGTGTTATCCTCCCTCTGCAGGTAAGAGAGCCAAGGCATTGAGATGTTATCCACTGCTCCCAGAGTCGCACAGTGAGCTGGTGAGGGCTTCAGTGCCAGGAAGGCCAGCTCAAAGCTCAAATTCCACCCCCTACATTAAACCCCTGCCCATGGGTATAGCACAGTTTAAATGAGATAGAGCCTATAAAATGCTCAACCTTGCACCTCACCAATCTACTCAACCAGTGCTACCTGTAATATTATCAGAAATAATATTTCTGCTCTGGGCCGGAATGTACAAGGGACATAAAAATGGTTTCATGAGCCACACTGCATAGTGACATTGCAAACAGCACTGTCCCAGGCAAGGTGACAATTAGTGAGAATTTGAATGTCCCTCATTTACTTCTCTGTAAACAAGAAAGTTGGACTTACTGCCCCAGAGCACTTCCAGCCCTGGTGTCCAGGATGTGCTGGCCCTTGGCACTGCCCTAGAGAGCCAGCCTTGCTCTGACCTCAGGGCCAGGCCTGGCTGCAAGGTGAGCTGGAAGTGCGATTCCTGAAAAGGAAGATATCCCCCAAGTGAGGGTTACGCAGCCGGGGACAAGGCCCTACGGCCCAGCTATGCACTTGCCCTGCTTGGATGTAGGACGAAAGGAGTATGTCATGGAACAAAGCTAGAAGCTGTGGAAGCATACTGAAACCCTTCAGAACTTCACAGCCATCTTAGCCACTTCTGGAAGGGTGTTGCCTGCAACATCACGGCCACACCCGTGACTGTCAGCACTGCCCCAAGACAGATAAGGACAAGGAAGGCACACTCGCCCTCTGTGTGACCTTGAGCAAGGCCTTAGCCTTGCTAAGTCTCTGCATTCAAATCTGTAAGACAAAGAAGACAATACCTAGCTGGAAGCTAGGCCGCACACACACATCGTGGGCTCAGCAGACATACCTGCCCTGCGTCTCCATGCATATAGAGGAGGTGAAGAGGGGGAGTGTGCCTTCCATGTCCCCATCTCCACCTCCTCTGCACCTCCTCGCCTGCACTGAAACAGCCTGAGAGGGGCCTCACTGCTACCTTTCGTGCACTTCGAGAAATCATGGAGAACCAGAAATGTGCCTGAAAAAGGAAAAAATGATCACCTTTCCCAAACAGGAAAGAACCAATCCTGAAAACCATAGCCTGGTCAACTGGATGTGGATGCCAGATGGATCCCTGGAGGGTTCTAGACACATAAGATAGAGGAGGCAGTGACCCTCTGAGGCATCACAGCAGCTGTAAGCAGGTGCACCCACAGCCCAGCCCATGCACTTGCTGCTCTTGCTTCCTGTTCTGAAAGAGAAGGAACACTGTCATAAGGTTGAATCATCTTGATTTGGAAAAAGTACTCATCTCTTGAGGGCATTATGGGGGAGTTGTGAGAGCAGAGCACTGGGGGACCTTGGGTGGAGGGTTTGGGAGCTCCAGCTCTGCTGCTGCTCACCCAGCACCCCATTTGGGACTCCAGAGAAGCAGAAGAGAATTGTCACCTGTCGAGCCCACGATGTGATGTGTGCAGCTTGGGTTCCAGCTAGGTATTGTCTTCTCTGTCTTACAGATTTGAACGCAGAGACACGAGGCTAAGGCCTTGCTCAAGGTCACACAGCCAAAGATGGTGGAATTGAGAGTACAGATAGGCCCCCACTTACAGTGGTTCAACATACGATTTTTTGACTTTGTACATTCAATAGAAATTGTACTTTGAGTGCCCATACAACCATTGTGCGTTTCACTTTCAATACAATATTCAATCAATTACATGAGATCCTCAAGACTTTATTATAAAATAGACTTTATGTTCGATAACTTTGCCCCACTGTAGGCTGATGTGTTTTGAGCACGTTTAAGGTAGGCTAGGCTAAGCTATGATGCTCAGCAGGTTGGGTGTATTAAACGCATTTTCAACTTAGGCGGTTTTCAGTTTACGATGGGTTAATTGGGACGTGACTTCATTGTAAGTCTTGGTGCATTTGTATAATGATAACCATAAACCAGAGATGAGGACTGAAAAAGTGCTGGCAAACAAGAAGAGAAACAGAGACTCAAACAGCCCAGGAGATGAGACCGGGGCACCTCAAGCCAAGTGGGCAAGGAGGAGCGTGTTCTGGGAAAATCCTGAAGACATGGGCTGTGTCGCCAAGTGGGCTTTGCTATGTTCCTACCAATATGCCGAGGGGGCCAGGGAAGGGCTGGCCTTGCTGAAATGACCAAGGATAGAGAAACCATAAGGCAGTTATTATCTCCATTTTACAGGTGAGGAAACAAGGGCAGAGAATCTAACTATGCAGTTTACCCAGATTCAAAGAGATGAATTCTGAGTCCCAAACCAAGGTCTTTGGCCCCCTCATTAATAAAATTGGAATTATAGCACGTGTTCCACTTAACTCACGGCAGTATTTGAAGGATCCAGGTAAGACCCGGTTGTGTTATATTTATGTGAATAAGATGAAGGAATGCACACCAGGGGCCAGAGCCCAGCACAGGAACATGGATTCACTGCTGGCTGAGCAGTGCTGATTGATGAGTGAATGTCACCTAGGAGGCCACCGTGATGTGCTGCTGGCTGCAAGGCTTTGTCCTGACCTGACCCAGAGCATCATTGCACAGACACTTGAGATGGCAAGTGTGTAGGCCACGCAGCGTAGGGAGGGAAGTTTTGCTATCGTGCTCGATTATAGTGTGAGGCTCAAAAAGAGCAAGCCAGGTTGAATGACATGAAACCAAATACAATCCAAGAGGGAAGCCTGGAAAGCTCTGTATTTAGGTTTTTAAAAAACCAATTCTACAAGCACAAGATGGGCAGCGTGTAGCTTTACAAATGTTGGCATGAGAAATCCCTCCCCGATTTTTCATGCAAACGTTTGTGACACGATGGCAAAAAAGTGAATTGCTCTGGCTACAGTGAGCTTCCAGATGGAGGGAGAGCAACATTGGAGCAGAGTGGTCCTTTCTGGGTGGCGCATTTTCGGAGGAAAGTTAACACCATAGACTGGATTCAGAGGTGCGTAATTGAGGCAACAGAGAACCTAGAACTTATGTCGTGTGAGGGGCAGATTGAAACAGCCATAGGTTCATCTGAAGTCAGGACTTGGGGAGGAGGGACATGAAAGTTGTCTTTGTACAGAGGAGGTAGGAGCAGACATAAGAGCTCTCCAAAGATACCATGAGGACAAGCAGGCTGAATTTTGAGAGGCCGGTGGCCTTTCAATATCAGGAGGACCTTTCCAACAAGGTCCTATTCCTGAAGGCTGGGCAGCCTTGGACGCTGGGAACATGGAATGGAAGCAGGTAGTTCATCTGCCATGAACAGTGCCATGTAGGTCCTTGCCCTAGAGAAGGGCTGTCCTGAACTGTAGTTTTAAATGAAGACCCTTTAGGTCTGTGGAGGGTAGACCAGTGACCCAAGAGTGGACTCCAGGTACCAGGCCCTGCCTCTACAAAAGCCACTGTTCATCCTGAGCTCATGTCAATAGTTAATTTGAACAAGGCTTCTCTGGCTTAAAAAATGAAGTTCGGAAACCGCAGCTAGGGATGGCTAAGAAGCCCAAGCAGCTCCCAAATATGACTTCCCTCCAGCCTTGCAACCAGCACACAGACACATGGAGGAGTTCCAGAGTCCAAGCCTGGATGTTGAGAAGAAGGACCAAGAGACAGGCAAAATTCCTGTCTGGAAAATACTTTAGGAAGTGCAGTAGCAAGGTAGAGAGGTATTTACAGTTGACAGAAGTATTAGTATGTATTTCAGTTGCTTCTTACCAACAATGTGTTTGTTTGGGTATAATTTGGGACAATTTCCTAATTACATGGAATATTTGAAGCCAGGGGCATATGTTTGACATTGACTTGTCTGTGAAATTGTGCTTGTAGGTGCTGTTTTTCATTTATATTCATTGCTACTGTGCCCTGTCTAACAGAAATAACCTGGCACTGATGGGGACAGAGTGAAGATCTTGGAACGAGGTGACCCAGTGGTTTAAATTTCATTATGGTGTTGAACATCCAGGCAACACACACAACTCAGTAGAAATGCAAACAGATAATGCACCCAGGACCTCACTTCAGTCACACCCAGAGCAGCAGGAAGGACAGAAAGTTCCAGAAAGAGCCATGTGCCTGGCTGAGGCATTTTCACTGCAGGAACAATGTGATGTGACTGAGCACAAGGCTGCCTTTGGGCTTTTACACCACAGTTCACCTGGTCACATCCCACTGCAGGTCCATCTTGGGCACTGACTGATCCATCCATCCACCCACCAAGGGTTTGCCAGACTGGAGATTCCAGAAGCGGCTGAAGCTGTGGTCCTGCCACAGGGTGTCGGGGCTGGCAGGGCAACAGTCATCACATTAGTGGATGTGAAGTTGGCTCAGCACCCAGGGTGGGAAGGGCCTGGGAGAAGGTCCTCCCAGGGAAAGCAATGTCCACCCTGGCCTTGGATTCAGGAAGAGCAAGCTCCCAGAGAAACCTGAGGGTCCTGGGCATGGTGGACTAATGAGGGCAGAAGACGTGCTGTGGACAGTAGGGAAAGGGGCACAGGGGCTAGGTTAGGAGGTGCCTTACTCAGAACATGCCCTGAGCAACAAGGAATGATTTCAGGGGCTTGGGCAGGAGGTGAGTCTGTTGACGGTAGGGCTTGGGGAAGATTGATCTGAGAGCCATTTATACTCTAGAGAGGTCACTGTGGCAGAGGAAGATGCTGGAAGCTCAACTCAGTCATCCTGGCTTGTCTGGACTGCAAGGAACCTGCCCATCCATGTAATAAATGCTACCTGGCCAATGGAGTCTGGCCACGGGAGAAAGAATCTCCACATGGGCAGTGTTATGGTTGAAAAGTGTCCTAATGCCAAGTATCTGTGGATATAACCAAATGTGGAAACTAGGTCTCTGCAGATGATCAAATTAAGATGAGGTCATTAGGGGCCACGCATCATGGCTCATGCCTGGAATTCCAACACTTTGGGAGGCCAAATCAGGAGGATTCCTTGAGTAGAGGAGTTTGAGACCAGTCTAGACAACATAGCAAAACTCCCTTCTCTACAAAAAATACAAAAATTAGCTGGGTATGGTGTCAGACACCTGTTGTCCCAGCTACTTGGGAGGCTAAGGCTAGGGAGAATAACTTGAGCCCAGGAGGTCGAGGCTGCAGTGAGCCATGATTGCACCACTGCACTGCAGCCTGTGTGAGGAGGGTAAGTCTTTGTCTCAGGAAAAAGAAGAAATGAAGTAATTAGGATGGGTCCTCATCCAGTGAGGACTGGTGCCTTTATAAGAAAGGGACATTTGGACACAGAGACAGACATGAGCATAGGCAGAAGCCACATGGGGGTGGGGGCAGAGATGGACATGACACTTCTGCAAGACAAAGAACACTCAGGATTGCTGGGGACCTCCAGGAGCTAGGAGAGCCATGGAACAGACTCCCTCACAGCCTCAGAAGGACACCTGGATCTCAGACTTGCACACCCCAGAGCAATGAGTGAAGAAGTGTCTGTTGTTGAAGCTCCCTAGTGTGGGGTACCACATTACAGCAGCCCCAGGGCACTAGTACAACCACGCCCCAATGTTTATCTCCCATCAGGACAGGTATGCCTCTACCTGTCCCAAGAACTGAAATTGACTTCAGTGTGTACCATATTGATTCTGTGTGGGCTTCTTAGTCCCTGGACAAGAAGACTGACCATGAGAAAGTCCATCTCCATTGGATCTGATGCTCATCCTCATGTTGCTGACCATCAATGCCTCTTTCCACAAGAGTTATCATCTCAGTGTTTTAGGGCAGGGAGGACCTATATTTCTGACTTATAAATGGGCCAACCAAGGTTCAGAGATACCCCTTGGATAAGGTCATACAGGCTGGCAGGGGTCAGCCACAGCCATGGGCCTGGAAATGATAAGTCATGGGAATTTCCACATTTTAGAACTCCTACCCCAGGATCATTTAGTTTTCAATTCTGCAGCTTGGTTATTAGCAAATACACAAAAGTCCTTCTTAATCGAAAAAAAAAAAAGCTTACATTTTACCTTTTCTTTTTAATAAGAAATATTTTGGGGGGCTGGGAGTGGTGGTTCATGCCTATAATCCCAGCACTTTGGTAGGCCCAGGAGGGTGGATCACTTGAGGCCAGGAGTTCAAGACCAGCCTGGCCCACATGGTGAAACCTCATCTCTACTAAAAAATACAAAAATTAGCCAGGAGTGGTGGTGCACACCTGTAATCCTAGCTACTCGGGAGGCTGAGGCAGGAGAATCACTTGAACCCGGGAGGCAGAGTTTGCAGTGGGCCACGGTGGCACCATTGCACTCCAGCCTGGGACACAGAGTGAGACCCCGTCTCAAAAAAAAAAAAAAAAAAAAAAAGGAAGAAAAAAGAAAAAGAAATATTTTTTCTGAAGATTCTTATCATGGTCCTGTAATTATGTTTCACATATCACAAAGGTTCCCAGTTGGGTGGCAAGAGATTATGTCTGGCCTCAATTGTTTCTTACTCATAATGTTGGGGCTTTGTGGCTTTGCTTCAGCCCTTGGGGAAGTGATGGCTCTGAAATCTGAAGCTGATCCAGGATAATCCAGAAACACCTCCAGCCCAGGCAGAGCTGCTGCTCTGTGATTGGTGCTATGTGCCTTGCTGGCTAGGTGAGCACACTGGTGCTTGTGGCTGCATGTATTATTCAAAGAGAGGAGGGCTAATTTGGAAGTTTTGCTTCTGTGAGGCTGGGACGCTACCTGCAGAACAAGAACATAAATCACACTACACTGGTTTTAAAATCATGGACCTCCGAATACCTAGCACTTGTCATTGGGGCATCTGTAACGGAGGCCTCACCCCCAGCAAGAGGAGAGAAACTGCATGCAATTTAACTTGGAACTGTGGACACCCCTATAAGGCAGAGCACAGCATCAGCATTTGTGAGACGAAGTTACTAGCTGTCAACATTTGTTTCTTGGGCTTTGTAATGCTGAAGTATAAAGTAATACAACCAAAATACCTCCTTCTTGAATAAATGAATGCAGTAGAATAAATGAAGTCAACTGCTGGAAAACTCATGATATCTAAGCAATCAGATACTACTTCCCCCCCAAAAAAAGCCTCCACCATCTGTTAAACCACTCATCCATCCAACAATATTTTAAAGCACTCACTGTGTAAGAGACGCCATATTATGTGCTGGAGTTAAGAGATGAACATGGCTTGTGTGGGTCCTACCCTGGAGAAAAATAAGATAATCAAATAATGCCAGGCCTAGGAATGGTGCCGGTTGTGTACAAGCGCTACACAAACACAGAGACTGGAAGACTAGCAAACTGGATTTCAAGAAACATTTCTGGGAAGAAGTAAAATTTGCATCAGACTCTGGAATAGAAGAACAATGTGGGTGTAAGGTAAAAGAAGACGAGGGTGCGCAAAGTGACGGAGGTAGGAAAGGATGATGCATTCGGGGAAGAGCTACCAAAAATGCCTGGAACCACAGTGGGGCTTGGGTCTATGGGGGGACCCCTGGAGACTGGAAGACAAAAGATTAAATGTGGATTATGGCTCTCCTTCTCTGCTAGATTCAGGAGATTGAACTTAATCCCATAGACCCTGGGGGAGCTATTGAAGGTTTTACAGCAGGAGAATTGCATGAACCCATTTTACCTAAAGACCAAAGACATCCACATACTTTTGAGACAATTCAACCACAAAAATAAAGGCAGCCTTGCTCATGGAGGTTGCTGTAAATTCCTAGACCGCACATCAGAGGCATTGATTTAAAACTTAAAACTACCTCTCTGTGACCACACCCAGCTGCTGGCCACAGGGTGGTGGCACGTTTTCCTTCAAAGGTTTCCCCCCACCCCGATTTGTGTAACTCTTACAGTCACACTTGTTCTGTGGGCTTTGTCCTATTTCTCAGGCCTTTTACATGGGGACAGCTTTTAAATAAAATAAAAATTCCTCTTGCTTCTTACAGATTGGATTTGATTAAATATTCCACTGATTAAGGGTAAGCAAATGTCAGCTTCAATATCATAAAAAGAGAAATGAGAGTTCATACAGCAGCAAAGCAAACAATCCATTTTCATACTTTATTAGAAACATTTATTGCCATAATGACTACATTATATTAAGCAAGCAGGTGGAAAGGTGTTCCGTGCATGATATCTTCAAATAACTTTATTTTGAAGATCTTATCCCTCCAGTATTTAGACAGATGTTTTATTCCCTCTACCAGAGTGAGGGCTTGAGTTGCTGTGATTTTAGCTCCTCCATAAGCACTCGATGATCATGGCCTATTCTTGTGTTTCAAACAGTGGGAGCTCATTCAATGCACTGCACAACATGAGGTGCTGTGGGTACAAATAGCAGAACTCACTGGGCACTGCTCGGTCTTCTTCCAAAATCTTTGGCTCACATTCTAAGTGTACCTCCAATTTTTTCCAATTCCTCCATAATTTGATAGTCACATAATTCTGCTCTGGAGTCTAAAGCCAAAAGATAAAGAAAGGACTGGTTCTTTCCCTCTACTGTCTATGTCACTTTGAAAAATCTTGGAAGAGCATCTTAAAGAGGAGATTTTTTTAAGCCCTTCTGTCCTCTGGTGTGCATTATCTGTAGCTGTGTAACAGTATTGCCATGAACTTAGTGGCTTAAGGCAATATACGTTTCCATCTCAGTTTCCAAGGGCATGGCTTTGCTGGGCTCTCTGCAGGGCTGTGATCAAGGTGTCAGCCAGGGTTGGGTTATTTTCTGGGGACTCGACTGGGGAAGAGTGGAGCATTTATTTCCCTGTGGCTTAAGGACCGAAGGGCTCAGTTTCCTGCTGGCTGTTGACCGGACACTGCTTTCAGCTCCCCGCCACATAACCCTCTCCATAGGACCCTCAGAACATGCCAACTTGCTCCTCCAAAGTCAGCAAAGCAGATATTACAGTCCTACAGAATGTATTCACAGGCTTTTCATCACCTGGCTGTGTTCTATTGGGTAGAAGCTTGTCACAGGCCTGCCCACACTCCAGGGGAGGCATCCCACAGACAGGGAAACCCCACTGGCAGGGAAACCCCTGCTGGCAGGATTGTGAGGCCACATGAGGGGCTCTTTGCCGTACCTTCCTTGACTCTCTTAGTGTCCATTAGAACACCTGGTAGAGCCAATTTTAACCACAATGTCCTATCACAGAACTGAATTCTTTCCAAATTTTACAAAATGGAAAAAAAAATCCATGTAGTTTAATAAATCATTTCTTTCTTTAATGCCATAAATTATGATTTTCATTCTAGCATAACTTTCCTGTGCATATTAAAATCCCTAGTCTGCATAATTTACAAGTTTTTAATTTCTGCTTTTCTTTGGCAAACAAAAGTGAACGTATCAGAGATTCTGATTAGGAGACAAAGTGGAGTATTTGGACTCAGCCAAACAGCAAATATTTATTGAACACTTGCCAAAACTTCTGCAAAAACACCCTGGAAAACAGAAGAGGGGACTCAAATAAGGCCTCTGCATCGAGAGTTTGAAGAATGCGTTGGAGCAGGAGATGAGTATGTGAAGGGGATTGACTGCTCGGCTTCTCTCTCAGTTGACAAGCAAATAATTAGAGACAGTACTTCCTGGCTGTGCAAAAGTCCAGATTGCACATGCAGGAAGCAAAACCACGGCAGAGAAAAGCAGAGGTGCACACACAAAGCTGGCAGCCAAAGCTTCTGTTTTAGGCAGGAAAGTGGACTAGATACACAGGCGAGCCCTCTGCTGAAACCAACCAGACTCTATCGAACATAATTGTAAATGCATTGCTGGGTTCCCAGAAAGTAAAGAACATAGCCAGAGCCCCAAAAATGTGAGCTGAAATCAAAGCAGTGGGAGAAGGAGGCCTATGCGGAGAGGAAATCTATATGTGTGGGCCAAGGGATGGCCAGGGTGCTAATGTCAGCATTGCACTTCTAGGACTAAGCTTTGGTTCACTGACAGGATGGAGGAGCTGAAACTAACACTTATAGATTCAGGCTGAGACTCTGGGGCCAGGCTAAAATTTGTCCAAGTCAGTGGTGGTTCATGGTTCCCAACACAAGCAAAATCTAATGAAAATCTTCTATAGAAAAAAATATACTTAATTAGACCACCAGTATTTTCAATGAGTAATATCTATAAAATATGAATTCACAATCAAACGTTTCTCATGCATACAAGGAAACAAGTCACCATATGGGAAAACAAATCTTCAAAATTAGTCTTATACAAATAATCATAGGAATTATGCAAATGCTTATGTGTTATAAGCCAATAACCAAAAAAAAAAAAAAAAAAAACAAAAACTAAAAACCCTATGTTTTGGAAATTTAAAAAATGCTTCTAAATGGCATGTTTATCAAGAAAGAAACCATAATAGAAGTGCTTAATATTTATAGTGAAAATATTACATATAAAAATTTGTGTGACACAAAAAAGCAGTAAGTAGAGGAGAATATTCAGGCCTATATTAGTACATGAGAAAAGGGAAAAAGATGGAAATATAGAGAATATATAGAAGAAAAGAGTAAAAAGTATTTCAAAAGAAGATTATGAAAGCCAGTTCTTTGCAAATCAAATAAAACAGACAATATTTTCCAAGAAAAAATGTAAGAGACAAAAAAAATTGAAAATAAAATGGGACCAAAGTATAGCTCTTAAAAAATATTTAAAAGACATTTTAAAACTGCCATGAACAACTTTATGCCACGAATCTTTAAAACTTAGATATATTGGGAATATTTCTAGAAAAAAAAGTTCCTAACCAAAACGGGCTCAAGAATAAGTAGAAAAATTGAAAGTTCTTTGACCTCTAAAGATTGTTTTAAAATCCCAAAAACACCAGGCCCAGATGGTTTTTCAGAAAGTTTCACAAAGTTTTCAAGGAATAGATAATTTTAATTGTATGGAAACTCTTATGCAGACTAGAATGAGTTAATACTCTTCAACTCATTTTATGACCAGACAAGCCTGGTTACCAAAAGATATCTAGACCAGGGGAGTAAGAAAAATGAAAAATCACAAGCCAGTGTCACTCATGAGAATTAGTACACAAACTGAAACAAAATATTAGCCCACCAAGTCTATCAAAAGAGATATAACATGGTGAGTAGATATGTCCAAAAAAGCAGAGATAATATATTTTTTAATCTATTAATGTCATTTGTGACATTGCTGGTTTATAATATTAAAGCCATATGATTCTATCAATAGATACATACAAATTTGACAAATATTTGACCCAGATTAACTATTTAAAAACATCTGGTAGCTTATTATGCAAAGCCAAAACAAGTATCTTTTTTTTATCATTTTCTCATGAATATTTATTAGCACAATTTGACAAATGTATATAACAAACTCCTATATACCCAGCTACAAACAGATCATAGACTTAAGCATAAAGAGAAAAATGGTAAGGCTTCTAGAAAATAGCACAACAGAATATCTCAATGAATTGGGCTTAGAAAAAGTTTTCTTAAATAGGATAAGAATAAACAGTATAAGGAGAAAACTCTTCACCTAAACAAAAGAATTGATGAGTTCAAATTCATTACAATTAAGTATTTTTATGCATCAAAACTACATTGACAGAGTAGAGAAACAACCCAATGAGATCTGTAACACATAAAATTGACAATGGTTTCATATCCAAAATGCATCAAGAATTCCTCTGGATCACTAAGACAAAGACAGAAAAATGGGCAAGAAACTTGAAGGTGCCTTTTATAAGAGTTTATCCAAATAGCCAATGAATATAGAAAAACTTCTCATTCTCATTAGTCATCATAGAAATTTGAATTAAAACCCAACAGATGATCTGTACACTCACCAAAATGGCTAAAGTTAGAGACTGACAACACCAAATGTTGGCGAGGACGTAGAGCCACTAGAACTCTCACACATTGGTGGTAGAAGAGTAAATCAAGTAAGTCGCTTTGAAAAACAATTTGGCATTATCTACTAATTGGATATATGCATGCACTATGACCCCAAATTTCATTCTGGTATATTTCCAACAGAAATGTTTGCTCATGTGCACCAAAAAAAAAGTGTCTACCAATGTTCATAGTAGCAATGTTTGTGAAAACCAAAAGCTTACCAAAGGAGGAAAGTATATGCATAAATTGTAGCATATTCATACTTTGGACTCTATAGCTTTACAAAATTTACTGATTATAGGCCAGGTGTGGTGGATCATGCCTAGAATCCCAGCACTTTGGGAGGCCAAGGCAGGTGGATCACCTGAGGTCAGGAGTTCGAGACCATCCTGACCAACACGGTGAAACCCTGTCTCTACTAAAAATACAAAAATTAGCCAGGCATGGTGATGGGTGCCTGTAATCCCAGCTACTCAGGAGGCTGAGGCAGGAGAATTGCTTGAACCCGGGAGGCAGAGGTTGCAGTGAGCTGAGATTGTGTCAGTGCACTCCAACCTGGGTGACAGAGTGAGACCCTGTCTCAAAAAAAAAGAAAAATAAAAAATTTACTGATAATAGATAGATTCATACAATGGATTATCTATAGCTTTAAAGTGAGCATATTAATGAACAGATACTTTGCAAAAATATGAATGACACAAATAAATGAAAAAGGGATCAGTCTCATTAGTAGTCAACATAACTAAGGTGGCAATGAGAAGCATTTTACCACCAAATTTGCAAACCTAAGGAGGTCTGATAACATCAAGTCTCGGGAAAGCTGGGAATCGATAAAAGATGTTATATATTGCTGGTAGAGGTGAAAATTGGGACAACCGCTTAGGAAAAAATTTGGCAGCATCAGGCAAATTTGGGGATTTGCAGGTCCTATAGCCCAGCAGATCTCATGATGGGTACACACCCCAGTGAAATCTTTGCATATTTTGCATATGTTCACAGCAGCTTTATTCATTATAGGAAAATTTAAAAAAAAAAAAAACTGAAACAACTCAAATGTCCATTGACAGGATATGGATAAATAAATGTGGATATTCACGCAAAGGAATGTCATCTACGGTGTTGAAAATGAATTCTTTATTCTACAGCTACAAGGAACAACATGGATGAAAATTATAATGTTGAGTAAAAACTGCTAGCCACAGAAGATTGTGGGCCATCTCTGGGGCAGGAGTATTTGAAATCCCCCTGGCAACAAGACTGTCATCAGCTGAGAACAGGTCTCTGGAGGAGAGGCAGCTGTGAGCTCTTAGCTGCCAACCCTTGGTAGCTGGGGAACGAGGGCACAGCTCTGAGAAGGGCCCAGGGGGTGGCACTGAGGGCATCCACACCATCTCCCATACGTGACTGTACAGTGTTAGACTGTCCATCAGAGACCTCTCCCATTTACTATTTTCCACAGGTTCTTTAATAAAATATGTACTAATTAATGTGTATCAATGTCAAGAACCACACCTTAAATAGCTTTAAACTAGCCCAATTTGTTTTTTTATTTTTCTTTTTAAAATTATTTTTAATTGTAGTAACATACACATAAAATGTTCCATCTTAACCATTTTTAACTGTGCAGTTCAGTGGCATTAAGCACATCGATATTGTTGTGCAACCATCACCACCTCCCATCTCCAAGAGTCTTTTCATCTTGCCAAATTGTAACTCTGTCCCCAATGAACACTAACTTTCCCATTCTCCCCGCTACCCACAGCTGGCAGCCACCATTCTACTTTTATTCTCTATGAAGTTGACTGCCGTAGTACCTCATATAAGTGGGATCATGTAGCATTAGTCCTTTGGTGACTGCCTCATTTCACACAGCATCATGTACTCAAGGTTCACTTATGTTGTAGCGAATGTCAGAATTTCCTTCCTTTTTCGGGCTGAATAATATTCCATGTTATGTATAGACCACATTTTGTGTATTCACTTATCCATCAATCCACCTTTTGGCTATTTTAAATAATACTGCCATGAACATGAGTGTACAAATATCTACTCAAGACCCTGCTTTCCATTATCTTAGGTATATTCCCAGACGTGGAATTGCTAGATTGTATAAGTCTATGTTTCATGTTTAAAAAAATCAACATACTATTTTCCATAGAAGCTGCACAATTTTGGTTTTTTTCTTTTAATATAAAGTTGACACTTTTCTTAAAATTCCGTCATCATCATTACCACCACAGGAAAAAAAACAATTCACATTATTTCAGGTTACGTTTTTCTTAACTTCATCCTTACCCACTCCAGTCAGCTGTACGTAAAATGTCCATCATTTTCGGGATGTCAAAACTTGTTAAAACATCCATTTTCTTTAGATATACTTCATTGTTACTCATCTTCAAATGGGCTGTACAGAAAAGGAATTGAACGTTATTTATATTAAAAACATAATGCAATTAGACAGACATTTCCCATTGCTTGCTTCTTCTCTCTAAAAGAATAGTCAGATATAAAACGCTTTGCAAAGAATCAGAGATTATCAAGTAAAAATGGTCCTAAGATTACTAAATTCAGTGAATCCTAGGTGTGTGTTTAGTATCATTGCTGCACAAAAATCATAGGCAACTATGTGTGATCTAGATAAAATTACAGAAAAGAAAGGGACAGAATATATGGGGAGGGATCTTGCCAAGTTATATTTGTGGAAGAATTAAGAATTAGAAAGTATAAACTCATTTTAATTGCATTTATAGAATTCTGCTTTCCTTGGAGATGACAGTTTCAAAGAACTAATGTGGGCTCTGTCCTGAGCACCAGTGAACCTAAGCATAGCCAATGGTGGCGGGTGAGGATGGCTACAGAAAAAGTGGCTGATTCATTAATTGCCTGAGCATTTGTATTCTCACGTAGCAGGCACTATGGTAGGTACACACTCATTTTCTCTAATCCTCATAACAGCCTTGCAAATGAGGTTTTTGTTACCCCCATTTTACAAATAAGAAAATTAAGGTTCTGAGAGGCTGCAGAGAAAGTTATGTTAAGTTCAAGGCAGAGTTACAAAGCAGCCTTGTATGCTCAGCCTGGCTCTTCCCCTTCCCCAGTCCCTTCCCCAGTGATTGCTCCAGAGCCTGGCTCTTTCTGAAGTCCCTTCCCCAGTGATTGCTCCAGAGCCTGGCTCTTTCTGGAGTCCCTTCCCCAGTGATTGCTCCAGAGCCTGGCTCTTTCTGGAGTCCCTTCCCCAGTGATTGCTCCAGAGCCTGGCTCTTTCTGGAGTCCCTTCCCCAGTGATTGCTCCAGAGCCTGGCTCTTTCTGGAGTCCCTTCCCCAGTGATTGCTCCAGAGCCTGGCTCTTTCTGGAGTCCCTTCTCCAGTGATTGCTCCAGAGCCTGGCTCCTTCTGGAGTCCCTCCTCCAGTGACTGCTCCAGAGAGGGTCTAGAGAGAGCAATTGTTCAGGGCCCCTGCAGATGAAGTTGCCTTTATTTTGTTCTCATATCGGATGCCAGTTTGGCTGGTTGTACAGTTCAAGGGTCAAAATCTTTCTCCTTCAGAACTTTGGGAATATCGCTCCAGCGTTTCCTCAGTGTGGCTGCTGAGTATAGACCCACGTCCTTGTGATTCTTGGTTCTTCCTAAGTACCTGTGCTTTTTATCCCTTTCTCTGAAAGCCTTTAGTAATTTCCCTTTATTCTCAGTGCTCAGAAATTCAGAAGTAACCAGGCTAGATGCACATGCTTTTTTCACCTACCCTGCTCAGCAGTTAGCAGTCTTTCCATATGAAGACTCGGGTACTTCTTCAACGCTGGGAAATATTCTCCCATTATTTCTTTTTTCCATGACTTCCCTCAATTCCCTTTGTTCTCTTTTGTGTTTTGGGGGCATGGAGCCCAGTGTCTCTCCTGGGTCCCTGCACCTCCCTGGCCCCGAGACCCCCCTGTGACTCCATCTGGGGCAAACACTGATGCTGCCCAATGCTCAGGGCTGGGTGAGGAGGGGGTTGTCAGGTGGCACAGCTCCTGCAAAGCTGTCAGCATGGTGACCCTGAGGGACACCAATGAGCCCTCAGTTTCCACTGTCCCCTTTCTCAGGGGTTCTCCTTCATGCCCTTCCCTTATGTACATTCTTATCCTTTTCTGTCTCTCAGAGATTCTTCCGAATGTCTGATCCACTATCCTTCTTGTTCTATTTCCAGTTTCTGGGCATTGATTTTTTAAAAAAATATTTCATAGCTGGGAGTGGTGGCACACCTGTACTCACAGCTACTCAGGTGGCTGAGGCAGGAGGATCACTTGATCCCAGGAGTTCAAGGCTGGAGTGAGCCATGATGGCACCACTGCATTCTAGTCTGGGTGACAGAGTGAGACCCTGACTCTAAAAAATAAAAAATAAAAAAATATGTTATTTCATGGCATTTGTGGCTGTCTCCATATTCGAGTTGTAGAAGTATCTGCTCAGCCCATCCTGTGTCTCTGAGTCAGTCTGTGCTTTGGCTCTTGATGTAATGCATGGAGTCAAGTACCAGGTTTTCGTGAGTTACAACTGAGATCAGTTCTTTTTCTATGGCACTGCTGAAAGCCGAAGCTTACCCAGAAAACCCAGAGCATTCCTATTACAATCACTTAGCGTCACTTAGTTCAGGTTTTTATGTTATGCTAATCAGCAGCAAGTATTTCACCGATGGTTCAGAATCATAGACTAGGACTGCTCCTCTTTCCTGCTCATTTGACTGCAAATCTCAACAGCACAGGGACTGCCTGACCATCCTCGAACCATTTTGAACAGCTGGAATGGTGCAAAATGAAGCTACAACAATCAGGATTGAGTTTTTATTTTTAGCACATTTTTATTTTGTGTTCCTGCAATAGTTCATACAATTTATGCAGAGTCAAAGATATGGTTTCAAAGGTCAGTGGATGCCTTACCGTGTTTCTGTAGTAGCATTTGGGTCTGTGTTCGTATATTTCATAAGTTGGATCCCATAAAGAAGTTTTACCATTACTTAATGTTTTATTTACTGTTTAACCAGTTTGTCAAAAATTAAGAAATAAATTATGCCCATACGAGATAGATTAGAAAGGTCAAAATATAAGGGTAAGGTACAAAAATGTTTGCTACCAGCTCTCTGTGGGGTCCTAAGGATGTTTCATGCCATCCAGCAGGATAGAGAAGCCCCTGCTCGGAAAGGCTGAGGGAAAAGGAGATGCTCACCAGAAATGCGTGCGGCTCAGTTTTAGTGGCTTTTCCAGACCTCTGCGGTTGAACAAAACCTCATGAGAAGATACATTTAGCAAATGGTGGGGAAACCTGGAAATCGGGACCTGGATTATTAAAGGGCGAGAAGGATTTGTAATTTAACGGGAGATTTTGTGGCACTCCAAAATGTTTATTTTGGGGGATGTCAGAGCCATGAGGAGTTCCTTCGAGTTAGGATGTTTTGCTCAGCATGGTCACCTTGTTGGCTCATGAACTGGAAAAGGCCAGAGCTTTGCTGAAAACTACCCGAAGGGCTGCTCGGGGTGCACCCTTCAGCACTCAGCACTGTTCTCTTTGTACGGCTCTGCATCCGAGGAGCAGGATATATTTACGATTGGGTTTTAAGCAATTTCCCTACTCCAGGGTCGTGACCGGGTTGCTCTCAAAGCTCTTCTCCTTCCCATTTCACAACTCTCTGCCGCTCCCTCAGACCACTAAGGAATGATGTGTAAATTTCACACAGCTCCCAAGTTTGGGTTGGAAGAGCATCTAAAAATTCAGTTGCTTACCCAGAATTTATCCAAATATCTTTAGTTAGACAACCTCACGTGGTTGGCCTTTCTCTTGAGACCTTCCTGGGCTTTAGCCCAGCCAGAAATACTATACAGGCAGCCAATCAGTAAGTACAAAGGCACACATTTTTTTTTTTAAACACCAAGACTTTAAAACCTACTCTTTTGAACCTCAGAAATGATTTGGATTGGCTCGTGCCTTCCACAGAGGTCAGAGTTAGAGCTCCATCTTCCCAATGTGCCACATGGTTATTGCTAGAGTCAGAGAAAGATCACGAACTCAGAGGCTGGGTAAGAACAGAGCAGGAGGCCCCTGGGAAGGAAAGACAACACGTTCTCAAGTGGAGCACATTCTATGCTAGCTGATTCGTTTTCTATTGCACTGTAAGAAATCACCACAAACTTAATCACTTACATCAACGCAAAGTTATTCTCTTACAGTTCTTAGGTTAGAAGTGTGTGATCGAGGGGCCTACAGGGCTGCCTTTCCTTGGAGAACTCCATGGAAAATCCACGTCCTTGCCTCTTCCATCTTGAGGTACAAGCCTTCCTTTGCTGGTGGCCTGTCCCTGCATCACTCCTATTTTTTGCTTCCTTTTCATCTTTCCTACCCCTAACTCAAATCCTCCTGCCTCCCTCTTCTAAGGATCCCTCGTGATTCCACTGTGCACACCCAGAAAATCCAGGATCATCTCTCCATCTCTAGAGCCTTTGCATTATGCATGCAGAGTCCTTTTTACCCTGTAATGTGACATATGCACAGGTTCCAGGGATTAGAATGTGGGTATTTGTGAGGCAGCTAGCCGCCAGCCTGCCACAGCTAGTTTCCTCTGAACCAAGCCAATCTGGACTCCAAAGCTAGAGCATGAACTCCAACAGCTTCCATTTTTAGGAAGCAGGACAAGTGCTAAGACCCAGAATCCATATTCAAACTCATGCCATTTAAGAGGCGCTCGCAGCTGAGCTCTCACTAATGAGGTTGAGGTGTGATGGGGAGGGTCGTCTGGACCAGGTCAGTGGACAGCTCAATGGGGCCATGAAAGAGAGGGCCTAGAGGCATTGACCTGATGTGTCACTGATGGGCACTTGTCAGCGCAACATGTAGCTGATGAGTTGCAGGAGAAGCTCAGCCCTCGCAGGCCGGGGATGACCTGCATCCTGCCTCTTTCTCAACAGCATGCCTGCTTTTCCTCAGCTCCAGAGTGACCCATGCCACCTCCCTGGGTCTCAGTTTCTCCTGGCAGAGGAGAGGCAAGCACAGCTTTCAACCCCGCCATAGAGGCATCCGGCGGCAATGAGGAGGACTGCTTGCCGGGCTGCGTGCAGAGCATCATACTTAGGATCAAATTATTGCCCCCAAAGAGTCGTTTTTCTTCACCCCTGGTGGCATGCTTCTTGGAAGCGGGGAGCGAAGGGGTTCCTGCAGTGACTAACAAAATAGATTATGGAGACAGCCACTTATCTTATTTGTCATCTCGCCAAAGAAAGGCTGCTCTGATGTTCCAAAAAACAAACTCATCATCTTTATCAGATGAGAAGATTCAGGAACCACAACAGAGGCTAAGAGTGTAAATCCTTTGTCTTCTCTTCTGTCGTTAATACTACGGCAGGCAAAGAGAGCAAAGAGAAACCAACCCTTGAGAAATTTGAACCTGGGATGTTGGAATTGGAGGCATCAATTTCCCTACATGCATCCTTACCTTAAAGAGGGGCTGCTCTGTCTCCCCGACCCCATAACCAGTTAATGACAAAGGGGGTGCAGGGGGATCAGTTCCAAATATTAGTTCAGATATCTGTTCTCTTTTCTTTCTTTTCTTTGGCACGGAAACTGGTACCTTTCTGGGAGTATTTTTTGTACTTGGTTTACCTGGGTTGCTATGACATATTACATGTAAGTTCCTTGAACACCATGGATCTCCCTAATAGGTATGGACAACCAAGCCTTTGGAAAGAAAAAGCCGTTTGTGTGAATCACATTGTTTGATGGGAAAGAAAATGAAAAGTTGCCACTTTCTACTCTGCTATGCTTTTCTTCTTTAAAAAGTTTATTTATATACTTTTTAGATTAAAACTTTTTATAGATGTATTTAAGGGTATACTTTTATAGAAGTATCCTTAAATACATCTATAAAAAATTATATTCAGAAAACTGAAAATATAGAAACAGAGAAATTCACTGTCCCCAGAGCCCTTTCCCACCCAGCATGGGTGTTGATGTTTGAAAAAATGACCTAATGCAGGTAACTTATTGCAGCCCCCAAGGTGGTGGGCCTGAGGGCCTTCTACAAGTCCCAGGACAAGCCATCTCCTGAGAGTCATGCGGCACACTTCTAAAGCCCCAGTGTTGCCACAGCAACAAGGTGACGAGGACCAGCTGGTGATCCTGGTAGCAGCAGACACTGCAAGAGGGTGTGCTGAGGTGCTCACGGCCCCCAAATGTGCCTGCCCATGGTTTGTCCCTTGTTGCTGGGACTGAAACTGAAGCCGGCATAGAGTCTTGTTGCACGGTTCCCTCCCATGGCAGAGACCTGGAGGGTGAGAAGTGAAGGCCCTGCCAAGCTTGATCACCCTCTCCCTCCCCCTTCTATCATTTCCAAATGAAAAATTAAAAAGACATCACAGTCTAAGTGGCCTGTGGTGCCGATGTCTCAGCCAGGTAGGGAGCTGAGCCATTTCTCTGAATCCAGAGTCAGGCCATCCCAGTAACTCCACCACCACTGTGACTTGTATCGCTCTGCCCGCGTCCTAACGCAACTTGGGGAGTTGGATTACAAAATGATTTGTGATAATGGGTGTGAAGGAGAGGGTTATTTGACTTCAGGAAACAGAGCTG
Source organism: Homo sapiens (assembly GCF_000001405.40). NCBI lineage: Eukaryota > Metazoa > Chordata > Mammalia > Primates > Hominidae > Homo > Homo sapiens. The sequence continues at coordinate 129,134,497 of NC_000010.11, forward strand.
CGAGTTGGGAATGATATATGAAATGGAACATCCACGGCCAATGCACAGTCGATGCACGAGGTACAACAGGCTGTCCCCGCTGTGCTGAGCAGTCTCCTTGTAACCAGACACACAAACGTTCAGCTCAATCAGCAGCAGCCTCCCAGAAAACCGCAGCAAGCCCCTAAGTTGCAGATAAAATATAACCAGCTAACAGGCATGCTGTTAATTAGCCAGAGAGAGAGAGAGAGAGAGAGAGAGAGAGGGAAAAATAATGGCTTTCCACATGCACAATACTCAACTCTTCTCCTCTCCTAAGTCTTACCAACCATTTGCCTCCAAAAAGGCCAAAAATAAACACAGCCATCTTTTTCACGAATGCTGAAATTGAACTGGTTATCACATTTGAAAGGTGAGAGCTCTCGGGCTTAAAACTAGAGGTGAGCTATTTTTGCCTCGTTTATTCCAGCTGGAAAATAAAGAAGAGATTATTACTGAGAGAGAGTTTCTTCAGCAGGAAAAAAAAAAAAAAAGATGTTTTTATAGATTTTAAAAAACACTTTTGTTAAATATGAGTTTCCTCTCTTAAAATTTCAGAAATACCATACAATCAGTGTGCAAATAGTTATGGTGACCTGCCCACTCCAGGTCTTTTTTTTCACCCACCCTCCCATGGGCGAGCCTGCCGAATCCTTCTGGATCAGACATGCAGTGTGCTCTAAATGTGGCTTCATTCAAACTGTAGCTCCCACAGTCCAAGATTTTATACTTTTACCAAAAAGCCAGGACAAGCCCAGTGCTGCAGGCCAGAGTTTATCTCCACAATTAAGACGGCCATCCCAGTCACACAATACATCATAATGATTTAAACCATTCAAATGGTGCCAAATAATTAGCAGATGAAACTCACGGAGTCCAACTGTATAACTATGAGATTAAATTAGCCATTTATGGATTTCAGAAAGAAAGGAGACTAAAATGTTTTATAGTGTAGTTAAAAAAAATCATTGAATGAGTCCCTCATGTTGAACATTTCCTCATGTCAGAAGCAGGGTGGATGACACAGAAACCATAAATCCAATTGATAAGTGTTAAAATCACTTTAGTCTGCCATCTTAGGAGAAATTCAATAAAGCAGAAAGAAGGACTTCTGTAGACACAAGTCTGCCTCCAGTTACCTACAGACATTTACACTGCTCATCTGAAGGGGCACGTGTGTCCCCAGATTAAGTATATTTGGTTCTTTAGTAATTGTTTACTTTTAAAAGGCTTGCTTCATCTAGCGTTAATATCCTAGACAGCAGTTATGCAGATATCATATGCACATATGCAGTTTTGTACATCTGTGTGTTACACATCAGTGTCTGCCCTGTGCCGTTCAATACCTTCACAGTAGCATTTTAATTTTAACCAAAACAAAAAAAAATGGGGCTCTGAGGCCTCTTTCTTCTTCCTGTAAATGTTGGGCAGTGCTTGCTCTGTGTTACTGATAACATGTGACTCGGCTAGTATTTCCTAAATGGCAAGCCAAGCGTGTTGTGCTAACAAAAGTCATGGCCTGGTTTTTAAAACTGGTCGCCCAAGAGGACAGCCCTGAAGACACTCACTGGTTGTGCATTATTGTGTTTGGAATGACGTGGGTTTGTGTTTGCTCATTGAAGGAAAAAGAGTAAAAATTTGCTCCAGTTATCTGTCAGCTTTTTAAATGGGAGCCTTCGATATAAAAGCAAGCCAGATTTCAAACCTGGATCTCCCAGGTGGGTTGTAAGCCTCCGCATATCAGGAGAGGTGGGCTGAGGCACAACACTGCCTCTACAATGATCCTCAGAAGCAAGGATCCTTTCTTCCTCTGCAGAGGGGGAGGAACGAGCCTTTCCCCCAGCCCAAGAGCCTCGCCAGGTGCTTTTATCGGAAACTTGCTATTTTCCCTGGGAAGCTGTGTGCAAACGCAGGCTGACAGATAGAAGAATGTGCCCGTTACCATCAGCCACGTCCACATGGCTTTGCAATGTGTCCCCTTTTAGTGGCTTAGACTCCACCGCCGCTCGCGTTGGCAAACACGTTTCCTTGGCTCGTCCCTTTGAACTGTCCAAATTAAGTGTTTCTGCTTTTTTGGTTTGTGTGTTTTTAATCAGCATAAATAATTTTTGAGGGGAAGGAATACCAAAGCACAGCCTCTTCTCCCAAGTCTTTTCTCTGGCCCCCTGGAGTGTCTAACTCTGCTCCCAACTCCAGCAACGCAGATGACTGAGCCTGGGGCAAAACCAGAGAGAGAGGGGACACGCGGTGCATTCAGCTGACAAACAGAAACAAACACCTTTCCAGCAGGTTCTACATAATCGTCCAACAAAACTAGGGAGAAGGTATTTTTGATGTAAATTCCAGGCAGCTGTGCCCTGTATTTTCTTGAGGAAATAACACCATTTCCTAAAGACGTCTAGCACTGGGATCTCGGCAGCATCACAATTTCCTTTCTTGTTTACTAAAAAGCCCAGATTTTGGCTTTTGTGTCACACCTGAGCATATTGGCTGGCCCTGCACGCCGCGTGCGATTCCCGGTTCTGCGGCGCGAGCACAGCTGCGCTCTCCCAGGACGTACCTGGGCCCCGCGCTGTGAAGAAAGCCATTTCACGGTGCCAGCTATTCGCACTCCAGTGCCACTTGGACTGGCAGAGACTGAGAACTTTGTGCAATCGCGGTGGAGTGGGTGAAAATGAATCAGATATGAAAATGTCTGAGGCAATAAATTAACACACAGCAGGGGGGGTGATAGCTTAATCCTGCCTCATCCAAACTCTACCTGACACCCATTATTGTTACAGGAGGTGGCACTCGGTGACGGTACCAGAGCGAAAATGAACATTCCCCAAAGAGTTCAAGCTTTGCAATAGGTATGTAATGTGATTCTGTGACGGAACCCCCGCCACTCTGATAGTATTTGTGTGTTGAATTCCGGGTAACCTGCCAGCGACATCTTTCATCTCGGTTTTATTTAATGCAAAGGGAATGCCTTTGACATTTAGAAAAACTATTGAAAATGCAGATAGTTGATGAAGCTTATCAATGTATTTTTTACTACAAAAGAAATAATTCTACAGGTCTCTCTTTTTCTCTCTAAAGGTGGATATCAGCAGGTTTGACAATAGCAATTGATGAAACAAACAAACAAAAAAAAATCAAATCCTCTAAACATTTTGCCCTGTTTCCGGTACCAGGTACCTGAGAGTAACACATATTTTACTCTTCTACGAATTCTTTAATTTTTGTTTATTCTTTGAAACATAACTGATCAAAGTCTGAATTATTTTCCCTGGACAAACCCTTGTGAGAGATATTTAGAATGCACGCCCTCCAAAATGAATCTGGGAACATATTCACATTCAATTGCTTTAAACAGCATTTCTCTTCTTGCTATTTTGCTTGGAATATTTCATGTTCAAGGTCTTCGGAGGTAAGATTCTAAAGTGCACATTGCTACCATTTTAAATCAATAAATTGTTTCTGGAGTCACACAGTACACAAGCCCAGCCCTTCAAGACTTTAGAAGGAAAAGCAAGTTTGAAGAATAACATTCCTTTCTCCCCATAAGGTGGAGAACACCACATTTTTAATAAACTCTCCATTTTTATTGTTTGTGAGGAATTTCCAGGCTAAACAATGAATCTTATGGTTTGATTTTCCTTTTTAAATATATGATTACCCCTTCAAATAAATATTGCACAGTTTTAACTATAAAATAAATGCACACCATCTTTAATGAGAGGAGATGGTATTCTGTCTCCTACTTCAACTTTCTGTTTCTAAAAACTACATAAACATATTTATATTAAGTATGGTACTTCTGGGAATGTTGGTGGATTAAGCAGAATTACAAGGTGCTAATAAATTATGTCATCTCTCATTTTAACTATCCTAGCAAATGAATTTCTATGGTCTTATTTTTGCCATATTTTTTGCTTGATCAGATAATTTTTTTATCAGTAATTTGGAAATTGCTCACTCCTTTCGCCCAAAATTTTTAAATGCTCATTGTAGCAAATATAACTTAGCTAGTTTAAAGTCAGATAATTAAACACACAAAGATAGACTCTTTTTTTTTTTCATTTATCCTTTGGAGACTGGAATTTTAGCACAGCTAAAGCTATGCAAATTAGAAGCAGTTGTCTATAGAGTTCTTGCTGCATATTAAGCCACTTGCTCTCAATTCGCCCCTGCTGGGGGGAATTTCAAGAATAAAATTGTATATTGAGACGTGATTCCTAGAACAGCTGCCCCAGGAAGGTTTAGCAACAACAAGAAGAAAGTGTTGAGGGCAAGAAGGAGAACATGTTTAATAAAACCGTATAGTTCATCCACGGAGCCAGATTAGTCAGACAGGAGATACGATCTCCCCGCCACAAACACAAAGCACAAAACAACACACCTTTCCTCAAGGAGAAGAAATGAACGCTGCTGATTCCAACCGACAGAGCTTTTCAAGAGGTTTTACTACTTAAAAGTTTGTAATATTTCATGGGTTACAATTTCTTTCCTCAAAGATGGTTTAGAAGACCGCATGTTTACTGAACAACCGATTTTTTTGAATATCTTGAATTAACAAAAGCAGATACAGTGTTGCTATTGGGGCTCCTGGATTACCTCGAAGGAAGGGAAAAGAGGGGGCATTTTTATCTCAAGTGCCTTCTACTGGCCATATGGAGGCAGCAAATAATTCCTGTAGCTGGGGGGACCCTGCTGCCAGGTGGCAGGGACTGTGCTCTGGGTCCTCTGCTGCTCAACAAAGAGTTGACTCTGTGTGTGTGTGTGTGTGTGTGTGTGTGTGTGTGTGTGTGTTCACGCACATGCACGTGCATGTGTGTTCATGTGTACAAGTGTGTGTGTGCATGTGTTCATGTGTGTTTATGTGTGCAAGTGTGTTTTTGTGTGTGCTTGTGTTCGTGTGTGTGTGCCCCTCACATATCTTCCTTCTGCTCCCCAGTCTCTGTCCTTGCTTCCCAGAGGCAATTTGGGTGCCAGACTCGGGGCAATTTACCTCTGCTTCCCTATTCCTCCATGCTCCGTCCACTGGCAGATATGTTGTGTGCTGCTTCTTCTAAGGATGCTTGGTATAAAAATGAAGTGAGGTTTCCTTCTGGCTTCATAAAAGCTTTCTACACACACACACACGCACACACATAATCTTGACTAATTTACTATCAAAAACTGACCAAATTGACCAAATCACTTAAACTTAAGTCAATATGAAACCTACATTGAGAAAACCAAGCAGATTTTTCCAATGGCCAGGCCCTTTTGCATGAACATGTGTGGCTTCCAATTTTCCACCTTTTCCAGACTTTTCTTAGTGTTGCCTAACAGTCTTGAGGTTTCTCTCAGACCCAGCATCTCTCTCGAATCTCCCACCTCTCCCACCTCCCTGAGTCCGGTGTGTGATGGGGCTCGGCTGACGTCTCCCACCCCCGTCCCCAGAACAGAGCTTCTCCTCCACCATTCTCCGAGAGAAACTCGCATGTGTCATCCTGGAACCTCATTTCCAGTGATTGAAATGAGCTCCGTGCCACGTGGGAAATGTGTGGCTGTGGAGTCTTTCTGAATACATTTCATGACATTGATTTTAAAGACTCTACCACTGTTTTTCTTTGGATTGTATGATTATCATCCTCATTTAAAGGCCCCAGAACTCACATTGTAAACATCAACTGACTGTTTCTGACTTCTGATTTTCCATGAAAATCAGGGAACACTCCAATACGTTGGGGAGCAAATGTGTGAATGTGATGTGAACGAAAACGTGCCACTCAATGGGCTGTGGAAAGTTCCCCATTTATGTCTGTTCAGAGCCCAATTCTCCTCTTAACTTAGGCTCAAAATTCCCACTGTTGATGTTACACCCCTAACAAATGCAATTCCATGACTCTTTCAGTAAGGAGTGTTGGCATGTTCTTAACATACAGAATTATATAAATGCACTTTATGACATCCTATCCAAAGGGGTTTACCACCTGGAGGAAATGCTGAACGGTTAAGAAGGAAAACCAAAAAGACGATATTTTTACTTTTCATGATTAATTTACTTAAACCTCTTTGTCTTTAAAAATCTCAAAAAAATCTGGTCTTATCATTAGCAATGGGCATTGTAGATCTGTCTGGCCCCAGAGTGGCCTACACTGGAGATAATGACCCAGCCGGTTAATACGGCCTCATGGTCCCACTTTATGCGTGTAACTCACTTAAAGACAATAGATTCTCTAAACAGAAGACATGGGCCTGGAGGAGGTTGGCTCATATTCGCGTGTAAAACACTAAACTCCATTCCTGGTTCATGGCCCTTGTGGAATATCCTAGGAGAGGTGAACTGATCAAGATGTATGCCAGAATTTGTGTTTCTGAAATCAAATTCCATTCTTTCCAAGCATTTTGGTCAGAAAAATACTGAGTGGAAGTGCAAAAAGAAAAACAAACAAATAAACTAAGACTGAGCCTGAAAAATCTATTCCCGTTGAAGGTTGCAAACTGTATCGCTACAAACTTCTGGTTTCATTTCCCTTAAAATTGTAACCACGGTCTGCATGCCGGGTGCTCTGTACCGGAAGCACCGCCTTGGAGATGCAGATGGACGCTGTGTCTAAGGCCGTGGAGTTGGTAAACGAGGGGTTCACAGGCTGCAGGGAGCAGGGTGATTCTCCACAGGCAGCAAGCATATTACAGCATTCCTTATATAGCGCTTGCTTTCCAAATTTCCTCTACACTTTGTTTACTATATATTCCAATAGTGTAATATTAAACAAAAACAGTGTGTCCTACGCCAGGATGATTGATTACCGCACCGTCACAAGGTCACCTCTTAGGGACAGGCTGGGTGCAGGAGGGGCTGTCTGACTCCTACAGTTAACACTATATCCGCATTGTATGAATGTCACCAGCAATCCAGTGATTTATTGCTTGGAAGGCTCTGTTCAATTTTTTCTGCCTGACCAAATTGCACATTTTCTAGAAAAAGAAGCAAAAATATTTCAGCACATGGATTGCCTCGACTCCTCATTTTCTCCACTAGGTTCCACGTGCATTTGCAAGGATCCTGGTGATCTGAACCTTCTCTTCTCCTTCTCCTTTTTTCCCCTCTGTTAGATATTTGGCAAAAATGATTATTACACTAATGAAAAGGTGCAGCAGGAGATTAAGGGCTTTTTAATCAGATTTTGGTAACATCTGTGGGCCATGAGTAAGGGCAGCTGTATGCTCTGTTTCTTAATTTTAGCTAGATTTACTTTGGATATAAAATTGTTAGCCTCGGGGAAAATTGAATGGGGGTTGGGAAGGGGACGATACTCTTACAGAACACTACATAACCAAAACTGTTTCAAAACAGGGGGAGATAAACCTCTTTTGCTCTAGAGGGTATTTTTTTTCCTTTCCTAGAAAAGATATACAATGAAACTAAAGAAGTATGGTTATAAAAAATATTCATCCAAATTGAACAAAAATATCTTTTGTACACAGGGGCACATTATCTACACTAGGATAAATGGAGGTTTTTACCCACAATTTATTCACACTTTCTAAGGGTTTTTTTTCTCTCTCTCTCTCTAAGCCACCACTTAAAATAACTTGCATCAGCCTGCAATATCCAACTTGCATTATGCAAATATAGATGAAACAGACAGAATATATGGTCTAGTAGGCCAATATATTTTAAAGTGAATTTGCCTTTTTACTTTTGACTATTTATTTGTCCTCTCTGTGGGAGCTATTTAGGCATCAAACACTTAGCACAGTAATTTACATAAAAAGTATCTCAGGTTTGTATCGTGATCATGGATTATTTACTTGGGATTCTCAACCATCAGAAATGGAAATTCTGAGTATTCTGAACAAGGAAAAAGAGACAAAATGTAAGCATTTTTTGAAATTTTTCTCAAATTCAGTAGAGTAATAAAATGTCCCTGTGAACATGACCCATTTGTGTATGTTGCCTGTGAGCTTTGCTTAATTTCATGTAGGGGGCAAAAGAAGTGTCATAAGAGAGAAAATAGGAAAATGTAGAAGAAAGTAAGTTTTTCAGGGCTGAAAGGAGAATTCTCACCAGAAGTTTAATGTAACATAGGATTTTAGAGTGGTGTCCTCATTCACTGTTTCTTTAGCCAATAAGTTAAACAAAAAAATCCTAATGACTAGTCAAAAGTGATCTTACAAGATATTCAGCAGTCAGCTAATAATTACATCCTAAAATTAATATTTTGTCCATCATCTTTTACAGATATTTCTTCTCTATGAGCGGGAGCAACGCCCAAAACCTCATTGCAGCACAACAATGGGGAGTAAGAAAAGCCCCAGGTCTCTCAAAATGCCCACAAGGCTTTGTCAGAAATTGCGCTGGAAGTCTAGTGGGAAATGCCCTTGTATCTGTGTTTGTGTGCAGAAGATGGCCCTTATTCTTTAGCTAATGATCAGAAATTTTTTTACTAGACCTACATTATGTCAAAAGGTTCTAACTCTTCTGTGCAGGGGATATCATAAAGGACAGAATCAATCATTGCTACAAAAGCAGACAAACCAAACATATGCATGGCACATTCTTGCAAACCAGGCGCCGGGAACCTGCAACCCTTGGGGTTTGTGTGTAGGTGACAGAGCACTGGCTTTTCTGTGGACTCCTCATTTCCCTTCCTGGGACTCAACTCTGTAGTTTTTCCCCAGAGGGAATTGGATCCACCCAAAAGACCTGGAAAGAGAAGGAGAGACAGAAAAAGAGAAAAAGGAAGGAGGGAAGAAAAAGAGTTTTCAAATGGAGAAGACCTTCAATTGTAAAACATTCAAAAAACAAAACATACGAGAAAATGCTCAAAAATGAAAGTGACAAGAGTGGGCATGTTCTTAAGACCATTTGTCCATCTCAGTTGTAGGAAACTATCAGTTATGACAGCACAAGATTGTTACAGAATGCGAAATTTTGTCACTCTGTGCAAAAAATCTCTCTGGAAATCATAATTCATATGGGACTTTCAACTCAGCAAGGAAAGTCGCTGCGTCCTCCCCACTGTAGCTCTGGTCTAATTACGGACAACTGCTCTCAAGGGCTGGTTCGGGGCATGACCATGACCCATCACTTTTGGGGACACATTCTCCTCGCCTCTTGTGAGCTTCGATACTTTCCCTGACACTTTAGATTCAAAATGTAGACAGGTTTCCCTTTATTCATTCCGATTACTGAAAAACAAACAAACAAACAAACAAACAACTTTTGGCTGGCACAGTGGCTCACACCTGCAATCCCAGCACTTTGGGGAGCCTAGGAGGGAGAATTGCTTGAGTCAGGAGTTCAAGACCAGCCTGGGCCACATAGGAAGATCCCATCTCTACAAAACTTTTTTAAAAATAGCCAGGTGTGGTGGCACACTCTTATGGTCCCAGCTACTTGGGAAGTTGAGGTAGGAGGATTGCTTGAGACCAGGAGGTTGAGGCTGCAGTGAGCCATGATCGCACAAGCACTGCTGTGCTCCAGCCTGGTGACAGAGTGAGACCCTGTCAAAATAAAAAAAAATAAAATTAAAAAAAAATCTTTTTGTTTTTGAGATATTTTCAAAAGTCCCATATTCCTGGGATGGGCATTTGGAAGAACAGTATGAACTGTCTGCTGTATATTATGGAATGAACTGTCTGCTATATTTTACGGTATGAAGTGTCTGCTGTATGTTACGGGATGAACTGTCTGCTGTATATATTACGGTATGAACTGTCTGTTGTATATTACTACTCAAGGCTTTTTGTTTTCCCATTAGTAGCGTCCCACCAGAGAGTTGTCTTTCAAGAAAGATTTCTGGGTTTATCACCAAGGATCTCAGAGAAGTAGAGGCTGAGTCTAAAGAGAAGTGCCGCTGCAGCCAGGAAGGAAGGGGGCAGATGGGACTCCTTTTTCCACGTGGTAGACTTTTTTATTGAGTAAGACTTTCTCTTTTGGTGAAAGAGAAAGTCACAGACCTCATCCAGTGAAGGCTTCATCTCTCTGCCATGGATTCACCTCTAGTGGTGATTAAATTATGTGCCTCATTCTGTCTCTACCAGGGTGGAAATCCGTGACTTTCTAATTTGTTCCTACTTCCCTTTGAACTCACATCCCAATTAGTGGCACTTTAGTGGCAGTCAGGGGACAGCACATAGTGAAAGAAACCCAGAGAAGCTGACAGAGCAGAGCGGGCTTGTGAGCTGGGGTTCCGCAGTGTGCTAGGGATGCGGAGCCTTCCCAGGGCAACACGACCGCACACAGTGAGTGTTACAGGCGTGTCTGAGTTCTGTCTATGCGTTTAAATGTATACATCTATTTTGTTTCCTCTTAAAGGCCCCAGGCCACATGTACTAACAATTCAGATTGTGTTAAGGAAAAAGAAGCCCTTCTCACTACACATACACACACATGCTTACATGTGCAATACAAATACAAAGTAAGAAAACCAACAACATCCCAAACACGCCACAAGAGCACAAAAGGGCTAGATTTCTCCTCACCAAGAAATACCACTCTCTCTGCTCCCCGAACATGGGGACTCCGGGTTTTTCTCAGGGCCCCAAAGAAGAACCATTCCATCCAACAGGCAGTATTTCGGAGCCTGCACAAGGCTTCCAAATGTTCCCAGGAGCTCTCTCTCTCTCTCTCCACCTGTGAATGGCTGGGTGGCATTGTTGGCTGTTTCTTTCATTCCCCCTCTGCTTTGAACACAGAAACTAGCGGTTTTTGTTTTTTTTTTCTTTGTCAATGTCTCCCAGAAGTAGTAGTCCCTACCCCAATGTATACGGGAGCACGGGATCATAGGTGGATACCGATTGGTCGTTGCTGGGACACCATTCCTAGAAGTCTCTGGCAGTGTGTCTAAGAATAATGTCAGTACATTGCAGACCCTACAGGTGCCTGTGGGCAAGATGGGTATTTTGGGATCTCAGATGGCACGGGTAATTCTGGGACTTCTCCTCACAGGAGACAAGGAACTGCCATGGTAATGTTGATTTCCACACTTTATGAATACATGACAGAGAAGCACTGCTAATTAAACAAACATGAGATGAACAAGACAACAGCAATAAATTGTGAGCTAATTTAAAATAATAAAAGACATCCAAAAGAAATGAATCACAATACAGAAAGATAAAACCCTGTTTAAATAATTTGGGGGTATGTTCCAGAAACCAGGTGCTAAGTAATCATTTAATTCTTCATTTCCATGGAATTCTTTAAGGTTCCTCACTGGGAAATGATTTTTAAAAAATCACAGCTTAAATAATTTAAATGAAAACATGTCTAAGGATGTTATGTGACAAAATTTCTGTAGTTTCTCAACCACATTTTGGAGGAATGTTTTCAAAAATTATCTGGGCACTCTATAAATGTTAAGGTTTTTTTCATTACAAGGTTTATGTTACTTGGTGAAATTTTAATGTAATGAAACATTCAGCTGGACCTTGTGCTGGATGTAAAATAAAATTATTCATTGAAAATCAGACCACAGGCCACCTACTGTTTTTTTTAACAAATGGTTGAACTATCACGGGGTTACAGAACTTAACATGTAAATTGCAGTAGAACTTATAATTTCTGAATCAAACCCCCAAAGACTGCCATTTAAGTCAAATATATGAGTGAAATTTTGCTTCTGTGCTATAATAATGCAATGAAATGGTCAAAAATCTGCACATATCTGGAGTAATTATTAACCCAATAATAATGTATTTTTAGTTATTTAATCAAAGGTATAAAAATTATTAATGTCAAGTTCTTCTTACAAAGATGAAGTTTTAACCACCAGCGTTTAATTTCAAGGGTGATGATGCTAAATCTCACCCATTAGGGGAATTTCTCACAAAGCCAAGCAGTACAAGCAAGAGAAAGATTGCAGCTCACATTTCAGGTCATTACTAGGAAATAGCAGAAAAGAACTATTTTTCTCCAACATGGTCTCGAGCTAATTTTTAACATTAACTGAAATTGATCAATCTTCCATAAACTCAACTTGATCTATGGGCTAAGACAGAAACCATGAAGCAAATCCCATTGAAATCACATCCCTCATAGGTAAACATCAGTAGGAAGTGTGGGGGCTGAATATTTCTGCCGCACACTGCCCAAATCCTATTGTTTTCTATTTTGTGCTGCAGGGAAATCTGAAAGGTGACTTTATGTCACCTGGTAGCAGTAATAGAATTTTTCCCTTTTGCTTCATCCCCTGAATGTTAAAACCTGCTGGTAATACAGAAATGTCCATTTTCATATCAGACCTGCTTAGGAGGTTGGGTTGCTCAAGAGTGCCTCAGTTGATGTCCCCCTTATGACCCCACTTGGTCTCCACGGATTTCCCTCGGACAAATGTCTTGCCTTCCACTGATGACACAGAAATTTCCACCTGTGACCTTCTGGCTGCCTATACCCCAAGACATCAGGAGGTAAAATTTTATTTTTGCAGCCATTGGGTATAAACATATTGCACCTCACCCTGTCTTCCCCACGTCTGGGCGGTCAATAGGACCAGCAGGAACTCAACTCTGGCGTTATGGGGAAAATGAAATTTGTTCCATAGCTACTGGAAGAGCAGAGTCCACTGAAAGTAAAGGATGATCCCCAAAGTTTCCATCCACCAAATGACACCACTTCCTTTCATATTCCACTTATTCACTCACCCCCTCAAAAGTGACAGGACGAAGTTGCCTTTTATTTTGCACCTGTTTTCTGAAAAATGTGTAACTGTCCAGAGAAATGGGCAGAAGAAGAGAGGAGAATGCCAGGAAAGGCCCAGAATAAACCAGTAACAGAATGTCAGTATCTGAATATTCAAAAGCCAGGCCAGGCGAGGTAGCTCACGCCTGTTATCCCAGCACTTTGGGAGGTGGAGGCAGGTGGATCACTTGAGGTCAGGAGTTTGAGACCAGCCTGGCCAACATGGTGAAACCCTGTCGATATTAAAAATACAAAAATTATCCAGGCATGGTGGCAGTCATCTGTAATCTCAGCTACTCAGAAGGTTGAGGCAAGAGAATCGCTTAAACCCGAGAGGCGGAGGTTGCAGTGAGGCAAGATCGCGCCATTGCACTCCAGCCTGGACAACAAGAGCGAAACTCCATCTCAAAAAATTAAATACATATGAATAAATAAATAAATAAATATTCAAAAGCCATTCATAGCCCAGAGTTAAAAGGATTAAAGACAGCACCTTTGTAAAAATAGCAACAGTCACCAATGCATAAGGACAAACATCCTTTCTTAAAGCCCTGAAAGCTCCCAGGCACCTGACCTGACCCACACATCCCCTCCTGCCTAATACCCCGGACTTAGTGCAGCACCACTGCCAGCCCTGCCGCTCACAAGTCCTGGTATCAATATCGCTGGGTCGGCTTATCAGCGTTCTCATATTTCACCCGAGAACCTGCACCGCCAAAGAGCCGATGATGTACCTCTCCCATCCTGGTTCTGTTCCTGCCCCCCTGGCCCAGTGTGATTCCTCCATGGTCCTTGAATCCTCCACTGTCACTACTCTTTCATCATTATCTAAGGTGATCGGTCAGCTCCGTGCCACCCCCTGTCTTTTCGATTCAGTGCCAACTGCACTACGGAAAGCTGTCAGTCCTGCACCTTTTCCATCTGCACTGAGTCTCATTAACACCTCTCTTTCCTCTGGCTATTTGCCACTGCGACTTAAGGAGACTGTTGTTCCTAAACACACACAAGAAAACCATGTTGAAATGCAGTTGTGGGTCTGTCTAATTTAAACTCACAAATACTGAGTAATTTTGAGTTAAAATAACTCATAGCAAGCTTTAAAGCAACTTTTAGCCTCTCCATTTCCATTTAAACCAAAACTTTGCCTGCAGCCTGGACACGGAGTTCTCAGTGAATCACCCAGTCAATGCATTTTTAAAATATGTTCCTACAATGACCAATAATTATGAATTGCTAAGCTACCAGAGAGACATAGGCCTAGAACAGGAAGAGTACTTTCAGATATAATAAATGGCAGCTGAGAATATAATGTGTGTGTTGTATTTAGAACAATGTTTTTCCCTTGAAAGGGTCTGATAGATGGATAGAGACACCTCTGTGCCCTCCTGAATACCCACTCGGTCTTCCTTCTGTTTCAAGAAGAACTTTAGGCTTTCATAAGACATTTTTTTGTTTGTTTGTTTTTGAGACGGAGTCTCGCTCTGTCGCCCAGGTTGGAGTGCGGTGGCGCGATCTCGGCTCACTGCAAGCTCCGCCTCCGGGGTTCACGCCATTCTCCCGCCTCAGCCTCCTGAGTAGCTGGGACTACAGACGCCTGCCACCACGCCAGGCTAATTTTTTGTATTTATAGTAGAGACGGGGTTTCACCGTGTTAGCCAGGATGGTCTCCATCTCCTGACATCGTGATCCGCCTGCCTCGGCCTCCCAAAGTGCTGGGATTACAGGCGTGAGCCACCGCGCCCGGCCCATAAGACTATTTTTTTTTTTAAATCAGGTGCACAAATACTTCTTAGAAAACCCATCCTAAGGGATAACCATATCTGACCATCCACTCGGAGAAGGGAAATCGCTGGATCTGACATTTCACCGTCAACAAGGTACACACCCAAGATTCCCAGAAATGTTTAGAGGGATCCAAGAAGTTCCAGCCTCTGACTGTCACAGGAAGTCATCCTCCAGTCAGGTCCCTAAAGTAGCAGTATCCTCACTGTGATCTTCGGATTCCTGAGGCTGCAGAGTTCCATATGGCTTAGACTCTTCATTTGCTATTTGTCTGTGGACCAAGACTGAGGCCATCTTGGTTTTTTCCACCCTGTCTTCATGTCCATGTGTCTCAGGGGAAAGGACAGAATGAGGACTAGGAAACACCCATCATAGCGTTGGGCTCACCTAGCATCTGCATAGACTGGGTCACTCTCAGCTTCTAGATGGCAGGCTGGGCATGGAAGTGGTGGAAGCCTGGACCTGCGGGGCTACCCGCTGGCTGGATCCACACATCTTGGTTGGACCACTGTGCACCCAGCAATGATAACCAGTTAGCTCACGAACAAAGGAAGAACAGTGGCTCCTTACCCCTGTGCCGGTGCATACAGACTCTATGGGCAACCACATTCTCCTGAAATCCCTACTTCACTTTCCTTCTTTTTCACTAGACTCTGAGCCAACTGCCAGTTGTATTATGGTTTCAGAGCCCAGCACAGAGCATGTCACCCAAATAATTGAGTGACTGCATCTTCCGTGGGACCCACACTTATTTAAGACAGGTGTATTCACAGGGATAATTCACTAGTGCTCCAGGCACTTGTTATGCACCAGAGGAGTCAGGGGAGAACACAAGAAGGAAACTGAGGCTGGGCCTGAGGAGCTCACAGGGAGCATCTGATGCCACTTCTTGGGGAGCACCCAAGTGCATATCCCGCTTATCCACTCATCCCCCCAAAATGACAGGATGAAGTTGCCTTTTATTTTGCACTTGCTTTCTGAAAAATGTATAACTGGGCAAGAAATGGGCAGAAGAAGAGAAGAGAATGCCAGGAAAGAACCTGAATAAACCAGCAACAGAATATCAGCATGTAAATATTCAAAAGCCATCATAGCCCAGAGTTAAAAGGATTAAAGACATCAACTTTGTAAAAATGGCGACTGTCACCAGTGCATATGGGCAAATATCATTAAAGCCCCAGAAGCTCCCAGGTGCCTGACCTGGCCTGCACTTCCCCACCCGCTGAACACCCCAGCCTAATCAGCGCCACTGCCAGGGTCTTTACAGTTTGACACAGAGGTTTTCGGGTGCATTTTCAGGAATTTCCTAAGTAGGTTCTGATATTTTAATGGTGCCCACTTTGATGGCTGCCCGTGGCGGGTACCAGTTGATGTGGGAGTGATCAGGGACACTGTGCAGCGGGCTGAGGCCTCCACAGCAAAAGAGAAAACTAGCCCAGCTCGGTGTGTCCACCTCAGTCTCTGACCTACTCCAGGACATACCCACCATGTAAGGCCAGCCCTGATAGCCACATTTAGGGAGCACCTAGTGCACAACTTGATATGGTACCCGTGCTTAGAAAGCCCGAGGCTCATAGCCGGGGGCTCACCTGGCAGCCCCTGACCCATGCCTCAGCACCTGGGTGCGAAAGGCCTTTGGCCATTCTGGATTGTAAACCAAAAATAAAATTGAAGGTCCCCCACCCCAACCATTTAAATGGACTCCTTCCTCAGCCAGGGTACAGGAAAGTTAACCTGAAGGACTTGGTCAGGCCATGACAGGAAGGTGGCATCTGACAGACCTTGCTATACCCTCCTCCCTTTTGGATTTCAGGAAAATCCAGCCAGCATTTATCATCAACACAGAACTTAAGTCTGATAAGAAACCTTTACCATCTATTCTTTCTGAAGCCTACTACCTGGAGGCTTCTTTTGCATGATGAAACTTTGGGACAACCCAAACATTCCTTTCTACTGGTAATAACTCTTTCAACCAATTGCCAATGAGAACATTTTTAAATCTACTTGTAACTTAGAAGCCCCCATGCTTCAAGTTGTCCTGCCTTTCTGGACCGAACCAACAAACATCTTAAATGTATTTGATTGATGTCTCACGTCTCCTTAAAATGTATAAAACCAAGCTGTACCCAGACCATCTTGGACACATATTCTCAGGATCTCCTGAGGGCTGTGTCAAGGGCCATGGTCACTCATATTTGGCTCAAAATAAATCTCCAGATATTTTACAGAGTTTTACTCTTTTCATCAACAGAATGAACACTTTTTGCCCTTGATTTTTCTGTATCTTTGTGAAAAAAATTGACTTTGCAAATGCTATCACTAACCCCAAGTGAATCAGAACACACTGAGGGGAAACAGTTTTTAAAATATGGCTGTTATGGATGGAATGTTTGTGTCCCCCACAGATTCATATATTGGAGCCTCAACTCTCCATGTGATGGTATTTGGAGATGGGACCTGTGGGAGGTGATTGGGGTTAGATGTGGCCACAACGGTGGGGTCCTCATGACAAGATTATTGTCCTTATAAGAGACATGAGAGCTTGCTCTGTCTCTCTCTCTCTCTCTCTCTCCCCCCCCCCACCTCCATCTCTCTCCCCCTCTCCCTCTGTCTCTCTGCCAGGTGAAGACATAGCAAGAAGGCAGCCATCTGCAAGCCAGGAACAGAGCTCTTCCCAACACTGCTGGCACCCTGAGCTTGGACTTCCAGCCCCCAAAACTGTAAGATGATAAATGTCTATTGTATAAGCCACAAGTCTATGGTATTTCATTACAGAAGCCCGAGCTGACTAAGGCAAGGGCTCTACAAAAGAAAGCTATTTTTGAATTCAGGGAGCCCAAAAACCATAATCACCAATTATTTTTGCTTGAAATTAGATAAAGCAAAAGTGACTTCATGAGAGAGTAAAAGGGGACAGAGAGGAAGAAGAAAGAATATGGAAGGAAAAACAAAGTCTGTGGAAAAATTTTCTTTGAAGCATTCAGCTTGGATGCTGAATGCCAACCTTCAGTCCAGGTTGGATTTTTAGAGCCAAATTAGATACTCCTAAAATATTTCTGTGTAATTGAAACATTTTCATAAATGCCTGAATGAATGGCATGGCTATAATAAGCATCTTTTCTGGGCTAGATTACACCATCATACCAAGTTAGAGTCCTAATTATCAGGTTTTCTTGGGAACAACTGGCTGAGCACGCTTGTACTAAAATATATTTAATTTGGTTTTATATAGCACCTTTTAGTACACACTGTGCCTTATTTCAAACTGCTTTAATGAGTAATGAATTAGATACTTGCAGGGCAGTGACTCCAAATGAATGGAGGAGATACTACAGGCTCAGCAACAGCTCAACTTGGAAAACCAGGGCCTGCGTGGAAGCTTAGCTCCTATTCTCTGCAGGAAGGGCCATGCTGCCATGCCTTCCCACACAACCTCACAATGCACAAAGTGGCTGACGCTGGGGAGCCTAGGGGAGCAGCACGGGGATCGTGGCATGCTCTGTGGTGGGGCAGGTGCTAGGGAGACATGAGGCTGTGTGCAGCTGGCAGGCAGAGTGGGTACCTGGAGAGGACAGAGCTGCCCGCAGCCGTATCTCAGTCAGCAGACAGCAGCAGGGAGCCAGCCATCTGCCATTGTGTGTCCCCAGCAGTGGGCTGGTTGAGCATGACATTAGGGAATTTGATTAGAAACAATTTTAGAAAATCCAGGCAAGCAGGGACTAGGACTCAGAGTCCTGTCCCCAAGCTCAGGTAGGTCCCTAGAAGTCCCTCAGAGCCTGAATTTCTGTATGTTTAAGGTGATCATTTGTCCCAGTTTGCAAGTTGCAGAGGGGTTCCCTGGGACATGTGCCATCCTGCAGAATATTCAGTGCTAAGCTGGGAAAGTCCTGGGCAAACAGGGACCAGTTGGCCACTCCACCAATATCCAGAGTGGTATTCCTCAAAGGCTGATGCGCAGACCATCTGCATCTGCTCATTAAAAACCCAGACACCTGTGCCTTCACCTGAGACCTACTGATTCCTAATTGCATGGGTGAAGAATCCAATAGAGTGCATTTAACCAGTGCTTTGGTTGACTCATATATGCAAACTACTTCTTAGCACCATTTTCCTAGAGGAGCTAAAAGAAGCAGCAAGCATTTTATCAAGAAGGTAATGCTGAATTTTCCCTGAGTAGAGGCAGATTCCCAGGCCAGACAGAGCTGAACCCTCTCAATGGGGTCAAATGGTCCCAACCAGCAAGGAGAGGAGGGCTGGAGGGTTGGAGAACTGGGCCCATCCTGATTCCGTATGATGCTTAAGTAGGCCAGATATCACACTGTTTCTTCCTCAAGAGTGGATAGGGCAAAGCTACCCTAAGACAAAGCACATGGGCAATTCTCCTCTATTTCCAGCATCTTGCAAAGCCTTTGGAAAGTGAGGGTGAGCTCTGCAAAGGAGGAGGGATGGAGCCCAGTGCATCCTGTGCAGATGACCTCCCGGGGATGAGAAGTTCCATCAGGGAATGACCACTTGGAAAGAATGAAACTAACTTTTGCTGATTTCTGCCTTGGTGAGAAACTGTCATCTTTATCATGATCAAAACTTGCTACTACCACTCAACTAGGTAGATAATACTGGGTCCATTATTAAGATATGACAACTGAAGCTAGGAAAAGTGACTTGCCCAAGGTCACATGTCAAATAATAAATAAAGCCAAGAATAGCAGACTCCACAGCCCAGGTCTTTCCTAGTGTACCCCCCCCACCCCCCACCATCCTTTAAATCTTACAGTTCTAAGGCTCCTGTTTGCAAAACCTCATGGGAAAGATACTGCCTTCAGACTTATGTCAATGTTTGTCCAACTTGTCACAGGTTCAGCTGCTTGCAAAGGGTCTAAATCCCCTCTGTTCACATCCCACCATCACACTACCTGGTTTTCATCTCAGCTCCACTCTTCCCAACTGTGTGACCTTGAGAAAATTACATGACCTTTCTGGGCTTCACTTTCTTATCTATTATGGAGTATAGTAATAGTGATTTCCTCCCTATTTAAAAATAATACCATGTTAAAAGTAACATAAAATAAGAATGGGGCCTATCACATACTAAATGCTCAACAAGTGTAAGCTATTAGTCTATCTTTATGATAAAGCATGCATGTGAAATGGCTACTGGGTTTACAGTATTACGATTTGGACATAGATAACCATAAGATCCAGAAAGGAGGAATGCTCATCTGTTTTGTTGTCTGCCTGAGGTTTGTTTTCACTGCAATGTTCATGAAATTATATTCAATGGCTTGAGGCACATACCATGTGTGAAAAGGTCTAGCTGAGAACACAATAATAAAACTAATTCTGTAGCCTCCAAAATCTCTCACAAGGTGGAGCAGTAGCCAGGTCCAACTGAGTAATAAGAGAAACCATACAGCAAAAGCCTGCTGTGTGCCAAGCACCTTGTGTCAATTACCTGTTTCACTGTTTACAACAATCTCACCAATTATATTCACCCATTATATGTTATTATATATTATATGTCAGGCACTGTACTAGATGCTGGGAATATAGGAATGAATAGGAAAGACCTGCCTCCTGTCCCTTATTGAGCTTCCACTCTACTGCGGAAGGTAGATGTTACACTATCTATAGATATTAGTATTAAAGTTCCTTGATAAATGAAGAATAACTTAGCAGGCTTAAAGATATTAAATGACATTCAAGTGACATGGCCAGAATGTGATGGCATCTGAATTCAAGCTTTGGTCAGCTGAGTTTCAAGGCTTGTACACTCTCCCCCATCCCAGTGTTTATAGCCTACCAGACCAACTAGAAGAAAGGTCAAATGACAGAAAACAATATATAAGAGTATAGAGAAACTACTATTGAAAACCCTGAGGAGTAAGTGACTAAATATGAGTTCAATAGCCTGAAAAGATTTTAGAGATAATAACTTTTATTTTGAACATGAAAATAATTCTGATATCCACAGAGGCGAGAAGGGTATTCCAAGAAGGAGGAATAGCATGTGCAAAATAGTGCAGGTCAGAAAGGGGGTGCTGAGCCATGAGGCAACAGTAGGTCCCCTGAGCCTGGAATGTCCCTGTGGGGGAATGGGGAGACTAAGTGAGAGCCTGGGACAAAGCTGAAGGCACAAGCCAGGGAAACTTGGCAAGAGCCTCAGACACTGTCATGAAGAATGTGAATTTGATTGTCAGGACAATAGGGAAACTTTGGAGTCTGAGCACGAAAGTGGCAGGAGAAGCAGGTGGAACAAGGCAGTGAGCATCGTCCTCTCCTCATGCTTCCTTCATTTCTGGTGTGAACTTGGGAGAAGCTCTCACCAAACTGCCCCCCCACCCAGTTACCCCTGCTCCCACAGGGGAGAACCCACTGGTACTAGCCCATGAGTTCTTGCCAGTCTTTCCAGCCCTTGCTAAAAGGCAGCCATTTAGGAAGTTATTTTTCTTAAGCTCCCATCTATGACATCATATCAGACACCCCCATCTACTCAAGGCAGGCAAACATAAGTGAATCTCATTCTTTCTCAATGATATGCACCCACCAAGCCATAAAGTTGAGCATGCAAGTCACCACCCTTCACTTGGGACACAAATATCTGTACATTTTTGCCAGGGTGATCAAGATTTCAATAATGAAAAAGATAAGATGACCCATTCTCTGGAGAAGAGTCAGCCTCTTTCTCCAGCCACCTCGTTATCACTGAATGGGCTCATGAGAAAAGTGTTCATGGCGGCAGGGATGGAAGCTATGCATGGGTTCAGCAACATGGACTCCCCATGCACTAAGACTGACCTGGCTAGGACTACTACTGAGTGCCCAATGCAGCAGCAGCAGAGACCAACACTGAGCCCCTGGTATGGCATCACTCCCCAGAGTGATAAGCCAGTTACCTGGTGGCAGGTTGATTACGTTGGACTGCTTCCCTTATGAAAGAGACAGCATTTTGTTATTACTGACTACTTAATCTAGATACAGATTTGTCTTCCTTCTGCACAATGCTTTTGTCAAAACTATCCATGGACTTCAAGGCTCTATTATACATGTCATGGTATTCCACACAGCTTTACTTCCAATAAAGAACTCACTTCACAGGTAATGAAGTGCAGCCATGGGCCCATGTTCATGGAAGTTACTGGTCTTACCCTGTTTCCCACCATCCTGAGGCAACCAGTTTGATAGAACAGTATAGTGGTCTTTTGAAGTCACAGTTGCACCATCAGCTAGGTGACAATACCTTGCAGTGCTGGGGCAAGGTTCTCTGGGAGGCAAGGTTCTCTGTATATTTTCTGAATTAGTGCCCAATATATGAGGCTGTTTCTCCCATTTTCAAAACTCACAGGTGGAAATGGGAGTGGCACCATTCATTATTACCCCTAGTAAACCACTAGCAAAATTTTTTTCTTCCTGTGCTGATGGACTTGTGTTCTGAAGGCCTAGAGGTTTTAGTTCTAGTGGAAGGAGTGGTTCCACCAGGGGACATAATGATTCCATTGAACTGGAAGTTAAGACTGCAACCTGGACACTTTGGGCTCCTCATAACTCTAAATCAACAGGCAAAGAAGGGATTTACTGTGCTGGCTGGGTGATTGCTCTGGATTACAAAGGGGAAGTTAGACTGCTATTCCACAACGGAGATAAGGAAGAGTATGTCTGGAATACTGGAGATCGTCCAAGGTGTCTCTTAGTATGATCATGCCTTATGATTAAAGTCAATGGAAAACTACAGCAACTGAATGCAGGCAGGACTCATAGCCCAGACTCTTCAGGAATTAAGGTTTGGGTCACCCCACCAGGAAAAGATTCATAACCAGCTGAGGTGCTTGCTGAGGACAGAGGAAATTCAGAATGGGCACTGGAAAAAGGTGGTTACAAATACCAGCTACAATCACATGACCAGTTACAGAAATAAAGACTGTAATTACCATGAATATTTCTTCTTTATTTTCTTAAGAATATGTGTGTGTGTCTTTTTTTCTCCCCTCTCTTATCCCTTTATTGTGTAACATAAGATGCATTGGCTTTATATCATAATATTTAAATATTGTTGAAATTACCTCACAATATTTAAGTTAGAAGATATCAGGAGAAAGGTAAACATCACTCAAGGATTTCACCTCCTCTTCGGGAGAAGAGGTTAGTGCATTTTCAGCTGTACACAGGATAGTTGTATCATGTTAGGCAGAATTATGACCTTGTCATTGACTTTATTTAGAGATTAAGTATGGTTTGAGGACATGTGTGTATGTGTCAAGTTGACAAAGGTACACCTCTGATGATTAATGTTGTCAACTTGATTGGGCTATGGGGTACCCAGATTCTTGATCAAACATTATTCTGGGTGTTTCTGTGAGGGTGCTTTTGATCAAATTGAAGTTTAAATTGGTAAATGGGTAAAGTAGATTGGTCTCTCTAATGTGGTGGGCCTCGACTAATCAGTTGAGGGCCTGAATAGATAAAAAAGGCTGACCCTCCCCCAAGTAAGAGAGAATTCTTCCTGGCTAGATGGTCTTCAAAGTGGAACAATAGTTTTTTCCTGCCTTTGCGCTCTAACTAAAACGTCAGGGCTTCCGGGTCTCAGGCCCACCAGCCTTCAGACTAGAACTACACTGTTGGCGCTCCAGGTTCTCAGGATTTCAGACTCAGACTGGAACTAAACTGCTGGCTCTGCTGGGTCTTCAGCTTGACAGCTCACTCTGCAGATCAAAGGACTTGCCAGACTCCATGATGGTATGAACCAATTCCTTATGATAAACCTCTTTCTGTGTGTGTACACACACACACACACACACACACACACATCCTATTGGTTCTGTCTCTCTGGAGAACATTGACTAATGTTCTAACATTGACTAATACATTTACTAAATGTAAGAAAGTAGGGTTTGTCTTTTTTGCTTACTACTTTACCACCAGTACCTAAAGCAGTGCTTGGTTGGGGCTGTGCTCAGATGTTTGTTAAGGGAGTAAAAAAATCAATGAATTTGTTTTATGAAATGGAGCATACTTTCAGCAGTTTCACTACACAAAACAAATATTAAATTAAATGAATAAAAACTCAAACACTAGGACCTTTATCGGTTCTTTACACCTTTGCCAGGTAACACAATTGTAGCTTTTTAACACAATTGTAGCTTTTTAATTCCTCACCCATCACCTGGGAACCTGAATTAAGTTGCCACTGTTTATATCCAGGTTTAAAATGGGGTTAAGATAAATAGCTTCTATACTCACTAATGAATCACCCTTAAAATGACAGAATGAAAAACAAAACACTACAAACAATTTTTTTTTAAACCAGAACTCCTCTATAACCCCACATCCCCACATCTGAAGGACTTCCCAGTGCAGTGAAGAGCCGAGTAAGGAATACGGAACAATCCCTGGACAAAACACTACTGGCTGTGGCCACAGAGCTCAGAGAAGACTTTCAAGCCCCAGTTTTTTTCTGAGTAGGCAATTCACCATGGGAGACAAAATCTGACATCCCTAGTTTGGAATCAAAAGAGTCGAGCCTGCCAGCTTGTAATAGAATTCTCCCCGTATTCTGTATAATACCATGGAGAAGGAGAAGAGAGGTGGATGAATGAGGAGACATGTCAGTGGCCATATTTGCAGGAAGCTGTTGGTTGGAGAGGCAGAGTCGGGGAGATCCTGTTAGAAGCAGGCTTGCAGTTGTTGCTTTCTTTGGTTGGAAAGAGGTAATTGCCAAAAAGATTTATCATCTTAAGGAAATCTGCTGATAATAAAGGAGAAGTCTGTCTGCCAGGATGCTGCCCTGGTCCTTACCAACATTAAACTTCTTTAAAAGGCTGGCCCATGAATAGTTCACCTCCTTCCAAGATGAGTAATAATTTTTAAAAATGGATAAGCAAATAAGCACAGAATATATTTAAATTGCTACTTGAAAAGGAATAAAATGAACAGGAAAACAAATGGTAAGTAAAGAACACTGACTAGAAAGAAGTTTCTGTGGAGCAGATGAAAATTGGTACCAAATATGCCGCACTAATTTTTTAAAAATTTAATGAGATAATCACTTATTTAATGTAAAATCTCAAAGTGGAGCTACAGGAGTTTAAAAAATACATTGACTGCCAACAGTAGGAGAAGAAATAAGAGGAAAACTAAGAGTGGGTGAAAAAATAAAACCATCACAGAAATGAAGACCACCTTGACCAAACCGCAGTCAGGAATGTGCATTTCTGGCAACACAGGAAGAGACATGGAGGACAGGACTGAGGAACGGAGCAAAGAAAGTGGAAATAAGGAAACGTGGGCCAAAAAGTAGAGGGAAAAATAATGCCTAGATAAGACAGAAATAAGATAGGCAACAAACACATAAATGGTATCCCTGAAGCAGAGCACTGAAAAACTGAAACAGAAAAGGAAAACAAACCTTTGAGATATAATTTAAGAAAACTTTTCAGAAATAAAAGGCAACTTGAATCTATGGATTGAAAGCATATGCTATGGACCAAGAAAAATGATATGAGCAATCAATACTGAGTCACATGCTAGTGAAGCTGTTGATCCTCCAAAAGAAGAAAGAATCCTTTGGGGACATAGAGGATTAATCAGCTCTAAGTGCCGGGTAGTGCAAGAACACAATGAACGGCCACCTGAAACCCCTGGGAGAGAGGGTAGTAGCCCAAGAATTTTGTACCTGGCCAAACAATAATCCAACTATTAAAGGAAACAAATGTGCCAGAACTCAATAAATATAATACCTATAAGCCCTTCTTATAGAAACAACTAGAGGGCACATCTCAGCCTAGCCCAAAGTAAATGGAACAACCATCAGCCAAGGACTCTTCATGAGCATCAGACCCACTTATCAGGAGCATTAAACTGTGACAACACTGGGAATTTTGATAAAAGAAAAAAATACAAATATGTATAGGTATATGTATTTTCTAACTGTACATATGTACATGTATGTCTAATTCTACATTATATAAAAAACAGCTTCAACAGTTGGGTAGTGATGAGGAAGAGTGGATTTAGAAATACTGTAAGTTCCCAATTTTTCTCATCTTTACATAAGGAGAACAAAGATGTAAATTTTAAAGATGATAAATCAAGTAATACATGTAAAAGCATATATAAATGTACAAATGCAATAAACACCAGGAAAATAATATAATTTATATTTATAATCTAATATAAATACATTATAATAAATGTATAATTTCTATTATCATTTATAATAGAAATTATGTTATATGTTATGTATGTTACATATAATTTATATTATATATATCATATTATATAATTTATTGTATATAAATTATATATAAATGTCATGTATATATTATATATAAATTTTATATAATAAATTATATAATGTCATTTATATATTATATAAATTTTATAATATATTATAATACATAAATTATATATAACTACATATTATATAGTATTATATGTTATAACATATATATTATTGTATATTATAAATTATAACAAATTTATATAGAATATAATTCTATTCTATATAGATTATACTATTAATAATTATACTATTAATATAATAATATTTATATAAAATTATAATATAATTTATATATCATGTAACTTTGGCTGGGCTTAGATGTGCCCAGTTGTTTCTATAAGGATTTATATTTATCTTATTTTTTGAGTTCTTGCATGTTTGTTTCCTTTAATACTTGATCTATTGTTTGGCCAGGTACAGTAATAATGATATAAAACTGGGTGGTGAGCAGGTGGCAGAGTATAGATGTATACTAGTCATGTCATTGCTTTAATTATTTATAAAAAATATTTAACATTTTTACAAAACAATGAAATAACCCAACTTGAAAAATAGGGAGCAGAGGGAATCCACTTCCCAGGGTTTGGCACCAGCTTTTCACTTTATTCTGTGCCTGAGCCAGTTTTCTTGTGCTGAGGCCACCAGCAGCAACACAGGTTTCTAATGGTGGATCGGTGGCGGCACACTCACTAACATAGGCAACGGCTTTAACATATGACACAGTTACATGCAAAGCTAAATTGCATTAGGTCAGACCGTAAACTACATAAGCCACATTATGTCATTCAGTCCTCACTATAACACTGTGAAGCAGATATTGTTTTATGTCCCATTGCTGAGAAAAGGAAAACTTTGGAAGATTACTAGGCACACACAGAAAATTGCGAAGCTGGGACTTGAACTTGAGTCTCACTAGCTGCAAAGTGTGTGCTCTCAAACTGAAGGAGACCTTACTTTAAACAGGAATTGAGTTTTTTATGATGCCCAAAGAATATTTGCATATTACTGACATCAAATTACAAAAGGAGATCATTATTAACCTAGCTTCTCAGTCTGGAATGTCCCTTCCCCTCAGGCTTTGTCAATTTAAATGTTTCTCATTCAAGGCATGACTCACACATCACATCCTCCCCACCCCAGGAATTGCTGAGGTTGGCTTCCCCTGAGCTGCCACAGTTCAGCACCCACGTGTAACAGGGCTGTCATTCGGCCATCTAATGTCATTTAGGCACCAGGCACTGTGCCTTGTCCAAATAAATGGTAATTGACAATTCAGAAATGATATTAAATTTCAACATTAGCTTTACAAATTGACACTTTTATCGTCTTTGGACCACTTTATCTTAATGTAGATTTTGAGTGTTTTTTTGAGGCAAAAGTCAGGGCACTCCACCCCTCTTCTACTAGGTGAAGAGCAAGCACACAGCTCATATTATGGGCAGTTACCAAAACTAAAAACACAGGCTGGGCACGGTGGCTCACGCCTGTAATCCCGGCACTTTGGGAGGCTGAGGTGGGCGGATCACTTGAGGCCAGAAGTTCGAGACTGGCCTGGCCAACATGGCGAAACTTTGTCTCTACCAAAAAATACAAAAATTAGCCTGGCGTGGTGGTGCATGCCTGTAATCCCAGCTACTCAGGAGACTGAGGCATGAGAATCGCTTGAACCTAGGAGGCAGAGGTTGCAGTGAGCTGGGATCGCACCACTGCAATCCAGCCTGGGTGACAGAGTGAGATTCTGTCTCAATAATAAAAAAATAAATAAATAAAAACACAACTGTGACCTTAAACTTATTTCTGGGGGTAGGGGGAAGGGAATGATGAAAAACAAACTATAGAAAAAGACGGTGATTCAGAAAGTTGCAGAAACAAACACAAATTCTGTGCAGTCTCCATAGGTTTATGATCACATTGAGGATATTAAAAATCTAGAGTCAACTTTCAGTTGTCCAGTGTGTGGAAGGCTCCAATCTGCGACTTCTCCTGTTCATTCAGCAGGAGGTGGGCAAGAGGTAAAAAAAACCCAGCGTGACTGTCTTTTCTACAGTTAATCATCTACTTCCCAGACAAAAAAGAGGCTCCTGACTGTTGACTCTTTAACATTCTCCTTTGATTTTTGCTACCATGAAGGTTTTAGCGGGGAGAGCTACAAGGTTTAGGAAATGCCTTTTAAATTTCCTTTACCCATCTGTATAATCTTCATCTTTATTTCTTTAATCCCCATTGCCTATGCATTAGCACCTCAAAAGCTTATTATTTAGATCAAAGCAGACTTAGGAAGGAGCTAGTCTATCTTGAATTTTATCCAAAAAAAAAAAAAAAAAGGCTACAGTCAAGGTAATTTCACTTTCCCTTTAAATAGCATATTTCACCCATATCCCAAAGACCTGTTTGTTGTTTTTCTTTCAATTAAAGAGCACAGTCCCTTTCTAGAATACATAAGGTATTTTTTTTATGAGTTTCTCAGTTTCCCACTGGCTAGATTCTGGATAGAATGGGAAAAATGCACCTTTATCAACTCAGGAATATTCATGGAGGAAACCTCACCCGTTTAATCTCATCCTTTTCCACAACACGAATTGGGATGGCCTTTGGAAAAAATTTAAGAAGGGGAAACGAACACCTTGAATGCACGCAGGGTGTGCAGGGGTAAACAAGGTTAGACACATTACTATTTTCCTATTGCTGCTGCGGGTCCTGCAGCAGGAACAGAAGGCCTCCGGGAGGAACTTCCTCCTGAAGCCTCTCACCCATTCACCTGGAGGAGCCAGGAGTGGGTTTGGATTCTGTGGAGTTTCTCATCTTCCTCACTTTCCCCCATAGCTTTGAATGTCCATGAAGCGGTTACCCCAAGCTTGGAATAATGGACTCCATGAGTAGAAAGAGCCCTAATTCCAGACAATTTCATGATCTATTCTCAATTCTCCGTTGCTGTTAATTAACCGCGGGGGTCCATGGTTTTGCCCCGTGCTGTGCAGGTGCCTCATGGGACGTCATCCCCGCCACCACTGCTCTGGCACAGTGCTGGGCCCAAGAGCAGAAGAGAAAACACAAAGTGATGGTCAAGATCATTCATCAGAGGAGGAAGCTCAAGAGTCTTAGGAGGGAAACAGACACCTCGTGGTTATAAAGCAGTTCGGCCCGGACATGACTGGGGAGTGGCTGGGTCAAAGAGTAGAGGCCTGATTAAATACTAAAAAATCAAACACCAAAGTTTAGTTGGCCAAAGAATGGCCAAACTAAAACCTTTCCAAGGCATTTTTATGCCAGCCTCTTTCTCTTAGTTAGATCCCTGTTGATGTTGGAGGGGCCAAGATGACCTGAAACCGAACAAATTTAAAGCCGAAGTAGCCATTTGCAGAAAATGACTTCTTACTTTGGGACAGCCGAAAATGTCTGAAAACATGAGTAATGTGTCTTACAGCAAACAGCATAGAACAAATGTTGCAAGACCCGCTTCCTTATGTGGTACATTGTACTTTTATGCATGTACGCTGTGTGAACAAGAGGGTTAAAAGTTAAACAGTTGCCTAGGGCGAAAGGAAAACGCACTGCACAGGTAGGGAATGAGCTTCTTGACTTCCTAACTATTACTATATGTCTTTAGCAGGAACTCACAGGCACCAGTGTGCAAAAATGTCTTTCCTTAAGGTGCTGGGTATTATGAAATTGGGCTGTTTTAATGTCTGAAATAGACATCTGACCTTTAATCCAAAGTCATAAATTTATCATTGTCTGAAATTGGTGGACTACCATTCTTATTAAGGCCAGTTTTTAGGATTTAGCATTTACAGAATACTTGGTCTCCAGTGTATGAAAAGAGACGTGAAATTCACCGGGGTGCCCTGGAAAACGGTTGAATAAAAAGGAATTAGCTATTTTGAAGCCGAGACATGGTTCCATTGCTGAACGAACTAACAAAGGCAAGAGAGAAACAATGACGGGTAAGATCAAGTTAGTCTATATTTCATAAGATGGTAAATACCTAGAAGTCATGTTTATGTATAATGAATTACAATCCTTCCACATTTACCTTAGTAACATTTTACAGGGGTTGTATTTTACTCCCAACGACCAATTATGTCATCATTCTGGCATTTACCTGGACATAATGATACACAGAAACCCATTCTTGTAACATAATTCATTGCTTAAAAGTGTTTGTAAAGTCACACGGCATTCTACACACACATAATGACTCGGATATTGCTATTAAATTTTACTGATTGAAGTTTAGTAAACCTCAAAAATCTTACGTTAGTTTCTGTGTATCTTATTAATCCTAAAGGAAAAGATGTTCAGCTATTTAAATGTCAATAAATGTGTAACCCTGTAAAAAGCAGACATTGTATATTCCGTGATACAATACCTCACCTACAATTTTAATGGAAGATAGAGACTTGCTGTTTTAACTGTTAAAGGCAGGTCATTTAGACTTTCACTGCTACCCCCATATTATGTCATCTATTAAAATATGAAAATACACTAAAAAAGCATGCACGTACACACCTTCACACCTCATACTCTCATACCCCAGGTCCCTTTCCTTGACTCGTTAAACTGAGTAAAGAAACCACAACTGTACCATTGGTTTGCATTCATTCATTTTAATTTAGATTTGAGAAAAAACAAGAAGTCAAATCCTTTTATAAGCTTGTGAGGTCACCAAATTTAAATTATGCCTCCGCCTATAAAGCACATTAATAAAAGTACTATACAGAGGGAAATTTAATATGAATGGTTAAAATGCATGGAATTCAGATTTTACTGTCAAACAGCTCAATTAAACAAATTGAATTTTTAAGCAACAAAAGGGAATTGAATCAAATTAGGAACAGAGTGTGATGTGAAATGTGGACCTTTATGAGGAGCGCCAGCCCCTCCAGCATGAAGCCTTCTTTATTTGTTGCCTCGGCAGTTAGAGGAGGCTGGCAGAACCGCATCACAACAGGATAAAAATGTTCACCATTGAAACACAGTTTTTGGCTCCCAATAAATCATCTATCACTTCATCACAGCCCAGTAGATAATGAGCAATAAAGTTTTCACACTCAGGGAATGAGGACACAGACACAAGAAATACAGCTGAAGCCGTAAGTCTGGCTCTGCTGTGAGTGGAAAGTGCTTTGTATAAGAAATGACCCTAAGATTTCCTCCAAACAAGAACACAGCATCTGTACAATACACAATTTGCCACATTAAAAATTAAATTGCATTTATTAGGAACTTTAATGACAACAGTATGTTGAGGTTGATATATTAAAGCACAATGTTGATCCAGAAATAGCTCTGTGCTCAAAACCAGCAACGCAGGGTGGTCTATACAATGAGTCACTATAATTTTTACTGGCATTATTTTAAATGTTTATGTGCATACACTATTCCCCATTGGTATTTAAATACTGCTAATGTATCTGTAATTCCAAAATAATTTTTATTTGGATGGGTTTCTCTATGCCCCCATCCCCATAAAATTCAATTGAAAAGAAAAAAAGTCTGAGCTATTGATTCCAAAATCATATGCTGGTGTATTTCACAGATGCAATCCATTTGCAGATGTTCTACAAAGGTTTCACCACAATTACCTTGAATTGTTTCTGACTTTTATTCACCCATCTCTGCAACCTGCATGTGGGTGGTCCACTCCATAACCAGAAACAACGAGACAGGAAATGAACCAGAGAATATGGGAAAGAGAAAAAAAGAAGAGAAGAAGGAGGAAGGGAGGGAGGGAAAGAAGGAGGGAGGGAGGGAAGGAAGGAAGGAGGGAGGGAAGGAAGGAAGGAAGGAAGGGAGTCTCAGTGTCACATCAGTTACACTGAATAAAATGTTTCATTAAAAATGCACTCTGAAACTGGTGCCATTGAATCTGGGGCAGTAAGATGACCCTCAAAACATATCTTTCTTGCAGTGGTAGCCAGATGGTGGGTCAGGCACTGGAGGGTGCCAACATCTGCTGGGACAGGAGCTGGCTTCAGGGCACGGGAAGGAGGGAAGAGCCATCCTGCCTTTTGTTACAGGAGCTTTGCCATTGGCTCTCATTGCTGAAATGTGTATGAGGCAACAACCTCATGGTTCTCTGAGGGGTTCCAGACCCCAGTTTCCAGAGGCCCAGTGGTGTGGCTCAGCAGGGATGAGATCTCAAGGCCAACGCGAGTTCTTGCGTGGTTCCTGTCTCACAACCCCTGAGACTCACCACCCATTGGGAGGGCATCCAGCCTTCACATTGCCCCCGACGGCCCAAGGGAGGGTGGAGGGGGGCTTCCTGCACAAGGATGCCAGGCTGCACAGTTGGAGCATGATGTGAGTTGTGAACCCCAACTTCTGCTTTCCAAAGTCCACCTCCTGGGATCCAAAGTCCACCTCCTGGGATAGGTCACATCACAATCCTTATGGAAAATGGAAAAATAAACTACCAATTATAAATAAAACTCTCAGTGGGAGGTGTTGCTTGTTTCCCAGTTGGGGTGAACCAATTGCAGCCTGATAGCACTGCTTTGAACTAAAGAGAGCAGGAGAGTCTGAACGGCCCATCCCAGATGTTCTCACCGTATGGGGTGGGTTCAACAGGATGACTGTGCCCTGTCACACACTGCTGACCCAGGACCCAGGACACGGAGCAGGCAGGAAGCTCCAGAGGTGGGTCTCAGAGAGGCTGAGAAAACACTCTCTCTCCTCCAAGCTGGTGGCTGTGCCATTCACTCAATGATGGTTTATGGAAAGATGACTGCAAACGGGGTGCAAATCACAGGAACTCTAAGACATCCATCCAACCCCAAATCTAGAATTCCCCTACCTAATTTCACATCTGTTCTATAAAAGTTTCTCCATCTGATAGAACTACAAATTTTAATGAACGCTTCTTGATCTTATTAACGTGTGTAAAACTATAATCAAACAACAAATTATAGCACTTTGCAATTGAAAGATATTAAACTAACGCTACGTGCTTCAGAAAAAAATTACAGATATGTAAATAAATGCAAATACAGATTTCCTTACTGTATTTTGTGCCTACTTTCTGAGAAAGGCAAGTCACTTAAAATCTTTATTTCTCAGTTGTATTCGTTAAAATAATGCATGTTAATTATATTCTGACATTCATCTGACAAATAACTGATAAGTTACACAATGTAACTACTAATAATCCATGCAGCCCATTTTATTATCTTATGAAATTAGAGATCGAACATTGATTATGACTAATAGGGGATTTCATCCAATAAAGACAGCACATGAAGAGAAGTATATAAAAATTGGGTAGCTGGCTTTTGAATAGCTAAAAGGAGCTGTGTTAAATCATTAATTAACAAAGATGAATGCTCTGGGTGAAGATGGTAATAGTTGTACTTTTTTAGACCAGAGATGAATTATTTATTTCTACCCTAGCTATACCATAGAGTGCATGCAGAGTTTGTTTAGCAACAATAGTAGAAATATATTTGCTACAGGGGCAGCCTGGTAATACTGCTTGTTAAGGCATGCTATTTGTAAGCAAATTTATATGAAAAGTATGCCATGTCTAATACTAAACTACTCCAGCCTCAGACTGAAGGGTGATTTCACAAACGTCCTGCAGCACTCCATCATCCCTTCATTTTAATGTCTTTATGATTTTGTTGATGAAATACTACTTACTCAGTGCTCAAAATCCCTTTTAGGCTGCAGGCACTGGCTAGTTGACATGGCAAGCTATATTTTACGGCCATATATTTCAGCTCTCTCTGTCCAAGTTGGAGGACACAGTAGCCAAGATGGTTTTTCATCGTAGAAATATATTTTCATATTTATTTATTGATTTGACTAATGTATCTATTTTTCAATTCACATGCTTATGTTTCAATCCATTAAAGTGATTCATGGTCAAATAATATGTTATTGCAAGTACAAAGAGGAGATAAAAACCACTGCACATTTGCTATAACACAAGAACAAAAATAATAAAAAAAAGCATTGCATGATTAAATATAGTTTTAATCCCCAAAAGATCAAAACTAAAATGATGTTTTTAATTATTTCACAAAAAGGCATAAAATAAAAGTTTTTTGAAAAAGTAGGATGCAATTGCCTATGAAATCAGTTTCCCAGTAATAAATATTTTGTGGATGTTTCTTAACAAGATTAAGTACTCACTACAGATTTAGCATCAGGCATGAAATTAACAACAAAATAAAAACTAAAACAGGTTTCCGTTATTCAGCAGGAGAAGGCTAAGATGGTGAAGCTGACCAGCCCCAAGGCATAGGAGCTCTGTTCACCAAGTGCCTTGCTAAGACCTACATCGTGCGGCTGTGTTGTTAGGATCCTAGGTTTTTGGGTGAAGATAGCCAAGCACACCTGCTTTCCTACTGGGGAGCCGGGCTGCGCCTAGCCAAGCCTTGAGATGGCCCTTTCTGTTTGGCTCCAAAGGGCTCCTCAACTGCAGAAGGTTGAGGAGAAAATGCTGCAGGGCTGTTGCTTCTCAGCACCTGTCTCCCCGAGGTCTCATAACAAACTTCGTTTTCCAGGAATGTTTGTCTAAGAACTCTGCAGTTTTGCAATGATTAAAACACACACATACTCACCCATGTGCACGTGTGCATGCATGTACTGTGTGTGCGTGTTTGGAGAAGGAGTATATTATTTCAGGACACACTACCTTGCTAAGCCATTCTGCTTAAATATAGAGGGTGAATTCTTCAGAGGGGCATAGAGAAGTGCAAAGCCTAAACTAGCTCAAGACAAGAGAGGAAGCCAATTGATTCTCAGAGCAACTACTGAGTATCTGCCCCAGGAACAATCAAGCCTCATGGTCAATGAGCTGTCATGGAAACAGAAAACTGACAATAGAGTGTGGTAAAAGAGCAGCCACCTCTCCCAAGAAGAATGGGGGAAAGCAATTGACACTGAAGGCAATGGACGTTTTAAGGTAGGATTTAAAGGGGAAGTCAAATTTTACGAAGGAGTTGGGAAAACCTTCAAGGCAGAGAATACAGGGCTGTGAGGGTTCTGGCTCCCTGTGGAGGGTGTGATGTCCATCATGGCAAAGCGGGAGGCGCCTGACCAGGCAAGGGCAGGGCACAGCAGGTCAATGCCAAGGCCAAGGTGTTACGACACTTCAGTCAATATCCTAAGGCTATTCACTGCTCATCTGCCGTCTGCAAGGCACTGTGCTGAAAGAGCTGGGTTTAGCCTCCTGTCTGTCCAAAATATTTTCTGCAGAACTGGCCAGACCTTAGCTGCCTTTCAAAGAAATCTGGAAATAATAAAATTACTACTGGTGGTATGGAGAAGGGCTGTATCTCATTATTATCATCGCATGGGGTCCTCTCCCACCTAGCCTCTGCTCTTTTTCACAGCCTAACCCAGGAGGCCTATATTACAAGTGCAGAAGCAAGGACCTCCCCGTTGGCTGCTCACTCTAAGACAGGTGCCTCTTGCTCCTGAGGCTGGGGTTAGGATCAGGGGATGTCCCATGGCAAACTGACGCATTCTTCCAGAAAGGACTCCTGAGCCTGTGTGTGCAAGAACAGAAACTGCAGATGAAATTCATGCCCTTTTAGTGTTTGCATGCTATAGAATTGGAGAACATTTGAAAGATTTAGCCAGGAACCTGGGAGATGCCTGAAACAGCCTTTCTAAGCATGTCCAGGGGTAAACTGAGCTCAGATCTTGCTCCCTGTCATGCCTATCTGCCCCAAACCAGGTCAGCTGTTCTTCCCTGGTCTGCAGAACTTAGAACGGCCTTCCTGCTCCCTGCTGTCTTCCAGGTGTGTCTCTCTTCACTAGACTGTGAATTCCTAGGCTGAAGGAGCTGCATCATGCACAGGACACAGGAGATATGCAATATATTAAAGAATGAATGAAATGCCCCGTTCTCTGGAAGCTATCCTGGAATCAAGATTGCAGGAATTTAAGAATAAGAAGAAGAAAAATAAAAAGTACTCACAATCCCATGGTCAAGAAACATCCATTTTAACATTTTGGCACATTTCCTTTCTACCTTTTTCCATGAGAATTCACACTTTTAAAATTAATCTTTGGATCAAGCCATTCATACTGTTATATTTCCTGCATTTTACACTAAATATTTTATAACAAATAGTTTTTCTAACTTTTTCTCATAACAATCTTGAGTGGTTGCCTAGAATATCGTGGTATGAACGTACCATGAATATACCACTGTTTGCATTTTTTTTCCATCATTAAAGATGCTGCATCAAAAATCTCTGAAGCCAAGTCTTTCTAAACATCTATAATTAATTCCATAGGATAAATCTTAAAGTGGAATTTAAAATACCATGAAATCTTTAACCAACAGACTGTACGAACATGCTTTACCTTTATCTGTGTCCATTATCCAATACTCTCCCAGCATCAGATATTACCATTAAAATGTTTTTATAATTAAAATTTTATATAAGCTATTTTATAAGTAAAACAATATTTTTATTTGCATTTTATTACTGGGCAAGTTTAGAGATTTTATGCTTATTGGCCATTTATATTTCTCCTCTTTAATTACTCTTTTAAATCTTCTGCATATTTTTTCTTTCCATACTTTAATTTTTTATTTAATATTTATTAGTTTGTTATTTTAACTGCAGAGAAGCATAAGGAAGAAAGCTAAACTTCTTCATAGTCTCACCCCAATGATCTCTATTGACTTTAAAAAAACAAAATATGTAGATATTAGAAAATTCAACAGCATGCCTTCTTTCTAATCTCAAAACCAACTCCAGTTCCTCTTTCGAAAGATTGTCACTGAAAATACTGTCGTTTTCTACCATATAAACCACATTACACACACACACACACACACACACACTCATGGAGAGAGAGAGAGAGCTCTTTACCTTGCTTTCATAGTTAATAACATAGATTAGAGATTTTCTCATATAACCACAAACCATATTATTTTCCCAACTGCATAGTATCTATCATATAGATGTACCAGAATTTATTTAACCATTCCCCATGCTGGACACATTGATCGTCTTTATTTGGGTCTTGTTACCTTAACAATACCACAGTACCAGAACGAAAATACTGGTGTGTGTGCATGTGCACATGAGTGCAGAGAGAGAGAAAGAAGGAAAGAGGCCTTTGTGAGTACCAGGACAAATTCCTAATGATGAGGGTTTGCAGCTTATATTTGTCTTAGTGACTAAAAGAATTCTTTATAAATTGAAGATGTTAACACTGGAATTGTAATATAAGTTGCAAAAATTTCATCATAATTTATTATTTGCATTATAATTTTTTAACTTGGAAGTGCATTTTTGGAAATTCAAATCTATGTGCTTTTCTTTCTTAGTTTCTACATGTGATACCACACTTTAAAAAGCTTTTGTCACAGTAAGAGTAGATAAACTTCTACATAGATGTTTTCTAGTACTAATGTAGATCTATTCTTAAGCTTAAAATATTCATCTTTCTGGTACCTATTTTTGGTTTCATTGTAAGGTAGAGATCTAATTTTTTTTTCAAATGCTTAACTAGTTACCCTAAACTGTTGACCAATTAACCTATCCTTTTCTTACTCCTCTAAAATGCCATCTTTATTGTATACTCCATTATTTATGCCTCTTTCTGAAATTTCTTTTCTGTTCTATTGATTCATTTATCCCCACACCAAAAGCACATTGTCTTAATCACGCCAGTATTTTAATATCTAGTAGGTCAAGTCCTCTCTCATTATTCTTATTTTTCAAAATTTTCTTGGCTCTTCTCAGCCATTTATTTTTCCAGATGAACTTTAAAAACATTTTGTTAAGTTCCACCCCAAATCTCACTGGGACTAGAACTGGCTATTCATTGAATTTGTGGATGAATTAGGCGAAAGTTAACATCTGCACTACTAAATCTTCTCATACGGGAATATTATTCTTTATATTCATTTAAGTCTTTTTTTCCTCTCCCTTGGCAAAGTTTTAGATATTTTAATACTCTTCTAGGACATTTTGTAAGTTTATTCAGACATATCTTACATTTCAGTTGCTAGTATAAATAAGGTCTTTTTGTTATTATATGTTTTCAGTTGTTTATGTAACATCAAAATCCATTGTTTTCTGCACAGTAGTTTAATATTAGTTAAAATATTTAGTCTTAGTTAATATTATTAAAAATTAGCTAATCTTAATATGTTTTCATTGATTCCCTTAAGTTTCATAAATAGAGTCACATCAACTACAAACAATGCTAATTTTATCTCCTCCATTCTAGCCTTTGTGGGTCACTTTTCTTACATTTTTAAAGAAATTCTCTAAAACTTACAAGTAGCCTTTTAAAATAGCTTTCATGGCGTTTCATCTTGTGTTGTTGCTAACTGCAGAGGACATGATCCTAGAGAAATCTGGAAAGTGGAGGGATGGTCTTATATCAATATTGTTTTCATGTTAAAGAAACATCCTTTTTTTCCTTGTTATTATTATCCAGAACAAATGTTAAATTTCACCAAATAACTCTTCTGCATTAAACAAGATGTTCATGTGTGCTTTTTCCAGTGCCCTAAAAAAGTTAATAGGTGCTACCAGGTATCTTCGGATGATTCCTTGTTGCATACTGGGAGTACTATTAAATAGCCACAGGACATCATTCTCATGTTTGGAATCTCAAGTCAGAAAAGTTTGAGTTCAAATCTCAGTTCTACTACTTCCTGATTGTATGACAATGAGCAACTCCCTTGACTTGCCCAGGCCATGGGACCTTCCAGAATATTCCATGAGATCTACTGCACAAGCACATGCTCCACTTATGTGAATGTTAGTCATCATTTTGAATAACCTCCTCCTTTCATTATGCTCAAAATTAATTTAAGATGTTCATATCTATTTTCATAGGTTAAATTGATTTACGGTGGGTTTAAAAATATCTTTATCTAGCTTTGACATCAAATATCTTCTCATTTTAACAAATTGAATTGAAAAGATTTCCTCCTTTTCTCTGCCCAGGAATTAATTGTAGCTTGGAAGTTGGAAAGAAGTGAAAATCCCATTTGAAACCAGTGGTGATTGTTAGTTTCGAGTGGTAGAGGGGAAATTGCTTTGTAGTGTTGGGCTTTAGTTTCAGATGGTGAAAGAGTCTATTCAGGTTTTTCTGTCTTACGTTGATCATCATCTCTGCATCTAGTCATATATGTTCCTGCAGCCAACACTGTGAATGGGAAAGTGATTTTTGCATTTTATTTTGCTCTTATTAATGGGAAGATATGCTCCTTTTTTTGTCTTTTCAAAAAACCAGCAGTCAATTTTATTCACCAAACATTGTTTAATGTTTCTATAACATTCTAATAGGTAATTCTATTCTTATCACCTCCTTTCTCCTACTATTCTCAGGTCAACTTATGCGATTTTTGTGTCTCCTTGAGTGGAATGGTGTTTTTTATTGTTGATAATATTAAAAACATTAACAGCCACACATTTGCATATTGATACAGCTGTGGCCACATCCCATGAGGCTTCTTATGTCCCATGCTCATATTATTTATTTCAATAACTGTAATTGAGGTTTGTTTCTTTTTCCCATTTTTACTGACCTATCTTTTCCATTCATGGGAAAATATTTTTAATTTCCAAGTAGTTGTTTTGTTGATATTGTTTTATAAACTGCTATTATTTTTCTGCATTGCCATGACAGACTGTGTCCATATAGTCCTTTTGGGGGAATATATGGATGTTTTCTTTTAGAACATGTGATAAATTTCTAAATGTTCTATGGACATTTAAAAATAGTGTCTATTTTTGGGAGGTATAAACTTTATTATATATTAATTATACTATTAATATTCCATATACTAATTATATTATTGAAATTTCTTACATCATATAATATTTTTCACTTGATACTAACAAGAAGTGTCAAACTCCCCCACTAAAATGGTACTTTTGTCACTCACAAATATCTACCAATATTTCCTTGATCTGTAGTCACTATTAACATCTAATGCTCTGTGCTATTAGAGTTTATATTCATTAGACTGAAGCAGGTCACCCAGGAAACATGGAGAAACAACTTCCTTCTGTCTCCACCTACACCAGTCACTCCAAGGCTGCTTCTTCTCTGTTCTCCAGACTCAATCTAGGGCAAGTCCTATGACGTTTCTGGCATTCTTAGGTAAGAGCAAATCCCCTGGTCACTTCTGGTTACAAAAATAGCTTCAGTTCAGAGACTCATCTGTCCAGTGTAATATTTTCACCCTCCTAGCTTCACATAAAATGAAAGCCGATCCTTCCCACAGCTCACACCTACCGCAGACAGAGCCTGGAGTCAGTGCCCCTGCCTCCTTCTTTCTGCTCTGCCAGCTCCTCCCCTGTCCCCCCAACCCCCAGGCCTGCTGCCATCTGCCCACTCCAGGGATCAAATGAGGGAGGAGGGAGAGGGGAAGGGATTATAGCCCTGGCACCTCCAGGCTTCAGGTCTCAATCTCTCCTTTCTCCTCCTTATCTTCCTCCTTCCCTTCTCTCTCTCTCTCTCCAACACCGGGGGTCAATCACCTTTAAGCACCTCTCAGCCAGGACCTCGACCTAAAGCCTGGGCCATGGCAAAACAGCCGGTTAGCCCCATGCCCAGTGGCTGCAGTCACTCCTAACCGCAGCCCTCCTTTCATTAACTGCCTGGCAGGGCGCGGCAGCCACAGCCTTTCACCCTTTGGAGCTCCAAGGCTGCAGCCAGCCTTCAGGCCCTAAGCTGCAGGGGCCACACAGCAAGTTCCCAGGAGCCTCTCCCCGAGGGCTTGAGAAGAAGCCCACACTGGCACAAAGGTTAGGGAGGAACCCACAGCAACCAACAATTCTCTCCAGAGAAATAACCTTCTAATCCCCCTCCCCTCTCGCCATCATGGACCTTTAATTCCCCAAGAGCCGGAAAACTGGGTTTTGACCACCCTGTTTGCACTTCCTGCACAGGTGGGCTGACCCCTCACTTTTGGAAAGCAGGAACCGGCAGTCCCACATCCTGGGGCCTCAGCCAACTCTGAGACTAAACTAGTTTCACGTTACCAACCTCTTACAAAATTCATCATTAGTCATAATGGATGCCAATACAAAATATATATCCTTATTCCATTTAACGACTTTTTCATTTTATTGCCATATTAATTCATTCTGGTATGCAGTAGACTTGTATATTTTTAGCCACCATGTAGTCTTATATATGGTTGGATTATCTCCTTTTATTTAGACTTAAATCTTTGCCTTTTAATGCAGTAATTTATTCCATTCCTATTTATTAGAATAATAGATGTATTAGGTCTTCTGCCAGCTATATCATGCTACCTTTATATTTGATTTTTCTGTCATTGTCGTCTGTCTTGTGCTTTGCTGATCAAGTTCCCCTGGCATATATACATAAACATATAAAAATATTTTGAACATTTTGTCTGTTATATAAGTTTTTAGGGCTGCCATAATAAAGTACCACAAACTGAGTGGCTTAAATCC
This sequence comes from Homo sapiens, assembly GCF_000001405.40. Classification (NCBI taxonomy): domain Eukaryota; kingdom Metazoa; phylum Chordata; class Mammalia; order Primates; family Hominidae; genus Homo; species Homo sapiens. Next base: position 129,175,652 of record NC_000010.11, read on the forward strand.
ATATAAGTTTATTATCTCACAGTTCTGGCAGCCAGAAGTCTGAAATTAAGGTATCAGCAGGACCAGGGTCCCTCCAAAGCCTCCAGGGGAAGATCTCTCTTTGCCTCTTCTGAAGTCTGTAAGCCCCGGGTGTCTTTAAGTTGTGGAAACATCATTCCAATAGCTGCCTCTGGCGTCACACTGCATTCTTTCAAGAACACCAACTGTATTGGATTAGGGGCTCACCCTTCTTCATTATGATCTCACCTTAACAAATTACATCTGCAACAGGCTTATTTCCAAATAAGGTTGCCTTCTGAGGTATTGGGGCTTAGAAATTGAACATTTTGGGTGGGGGGCGGTGGCAACACAATTCAACCCATAGCATTTGTCACCTTCGGGTACTCTGGAACTGTGGTGAACCCTGGCGCTTTCGAGTAAGCACTCAAAAACTACTTATGAATGAATAGATTTAAAGGAAGGACAGCATAATTAATGCCTGGGAGCAAATCCCACCTGTGGATTATGCTCGGCTTCTTATCCCCCGAGGGCTCCTGGCAGTGGAGCCCACTGGGCTGGAGGATGGAGACAGGCATGAACTCTCAGGAGCAAACGTGGTAACAGAGCCTGTCAGGATGTGAGTCTGCTGTGGACCCAGCTATCTGTCACTGACATGAGAAAGGCCAAGCAAAGTCGTGCCCCTTTTTCCTAAGAGATTGGAATAGCTCGGAGGGACAGTGTGGGCTCTGTCGCCTCACTGAGCCATCCGCCATTGTTTGTTGATGGATTGCTGGGTTGTAACTCTGTTGCAGGTCCAGACACCTGCATGCGGTTGATGCTTTCCCCACTGTCCCTCCCCTTAATCAGTTTCTTACTAGAAATTCCTATTAGAGCTTCATCAGGCAACCTTCCAAAAGGCAGAAAAGCTCAGGTATAAAAATCGACCCACCCTGGCTCCTTCGCATGTGCAAGTTTAGATTTCAGATTTACTCCTTCCAGGATCTTTTCCAAATTCTGACCTGTGCTTTATCCACTCCTCTTTATTTCTTAGACATATCAGCCAAAGTTCTTATGGAAGAAGGAAAACACTAATTTCAATGAATTCTATTTAACTCTAAAAATAATTCAGACATGCAGAATATGGATGATCAAAAAATGCCCCATCCTCATTTCTTAGTAAATGGTGAGAATCAACTTCCCCAAAATGGTCCTCTATTACAGACAGCACAAATCAGTTATTGATATTCACAAAGATGAACATACATGTTCTGGAAAGAACATACATATTCTGGAAAGAAACAATGTTCTTTTCTGGAAAGAAACAAAACCAGATGTTCTCTTCAGGGCTGACCCCTAAATGAAGTAACCTTAGAAGGAAAACAGCCTCAGTTCAGAGCCATGGGCAGTAGTTTCAGGTGAGCCTGGGGTAAATTTACCCATGCAATTTGATTCTAGCAGCCCAGAAGGATAAATATTTATTACCCTAGTTATAAACCCACCAGAAAAAAAAATCAAATCTAAAGTCACAATCCAACCATTGCAGTGGCTGTTTCAGCAGATCTTGTTTCTGAAATCTGAGCAATTGGACAGAAATTCTTGGAGAAATGTTCAGACCGAGACAATCCCTCCTGCCTTTCCATCATCTGGTGCAAACCTGCGCCTGCACTCTGATCTTCTCAAAGCAGGAGAGCAAGTTGGGCAGCATCTCACAGATGTTTGTGTGTAAAAGTTTGGTTTGAGAAACCTGTATCTCTTCCTGTCGTGCACAAAGCAAACCCCACTGTAAAGAGAGGTTTGTCCCTAGGCTGACCTGGTCCAGCCCACCCTCCCCAGGCAAGGTGTCATTCTTTGTAGGAGAGAGTATTTGCCCAATGTCTGTGATGGGCTCTCAGACTGCAGAGAGGAGAGTGAAGTTTGATTCTTCATTGCCTATTCCTCCAGCTTCCTGACATTTTTCCGGTTGTTGTTTCAGATGATGCTAACTCACTCCCTGGAATAAAGAACAGCCTGCAAGTTCAGCATTACCATGTCCTTATTTGCTAGTTCAAGTTCTCACTATGATATAAAGTGTGCAAAGACATAGACTCCCCTAGACACAGGAAGAGTCCTCGCTGCTTTGCTTGAGCAGTGAAATGGGAGGCCACAATAGTATAGAGAATACTTTTCAACTCAAAGCCGAGTAAGTGAAGATCTAGCACGGTCTACGCTTTAATCACCAGGGGCAGCAGCAGAAACCAGCAGCTCCACGCTCAGGCCAGGTCTCCTCATAGTTTCATCCATGACATGGTTAAGAGGCAAGTGGATGTCAGCTTGGGGTTTTGTACACTCAATGTCAACGGGAAGCAGAAACAGGCATTGAAGTTCAGGCCCATTTTAAGGATCACTCAGTCTGCTTGTGTTCACCGTAAAGAGTAGCGGCAAATAAGTCCTCATTAAATTTCCCCAACTATATTAAAAGTATACTCTGATTTTGCATGTTGAAAATGTTTGTGCTTCTTTTAAAAATTCATTCAAATGACACTGAACAGAAAACTGTTAAAGAGGGACACCTGATATGTGGATTTCAAGGGACAGAAAGCCATGGGAAGCTGTGATCTTCTGGGATAGCCCAAATGACCGTGTTTGCAGCGACTGGAACCCCAGCGCTCATGGGCATAGCTAGATACACACGCAGTCTAGCTGCCGTCTCCTGCTCAGCTTCATCTCAGAGGGACCCCGTTCCAGCTCATCCCATTCTCCCACCTAAAGCCACGTCCCATGGTCCTGCCCAGCATCCTGGCACCCTGCTCCGGAAGCCCCTGCCTGGCCTCTCCTTAACTTCCCTGGCATCTGCCTTCTGGGATCCTGGAGCATTTTCCCTCTGCACCCCCTCCACACTGTTGGGTGTTGAGATTATTATTCCCTTCCCAGTTAAATTTGTTTCCAGTGAGTGTTTTGGTTTCCTGTGGCTGCCATAACAAACTCACCCAACCTGGGGGCGTCTAAAACAAACAACAGAAACTTCCTCCCTTACAGTTCTGGTGGCCGGGAGTCTCAGGTGAAGGCGTTGGCAGAGGTGGTTCCTTCTGGAGGCTCAGAGGGAAAGTAAGTTCATGCCTCTCTCCCAGCTTCTGGTGTGCACAGCAGTCCTTGGTGTTGCTTGGCTTGCAGACACATCTCCCCAATCTCTGCCTTTGTCTTTGAATGTGTCTTTGTGTCTCTCCTCTTTTTGTAAGGACACTAGTCATATTGGATTAGGGGCCCACCCTACTCCGTTATGACTTCATTTTAATTAATTACCTCTGCAAAGAATCTATTTCTAAATCAGGTCACATTCTAAGGTTCCTGGAAGGACACGAATTTAGGGGGGACACTGTTCAACCCAGTACACTAGGGATCTGACCTTGAATTTTAATATGCTACTCTCAGTGCACCTGCTCCAGTACCCTACGCTGAACAAACAATCCAGAATTAGGTGTTGGTGATTAATTTTACCTTATCCTGTCCTGTCCCAGTATGGACACTTGACCCAGCAGAGAAGACACATGGGTGTGGCCCATGGACAGACTTACACAGATACATCGTGACCTCTTAAGTTGCCAGAAATCATGGATGAAGGGCAACAAAGGATTGGAGACTCTGCAGAGAGAGTCTGTATCAACATATACCTCGAAAGAGTTAAACTTCTGAAGCAAAGGCTACGGAGTTAGTGAAGCCACAAATGCTGGGGAAACTGCACGGGCATTCAGCCCCACAAGATCCCTTCTGAGCACAGTGCAGGCAAATGCTGGCATGGAAAGGACCCCCAGATGAGCCAGGAAGTCTTCCACTCCATCATGAAGAATTGTTCTCTGGAGTGGGGGCCAGCAGGGACGTGTTTGAAACACTTACCATATGTGCCTGAGAAGGGTCTAATTTGTCCATCTTGAAATTTTGCCTTTCTTTTGAAAGGATAGTTAATTTAAAGTAATTTGTTTCACAGGTGAAGCCTTTTTCCAAGTGTTTAATATATCACCCTTGGTTGCCTGAACAATTAGAAATTGTCACCAAAGAAAAATGTCGCAGTTCATGTAAATAACTGTTTACCTAAAGGAATGGGAACCCGCGAGAGTCAGCATACTTTAATGAGGCATGACAACAGAGAGAAAGCCCGGGCCGGCTGCATCTGAGAAAGCTGACATTGCTTATGGTAAAAATTGGCCAAAACAACTATTATTTGTTTTTTTCTTGTCAGAAATAATGTAGCTTGAAAATTTTCAACAGGCAGCATGAGCCCAGACCATTTGTTACTTCTAATGGCCTAATTGTTCTCCTGGCAGATATAAAAAATTGGGGCACTTGTATCATTTACCTAAATGTCTAATTAATGCAATGGCAAAAGAGAAATTGGAGCAGGAAAAAAAAGTTGAACAATGTGACTGTTAGCTGTTATGTAACCTGTCTTTGTTAACTTTCCCACTATTTTCCCCAGCAGCACGTACTTTTGATCACCAACTAGACGTCATACTGTTTGTTTCAACAGGAGGAGGGAAAGATATATATCATTTGCTCAGATCTTCAGGAAATGGGCCTTCTGCTTTCTTAGCAAGCAACAAAAAATCCCTTTGCAATGAAAGGTGAGTTACATGCAGTTGGCATTTCCTGAAGAATTTGTACTTCTAGCACCCCTGAGTAGCAGAGACATACATTCCACATCTGCGTAGCTCCTAGACCATGCTCAGGCATAGATTCTAATCCATACATCTGCAATCGGATTTCTAATTTTAAGGCTTTGGCATACAATGAATCATCTAATGTTCGAAAATTCTTGGAATCATGCATAGCTGTAAAACAACCTCTTACTACAGAAGTCTTAACATTCTGTCTGTTGGACCCTTGATGATGTTTCTCTTGCAGTTCAAAATAATTCCCCTGAAAACGGAGGTAAAAACGCATTCCAGAAATGAATTTATGGCTGACGTTAACGAAGCTATAATAATGCGAAACAGCAGTGCGCACTGTGTTTCCCTTAGAATGACAATTCCATGAAATGCTTGGTGAAAAAAAAAATCTGAGGCATACTAGCTTTTCTTCTTAGAGCTCATTGAGACATGAAAGTTTCTGAGACGTTCTGCAGTAAAGAACCATCTTTCAAGGTATTTAGATGCTCATTTTTCAAATGTATTTGACTTCATGATCCTTATTTTTACATGAAAAAAAATCATATCCTGCAGAAAAGAAATCTGTGGAGCCTAATTCTGATAATGAAGTACTTACTGGTTTGTGAAGGAATCCATTCCAGTGATAACGCTAATAATTGGATTAAGAGAGATGAAGTGCACGGAACACCTAGTGAGAGGCTGGGGTGTAGTGTCTAATAGATGTTAGTTGGCTAGTGAAGAAAGAAGAGGGGAAAATTACTCTTCATACTAAAGTTTAAAACAATACCTTCTGAGGCTTTCCTCCATGACTTAGAGAATCAGAGACCAGAACTAACCACAGGTATCTGAGAATGACCGATGCCCCCTCCTTCAAATTGCCTCTGCTCCAAAGGACAAACTTCTGATTCCCATAACAGCAACTCACACAGAAATGTTTCCCTATCCTTCAAAAGCAGTCAATGTCCTCTGCATAGAGCCAGCTTCTGGGAGTCCTTTCCAAAACGTGGCATCCTGTGCCACCTCCATTATGGGGGGCTCATTCCATGCAGTTATTTTTACTCTCCAGTTCCAAATATTTAATTCTCTGAGAGCTGGCATATTTTGAGTCCGGATCAATCAGATTCTCAAAATAGCTTTCATGGGAAGCACTGTGACATCACTTGTCTCCATTTTATCTTCTTTCTCTCTAGTTCCCAGCCCATGGCACCCATTTCCATGATTTCAAATATTATCTGTGTGCTAGTGGCCCCGCATTTTATTTCCAGTCTGTGCTTTCCTTTTACTTGTGATCTCTACTTGGATATCTCAACATAAATTTTACACGTGCAAAATGGACCTTTGGAATCCCCTGCCGTTCCCCCAAACTCTGTAGTTCCAACCCCTTTTTTCCACCCATAAGAACAGAATCCAGCCGGTTTCTCGAGCTGAAAACCCAGGTGTCTTCCTTGATTGCGTCTTTGCGCTCAGATCCAGTTCATTCACCAGATCTGTAGGGCCTACCACCAACTCCCATTGTGAGCAGGTCCAGTTCCCTCTGCGGTCCCTGCCTTACTCGCATCTCGGCCACTGTCCACTCTCTGTAGCTACTACAGTGGCCTCCTGCCCGCTTGCCCTACCTGAGGTTTGACTCCCTCCTGTCCATTCTCCAGAGAGCAAATGGAAGGACTTTAAACCAAGCAGTGAATACAGTGTTATCACTTCCTGGCACAAATCCCTACCAAGGAATCCCAGTGACTTTCAAATAAAATCCCAACTTCTGAAGGTAGACCCTGGGTCTACCTTCTTTCTATCTTTCTATTTTCCTATCTTCTATCTACCTTTCTATCACCTTCTTTCTTCCCTAGCCCATTCCCAAATGTCACCTTCTACTTCCTTGTACCCTGGCAAGAGAGCTTCTGGAAGCTTCTTCTAGTAACCAGCTTCTCCTAGCCTCGGAGCCATCACTCGAACCGTTCCTTCTGTCTTGGAAGCTCCTCTTGCCACTCCCCTCTCCCTTCCCTTCCCCTGGTCAATGCCTGCTCATGCTTTGGTCTCTTTTATTTTCCTCTTGCTATTACATGTACCTTACGGCTGTAATTACACAGAAATCCCTGACTATTTCTCAGAATATTTCCTTTCAATCATCACTTTGAAGATTCTTTGATTTTTTTTTTTTTTTTTTTTTTTTTTTTTTTGAGACAGAGTCTCACTCTGTCACCCAGGCTGGAGTGCAGTGGCGCGATCTCGGCTCACTGCAAGCTCCGCCTCCCGGGTTCACACCATTCTCCTGCCACAGCCTCCCGAGTAGCTGGGACTACAGGTGCCCACCATAACGCCCGGCTAATTTTTTGTATTTTTAGTAGAGACAGGGTTTCACCGTGTTAGCCAGGATGGTCTCGATCTCCTGACCTCATGATCTGCCCACCTCGGCCTCCCAAAGTGCTGGGATTATAGGCGTGAGCCACCGCGCCCGGCCCACTTTGAAGATTCTTGATTCATGTTGACACACTGCTCTCCAGAAAGGAAAATAATTTCCTCCTCTAGAGGGTAGTATAGGAATCTGCCACTATCATCACACCTGTATCCATTTCCTTGGGCTGCCATGACAAAGTACCGCAGACTAGGGGCATAGAACAACACACGTACATTGTCTCAGAGTTCTGGAGGTTAGACACCCAAACTCCAGGTGTTGGCAGGACCAGCCTTCTCTGATGGGTCTAGAGGAAAATCCTTCCTTCCCTCGTCCTAGTTTCTGGTGTTTGCCAGCAATGCTTGGCCTGTAGACACAACACTCCACTGATGTGACCTATGTTGCCCTGTAGACGCAACACCCCCGTGATGTGACATCTCCCTGTATCTTCATAGCATCTTCCCGCCGTGCATGTCTGTCTCTGTGTTCAAATTTCCCTGTTGTACAGAGCACCAGTCCTACTGGATTAGGGGCCACCCTGATCACCTCGTTTTAACTTGTTACCTCTAATAAAGACCTGATTTCCAAGTAAAGTCACATTCTGAGGCCCTGGGAGTTAGGACTCCAACATATGGTTTTGTAGAACAGACAGGACTCAACCCATAGCAATGCCCTGGCCAGCCCCTCTCCTTGCATTATCATATTTATAAAATATTATCTACCTGCTCACTTCCAGTTGCTTTAATTTCCTTTGGCATAGTCATTGGTGAATTTGTACACTTGCTCATTTTCCTTCATCACTTGAACTTCTTTTGTGGATTTCCAGTTATGCCTTTAACACATTCAGTCCTGACAGAAATTCTTCCAAGCTTTTCATCCACCTCTTCTGCTCTGCCTGCCCACCAGGGACGTTTGGATCGCCCAGTTAACAGAAGGAATTACAAACGAAGCACTGCACTTCTTCCTCTGGTCACTGGTGGTGAACATGCTTCAGAAGCATGAAAGTGAGCAACTTGCTTCTCAACAGGAAGACTGGACCTGTTGTCACATAGAATTGGCAAGAGCTAAAATTTATTTGCCTAACCCCCAGCAAAAATTCTAGAAAAGGATGTTTCTCATTGGTTAAGTGAAAAATAACCAAAAATCCTCCGTGTGACTCATTTCTACCTATTATAGCCTCAATTATTGCAAACTATCCTAGCAGTGCCTATTTTTTAAAGCTCTTTTATTCATTTCCACTAAACATGCCAAGCACTGCTATTATTACGCGAAGTGTGAATTTTTTAAAAACCATCGAACTGTATTATATTAAAACAATAAAAGTGATTATCTAGTCCAAACCCCTCCAATTTACCAATGAGGAAAATGAGATTTAGGGAGTTAAGCCTAAGATTACATGGACAATTAGAGGAAGAAAGCAAGGTCTAGAACACCAACTGCCCACTCCCAGCTAAGCTCTTCCCCAGCCTGGCTGTTGTCAGTCTTTGTAACTGTGGACCTTAGGAAATACCTCAAGGGAATGTGGTTATCATTTGAGATAATAGTGGTTACTCTGATATTTATGACTATGTGACAGGCACGGTATTTCGTTTCTTACTCACATCTCTCACCTGAGGCCCGTAACAACCCTCTGTTGCAGGCGCCATTCCACTTTATGAAATAAGCCCTGGAGTTTGGGAGATCACAGGCCTGCTGCCAGGGTCACAGAGCATTGAGTTCAGGCCAGGACTTGGCTCGGGTTTCTAAGACGAGTGAGCTCTTTCCACTAAATTCCACTGAATTTCCACTGAAATTTTGACTTCTTCCAAGACATTACAGTCACACCTGGCCTTTTCTGGCATCAAAAAGCTCCTTGGAAAGGCAGAGTTATTGAAATAGCTACTGCGAAGCAAAGTGTGCAGCTCTGAAATCTCAGTCCTGAAATAAGGCCTTCCATTGCTTCACTGCTACACACAAACCTTCTTTCCCCATCCCCATAAACTAAGAAACTTACATTTCTGGGACTGAAAAATACAGTTAAATTCAAAGGGCCATTTATGATATTTTTATAAAGATGTTTTCTCTCTTGCATTAATGGGAACAGTTCCTATTTAATGTAAAACTAGGCCCTGGCAGCGGTGTCAATATTTCTAGCTTCATTATTATACGTGTGGTCTTATTGATTCTGTTCATAGTTTTACTGTTAAGAATTAAGTCATGAGCCTTGTTTCTTAATCTCTTTTTATCCTCAGTACTCAGCCTAATCATTCTTTACATTAAAGGATTAGTGCTCGGGGTGCAACTGGACAAATAATAATCCACCTTGGAAAAGATACTTTTCCAAAAGGAGAACAAGGGTAATTTTTCCTTGTAAGCAGGCTTAGCAGAGAGGGCAATGGCCTTGAAGGTACTTAAAGAGTGCGAGAGTGTCCATGCATAGCAATTCCTCCTCAGTAGATGGGGAAAAGCATTCCATTTTCCATAACAATAATCCTGGCTTCTCGTGGTCCAGCTTAGTAACTCCGTCATCGTGCAGCCCCGTGACACTGCTTCCCTTGGAAAGATTAAACACCCTAGCGTGTGGGTCCTACCCTTCAGCCATCCCAAAGTCTGATGGGAGGTAGGACACAGGAGACCACCAGGATTTCTGTGGCCACTTGATGACAACGAACCTGTGCTCTCCACATTGAGGTGGTGGAGAAGTTTCAGGATCTACCCCAGTGGCCCCTGGTGTATGTTTTCCCACTTGGGAGACTTGAGTGAACCCTGATTCACTCCACAGCTGAGTTGCTTTAGGGGAAAGAGCTACTACCCATTAGAGAAAAAGCCCTCTCTGTTGGAGGGAAATTACTTTAACCATTGAAGGGTAACGTCATTCATCCAGGTAAACCTTGGAGTCGAAACCCTAATACCTCATTACTGACAGATTCCAAGCCAGCCGGAGATCCGGCAGAGTAAATATTGATGTCCACAGCCCCAGGGAGATTTCCACCAGAATAAGCAGTGGGACCTTTGTTCCCGCTCTTTGCTCAAATACCATCATGCAGACATTGCCACCATCCACTGCCCCCCATTTGTAAAAGCACAGACTTAACATATGGAAGTGTGCTGGACTCTGCTGTATAGAGGATAGGCACATTTCTGTGTCCTCAGGGATGGAATGGCTGGCTAGGAGCAGCATCACCCAAAGAAATCCCATAGCTTTAGGGCAAAGCAGATCTAGAGGTGACCTCTTACTCTGCCACTTCCAATCTTGGCAGCCTTGGGCAACTCACCTGACTGGTCTCAGGAGTTCCAGTATCCTCAGTGCCAAAATGGGGATAGAAATACCTATTCCTCAAAGGCTGGAAACAATAAATGAGGCAATAGATACAGATGTAAATATCTATTACAGTGACAGACACTCATTAAAGAGCCACCATGATTACTGTCAAAGCCAGACTCCATTATTGACAGAAAACCAAGAGGAAAGAAATGTGCAGCCCTGTACTGTCATTCACTATTATTTTAATTAATCAATTTCAGTATTGAGGCTTCGAACAGAGTCATTCAATAGAGAAACTTTATAAGAGGAAGCTGAAATGGCTTGTGATCTATTTTTAAATCTGCTGCTTCCTGGTTGAAGAGTTTGGTTAACTAGTTTATCGATGCTTTGTTTTATATTCCTCACCTATGAGATAGAGATGATTAGTCGTAACATAATTATAACATACAACTCAAAAAACACCAGGATACACTGCCAGTCAGTGAAAAAAGCCATGGTACATAACGGGTACATAATAAATGTTTGTTGAAATAATGAAAGTTAAATGAAAGCAGAGAAATATCTGTTTTCAATGTGTTACCAAAAATATATCTGAACCTGAGAGTTAAGTAGCTCCAGTAATAACATTTTTAACATACTTTTTATTCTTTCAATAGTCAAACAAGTATCAAGTACCCAATATGTGCCTGCATATTGAGAACATGAGAACATTGAGGAAATACAGCCTAGGACTTGGGATCTAGTGGGGAAGACAGACAATTTTTTTTAAGCACTACGTCTGTGCCATAACAGAGGAACAGATGAGGTGTTTGGAGAGCACAAGACAACGTAGACCGCTAAATAGGTCTGTTGAGATCAAAAGAGGCTTCCTGGAAGAGGCAAAACTTGAGTTGATACTTGAAGAAAGAAAGAAGTGGGAACTCTTAAACAAGAAGATGAGCATTCCAGACGGAATTTCATGGTGCATGAGTGGGTGCCACATGCAAAAGTGCAGGCCTCTGTGAGCAATACCAATAGGATGCAGTGTGAAGACCATGTAGGGGGTCATAAGAGAGGGGCATAGGCCATATCAGCAAAGGCCTCATAAGCCATAGGTTAAACTCTACCTTTGGATAATGAAAAGCATTGACTAAGTAGAAATCTAACATTACCCATAGGAGAACATGACTAGAAGGGGTGAAATAGAGGCCTCAGTTAAGAGGCTAGTGTGTTAGTCTGCTCTCACACTGCTAATAAAGACATACCCAAGACTGAGTAATTTATGAAGAAAAAGAGGTTTCATGAACTTACAGTTCTGTGTGGCTGGGTAGGCCTCACAATCATGGCAGAAGGTGGAGGAGCAAAGGCACATCTTACATGGAGGCATGCAAGAGATCATGTGCAGGGGAACTGCCCTTTATAAAACCATCAGATCTCATGAGACTTATTCACTATCATGAAAACAGCATGGGAAAAAACCCATCCCCATGATTCAGTTACCTCCCACCGAGTCTCTCCTATGGCACTTGGGGATTATGGGAACTACAGTTCAAAATGAGATTTGGGTGGAGACACAGCCAAACCATACGAGCTAGTCTGCAGTTTGGCCAAGAAACTATGTGGAGTGAGGAAAAGCCAGAAGCTTGAGATGACTTCCAGATTTCTGGCTCAGGTAACTGTATTAAGAGTGATGTAATTTGCCAAAAATAGAGGTCTCAAAGGAGGAGGGCCAGGTCTAGTAGAAGTGGAAAGGTAATTTATAAGTTAAGTTTTGGTCACAAAGACTTTTGTGTGCCTAAAGGATATACTGATAGAGAAATCCTCAATGCAGTCAGAAATACACATCTGAAGCTTATAGCATATTCAATGGTAGTCATAGGAGACCAGAAGTCATGAGAACATATAAGATTTCCCAGGGCAAATTTGGAGAGTAAAAGAAAAGAGTGCCAAGGAGGGATCCTGAGAAATGACAAATATTTAGAGTCAGCTATAGGAAGAAAAATATCCAAAGGAGACTGAAGAGTTGGTTGAATGAGAGAAGAATGGTTTGAAAGCACATGGAACATTCAGATATCTCAGTGATTAAAATGGCAAAAGAGAAATGGGTTTCAAGAAGAGGAAAGTTAATTGAAAACAATAGAGGAATATTTTTAGAGTGAGGAAGTTCTAAGTATACTAATAATAAAATAGAAAATTTTAAGAAGACACATTTTAAAAATGTTAAATGGTAGATTTATACCTGAATATATAAGTAACTACACAAAATGTCAGTGGATGAAGTCTTCTAATTAAATGAAGTGGAAAAAGCTGTTAGACTACGTGAAAATCAGAAGAACCCAATCTCATGCTACTTGGAGAAACATATCCTAAATGTTAGAACACAGAAAGCTTACAGCAAAAGCGTGGGAAAGCACATATTATACACACTCTAATTAAAAGAAAACTGTTGTGTATATGTTGAAGTAAGAAAAATTGGATTTCAAAATGGGATTATTGCCAAAGATAAAAAGGAATGTATCATAATTTTAAAGAGTCCATTCATCTGCAAAAAATAGCAATCATAAATGTGCATGTACCTAATAATATAGCTTCAAAATCTATGAAACAAAAAGTAACAGAACTAAAAGGGAAAATAGTGAAATCTACAATCACAGTTGGAGATTTAGCACACCTTCTAAGTAATTAAAGTGAGAAAAAACAGTAATAATGTAGATTTTAACAGCACGACTAACAAACTTGACCTAATTGGCAAAGACAGAACACTATGCTCAATTATGTTAGAATAAGCATTCTTTTCAAGTGCACATGTAGCACATACCAAAATATGCCTAATGCCAGTAGTTGAGCAAATCTCAATAGATTTTAAATGATTAAAAAAATTCAGAGCATGATCTCTGTCCGTAGTGTACATAAGTTAGAAAATAATAATAAAAAGATAACTAAAAATTCTGCAATTGCTTGAAATAAGGCCGTTTACCAAAAAATAACCACCTATGTAAATATAAAAGTGAAATTATATTGAACTAAAAATAACAAACAAAATTATATGAGATGTAGCTAAAGCAATGCTTAGAGGAAAATTTGTCACTTTAAATATATACATTAAAAGAAAGAAGAAAGACTGCAAATTGAACACTAAACATCCCTCTGAAGAAATAAAAATAAAAAACAGAAAATTATGCCAAGCACTGTGGCTTATACCTGTGATCCCAGCGCTTTGGGAGGCCAAGGTGGGAGGATTGCTTAAGCCCAGGCATCCAAGACCAGCCTAGGCAACATAGGGAGACCCTGTCTCCACACAAAATTTTTTAAAAATATTAGCTGGTCCTGGTGACACACACCTGTGGTCCAAGCATCTGGGAGGCTGAGGTGGATGGATCGCTCAAGCCCAGGAGGTTGAGGCTTCAGTGAGCTATGATCACACCACTGCACTCCAACCTGGGCATCAAAGAAAGACATCTTCTAAAAACAAAAACAAAAACAAAACAAAAAAAACCCACAGCTAATTAAGTCCAAGGAAAGCAGAAGAAAGGAAATAATAAAGATGAGAGCAGTAATCAGTGCAATGTAAAGGAAACATATAGTAAGTAAAAATTATTTGGCATCTTTGAGGAAAAAAACGTACAATATCTCTAAGACCTTAGAAGATCAACAAATTTTAAAAATTAAAATTATGCAGTATCAGGAATACAGAAGGGGTCATCACCACAAGTTCTACAGACATTAAAAGGTAATAAGATGGTACTATGAATACCTTTCTGCCAGTGAATTTGAAAATACAGACTGGACAAATTACTTTCAAAATATAACCTACCAAACTGACACCAGAAGAGACATAAAATCGGAATAGTCCTGTGTCAATAACCAAAACTGAATTCTCCATTAAAAACTTCCCACACAAAAAAATACAAGACCCAGATGACTTTACTGTTGAATTCTTTCAAACATTTAGGAAGAAAATAATATCAATTTTACACAAGCTCCCTCAAAGAGTAGAAAGAGAGCAAATACTTCCCAATTTGTTTGTGAGACTAGCAAATGCCAATTACAGCGTATAAGAAAAAATATACATATTCTCTCTCTCCCTCTCTCTACATATATTTGTATATACACATACATATATATAGTGCACATACAATATAATGTATATTACAACATACTATACAGAAAATGCAAAGTAAATGTATGTACATATGTATAAGTATATGTTCATGTATTATATATAATGTGTGTCTTCCTATAACTTGTGTGTGCCCACATGCAGAGAGTTCTGAAAGAAAGGAATATATAATAAAGATAACTACCGTTATTTTAGGTAGTTGGAATTATCTTGTTCTTTTTTCATTGTTTCAGAATTTTCATTTTTTTAAATAAGTATGTGCAACATTTATGTTGAAAATGTTATAGCTCTTTTATTTTGAAAAAATAAAGTGAATGTTAAGGCATGTTACATTTTTTAATGGTGTTATTCAATATAATTCACACTCCTTTTAATTTCCTTACCACTTAAAGTTTACAATTCAATGACTTTTAGTGTATTCACATAACAGAGATCAGAGAAAATACTTCAAAAATGTCCCTTAGAATGTTAGTTTTAGTTAGATATAAGTAAACTTTAAAGTATAAGTTAAATCCAATAAATTATAGTGGGTTGTGGGATAAAAAGCCAAGTGAAGAAGTAAAGACTGAATAAAAACATGCATTTTCAAAAAGCTTGATTGTGAAGGAGGGGAAGAAAGATACTATCCAATGGGAAGCCCCACCATTGAGGGAGGGTATTTTCATAGGAGGTATTTGAACATACATATCCTCTCAAAGCAAAGAGAGGCAATAAAAGCAACAACAAAGAAGAATGGTTTTATGGATTAAGACTTTCTGGAACAGATGGGGGAAACACAGTGAGACACACCATTGCCAGTCTTTATTGGACTTTGTTCTCCTCTCTGTTCTCAGAGTCCTTGTTGTCCTGGCTTCCTTAGGGACCTACTTCACCCTGTCCTGCAGTCATTCCAGGTGCTTGCCAGGAGCCTGTGGCATCACCCTCTAGCTTGCACCTGCCATCAACACAATGGGGAAGCAAAGTGGGAGGGAAAACAAATTATTTCTCCCAGCCCCTACTTCTGGGTCTCCACTTCATCCCATCCTTGGAGACTTCTTGGAAACTCTCCCTGCAAAAGACTGTGGCAAACTCCTTGGGTACCGTGCCTAGCAGCATGGAGCAAGAAGGCCAGGAGGGCTGCCTTCAGGCTCCTCCTGCTTGGTTCTTAACCACCTAGTTTTTCTGGTTATCTTCAGTTACCAGAGATGTGCATCTCTGCCTGACATGTCTGACTTCCTTCTGCAGTGTTCAAGATTATTCCATACTCATGAATATTCATCCAAAGAAAAGAAAGAAGAAAATAATTGATTCAAAGGGTAAGATCTACTATTAAAAAAAGGAGGGAAGTGGGTAGAAACATGAGACAAAATAAGATTTGAGTCTCGGAGTTTTAGGTGTGAGAAAGAGTAAATTTTTGTATATAAAAGAAAGTTCTTATACATAAATATATTTTATATACACACATATTATCCTATTAATAAAAGTGAATCACTGAAGCAGAACCCAGCCCCAGCCCCAGCCCCAGCCCCAGCCCCTGTAGGGGCCTAGAAACAAGAACTTATCTGGAATAAAGGAGGAAAATGACCTCTTAGGAATCTGGTTGATTTTTGACAAGAAACAGTTGGTGATTTATAAAGTTCCCAAATTGTTTTTAAAAGATGATGGTATTTTTCTTGAAATTATCTAGAACCCTCTACCTTTGTCTCCTTCATACCAGTGAGAGTCCTTGTCCCTAAATTCAGCTGCTCCCCCCAAATAATAACCTCTTCAATCCCCTACTCTCCTGACCCACTCAAACTTGAGGTTAGAGCACCGGACAGTAGTTAGAGAAATTTTTGGCAATATAAAGGAAAAAAATTTTAATTTGAGCAACAGATGGACAATTGCATATTTCATTGTGGTTGGCAGCTTGCCTTTTCTTAAAGGGGCATTCACGAGCCCTGCCAACGGGGGCCTCAGGTGCTCCCAGCTGGTTCCCACTAACCAGGGTGGGCATGGGTCCAAGGCATCTTCATGCCGGGCCCCGCTGACATCTTCAAGTGCACTGCAGCCTCAGGACCCTGACTGGCTCCCAGCCAGGGTGACTGCTTTGTGCAGTGAATCAAAGTCACTGACCATTTCTGGAACCAGAGATGGTGTCTGAAGACATCCTCAAATCCACAGCAGGCTACTGCTTTCTCTCAAAGAAGGGGCAGCCCTTACTTTCCAGCAATCCCATTATCCCATCTGTTTTCCAGGCAAATGCAAGCGGCAACCCTCCACCAAGTTGTCTTTCACGCACACATGTACTTCTTTAATTGTTTGGGGAATTTGGAGGTCATGAGCTTGGGAGACTACAAGCTAGTGACTTTAAAAACACAGAATGCTAGACCTAAAAACATCCTTGACCTCATGTACCACGCCTGTGTTTAATTTAAAGGGTAAGGAAAGTGAGACTCTAAAGTCATACCCAGTGTGGAGCAGTGTTCAGTCCCCGGGTCCGTGAAGCAAACCCTCCCACTCAGGTAACACCCAGGCATCCCCAATCTAGCAAACGAGTTCCTCCTGGGACTCCCTTTTTCTCTCCCCAGACAAAACAATGTGCCCGTTGCATCCTGGTGACAGCACAGCAGTAGCACGGCTGGCCATTTCCTTCTTGTCCATCAGGCCGTCTCCACCTCCATCTGGGGGGCAGATTGGATCTTGCCAGGTTTTAGATCTCAAGCCCGACATTTAGTAGCACTCAATAAAGATTCGCTAGGACATTGCAACAGTGCATTGGCATTGATGTTTCTCTCCATCCTGGCATGTTATGCAACAAAAGACTCTTCCCAAGGATGATCCAAGAATCCCAGAAAATGCAGCTCTCAGAAACTTATGCTGAACCTTTCCAATTTCAGAAAGAATCCCCCCCTGGCTAAATCAGACACTCAGTTGGCTCCGATGTGGATGACTCCACACAGACAAAATGCAGAAGCCCTGAGGCTGAGCCAGGGTCTAGCAAGAGAGACAGAGAGTTCCTGCCAGCAGCCACTCCCTCTCTCCCCAACAGGGGAGGCACAGGGCAGCCCCAATGTGGACGGGACTCTGTCTGTTCTGCCAAGGTCATGAGTATTCCTATCCACTCAGAAGCCACTCTAGCTCCACTCTCTCCCTTTCTGGATTCCTGTGAAAACCAAAATCAAATACGTGTTAGGTTACCATTCTCCAAAATGAGAATCCCTGATACAGAGCAACAGAAACTAACATGTATTTAACACAGGGCACGTGGAACTCTTGGTTAACACCTCCTGACTCCAGATTTGAGGAAGACTCGCCAGTGACCCGCAGAACTCCTATTTCTAATTGCTTTCTCCTTGATTGTTATTTAATTTTCGTTTCTGAGCCTCCAGCTGCCTTACCACGTATGCCACCACCACCCGAAGCCTGACTCATCTTTCCTGGAGGTAGCACTGACTCTCAGTGCTGAGCAATTCGAGCCACTGGGGGGTGACGGGAAGAGGGAGCCGGCACAGCTCGTGCAGTGAGCTCCAACACATCACCATCTTGGGATGGTTTTGATAGCTCTTCTTTTGGAGCTATGATCAGTTATCACGTCAGTACGTAATATAAAACGGCACTCCACTAAATGGCACATCAGGGGGACCATGACCTGGACATTTCTCACTTCCAGCAACACTTCCACTTGTTACGGGAGCACAGAAACATTTTCTAATGCTTTTTATTCTTTGAATTCCCTTTCTCTACTGCCTTGGAAAAATTTAACAAACCAGGATGCAGTAGAAAACTTGTTTTTGAAAAAAATTGTAGAAAAGCAAGGAAAGGATAAACATGTAATTCAAAGTAGAGGTGCATCAGGGGAGAGAAAGCAAGGGTGAGGATGAATGCATGACTGTAAAGTGCATCGTCCAAAATGGGACCCTCTGGGGAGTCCAAGGGGCACTGTCAGTAAATGTGCCCCAACAACATGGTAAACCAGAATGGCCACACTCAGGACCGTAGACACACACAGAGACTGTCGTTGTCATTCATCTAGAGTCTAGGTCTCCAGTCAGTTGTGGGTTTATGGGTGTTCATTACATTATTAATCCATGCATATGTAAAATAGGGCTATGCATGGTCGAATGATGACAGAGATTAATAAACTAAGGACCAGTACTAAAACAATTCTCTGCAGCAGAAGTGCATTTTAAAAAATTAACACTCTTATTGGTGAATCCAGCTAAAGATGGGTTTATGTCACCTTGTACTTCTTTATCATCATCCTTCTGCTCTTTATTATATAATTTTGTAATGTTCACCTCTCTCTCTTTCTCTCTCTCTCTCTCTCATTTTCTGTCTCTCTTTCTCTTCATACTCTAAATACAGGCATTTAAACCATTAATAGATCTTTCAGATCGACTGTCACATTAGAACCCAGACTGCCAAACCCCAAACCACATCTTCTCTTTAATACATTTACTTCCTATTTTCTTTCCATTGACTCTAAAACCAAAAAAGCCCTGAATTATGAATGGAGTTTTTGCTAAGCAAAATTAAAAGCACACATCTATTTTTCTTCTTCTTCCATGAGGACAGACTCTTCCTCTATGTATTAGTCCATTTTCACACTGCTGTAAAGAACTGCCTGAGACTGGGTAAATTATAAAGAAAGAAGTTTGACTCACAGTTCTGCTGGGGAGAATCAGGAAACTTACAATCATGGCAGATGGTGAAGGGGAAGCAAGTACCTTATTCACAAGGTGGCAGGAAAGAGAGTGAGTGAAGGAGAAACTGCCAAACACTTACAAATCATCAGATCTCTTGAGAACTAACTATCTTGAGAACAGCATGGGGGAAACCACCCCCATGATCCAATCACCTCCCACCAGGTCCCTCCCTTGATACACGGGGATTACAACTCGAGATGAGATTTGGGTGGGGATGCAGAGCCAAACCGTATCACTCTATATTTTAGTCACTACAGTCATTTATTCATTCATCTACCCAACCAACCAACCATTTATTACACACTGTTCATAGGGCACTGTGACAGACACTGGAAAGGAGACAATAGTAGTTCATGTCACCTGATCCCTGCCTTCTAGGAATGTACTGTCAAAAGGCAGTTTATAAGCACCCAAATGAGCATGGCAGGTAAGAACCATTGTAGACAACTGGTGAGGTGAGCGCTCAGGAGCTGGACAGGATCATTAACCAGGTGTTCACAGTGCAATATTAACTGTGTGTGTAAGGAAGACTTGTGTCATCCAGCCCATCTGGAAGATAAGTATGGTTGTCTGGTTAACCAATTTCCCTATTTTGGGGAAAGTTTCCTTAGTCTGAACCTAAATTGCCAATTATAAAGGGAGTGTTTATTTTCTACTCAGATACTTATCTTCAAGCATTCCAAGACAAGATGCTCAGCTGACCACAGAAGGGTAAGAGTCCTCAAAAAAGGCAGTAAGTGTAAGACAGAAGCAAATTTTTTTGTGGAGAACATTAAGAGACACTTGACCCCTGAGAGTTCAAGCTTCAGGCTCAATAGCCAGCAGCTTGGCTGACATCTCTACTCATTATCCAATGAGAATTAAAACCTAACACGTCTAAAACACAGCTGCCCATTCCCCTTCCCCAGCTGGACCCTGCAGCACTTTCTTCATCTCAGCAAGTGGCCAATATACCCTTCCAGCTGCCAACCATGGGTGGCCTCTTTCTCCTCTTTACTCTCACACTTGATGTCTGATCCACCAAAACACTCAGTTGGCCTGATTCCCACAACAGACCCAGAATCTGACCCCTTCTTATGCCTCTACCCACCCACCCCATTCAAGCCACCATCCTCTCATCTGGACTAGTGAAGGGGTCTCCTGGAGCTGTTACCCCGCGCCCTCTACCATCTCATCTCAACACAGCTTATGTTCAATTTTCTGACCGATGCCCACAGGCCCTGGACAATCAGGCCCTTCCATTAACTCCTGACTTCATTTCCTCCTTGCTCCCCCTTGCCCATACTGTGTGTCCCTCCTGGAGACTTCCAGTCTTGCTGCTTTGTACTGGACATCTGCCTTGCTTCCCTCCTGTGACCTCATACTCCTTTACTTTGCTCACTTTGGTACTCCCAGCACCTACACCAGTCCCTGGTGCACAGCAAGCACTCCGTACCTATTTGTTGAATGTGGTGAATGAATGAATGAATGAATGAATGAATGAATGCCATCTGGAATGTTTGATCCCAAAGCCCTGTGTCAAAGTTGGTGAAGACACCCCATGGGAGGACCAAACTGATATTGCTGGAAGTTTTGATGTAAATTTGGGATGTGGCTCCTTGGAGCAAAAGATTCCATTTGTCATCACACTCAGAGGAACCGTTCCCACCCCTGTGAATGAGGGCCCTAAGCAGCCTTCCCAGTACCCACAGACCAACTAGGCTTCTACTGTGGGACCCAGACTTTCAGAGAGACAATGTCATCTTGTCCACATTTGGCAGTTATACTGCATCCCTTAAAAGCCACTCTAAGTGAGAAATGTACATTCTACTTTCAGGGGGAAAAAAAAAGAAAGAAACTTTCCTTGAGTCAATTAGATGACCCCATGGCCAAAATCAAAATTCCACATTAAGAAGAATATTCAGGAATAATGTCAGTGACTTGGGCCCCCACACAATACTTGGGCTCAGCCCCACCAGACTACAGCCACTCCGATATGCTGTTTCCCTCTTCCCCAGGGGACCTCCTTCATCCTTTCCCAGGAGAAAGACCCCCTGGCTCCAAGCTGGACAATGACATCCATGACACCATTGCAAACTCTAATCCACCCTAAACCCAACAAACTTCCAGATCAAATGCTTCTGCTCTGCACTCCCTTCACCCCGAAATCATCCAGGTCTTTGTGGAGACTCTGCATTCCAGGATTTCAATGATGTCCCCAACACAAATCCATAGTGGACAAACAGGGAGTGCACTCCAATATGCTAATTTTCCAAGTTAGTGATAAGAGATAAGCGTAAACCTGGATCTGTCATTATCACCTTCTTGGACTTCATCAGCCAAATGACAGCCTGAAAACAAAGATGCTTTCAGACAGGCAAAGAGTAGCCCCTTAAGAAGGCAGACAACAGGACTTGGAACAGGCAGGCCGCACCTGCAGTGCCCTGTGACTTGTCTGAGGATCACAGTCAGTGAATCTAGAACCCTCCCTCCAACCTGCTCCTCCTAGCCCAGGTCCTGATCCCCATTCACCTTCAGGAAGCCGAGCTACCTTGCTGTTGATTCTGTCAGCGTGTCCTGCACCAGCCCAACTCTGCCTCTAACTCAGCAGGTAAGGCTGGTTTCACAGTCAAGGTCGCACATGCCCTGGGCAGGCAGACTCCCACAGCTTATTTCTGCAACGGCAGGCTGACACCAGTACTTAATCTGCCCAATTTGTGATGTGGATTTTTCCCTGCTGCAGTGTCTAGCACAATGTAGCTACTCAAAAAATAAATGCCTGTATGAGACATCACGGTAGGACTCCTAAAAGATCATTATGATGCCCTGAATCCGACTTTTATTCACAAACCGGGTCCCCTATGAATGCCCAGCTCTCTTTGCCACTTTCCTGACCCAATATTAACAAGGCAGGAGCTGCTACTGATGGGACATTGAGTGAAGATCCCCATAGAGGGTCCATAAGGAAAGACACACTCTTCCTCATCTGAGCACTGGCCTCAAGGTAGCAGGGCCAACCAAGGAAGAGGACACAGACATGATAACAAAAAAACTTCACAAGCCATAAAGAAAACACCACCACTACCATCGAGGTTGCTTCCTTTGGCCAACCCTGGGTTGACAGACATGCTCCTCTGCAAGCCCCGCCAACCTACCACTGAGTCTTTTGTAGCAACAGAAGGTGAGTCATCCCCACTGTGGGGGGACAGCACCTCCCTACCAGGAAACAGTTTGTAGCAAACCGTCCACAATATGAAAATGTATTTAATGCAATTAATAATTTAAGAAGTGAGAGCATGTGCTTTTGGAGAGTTAAATGCTTGTCAGAGTGAGCGATGCACGCTTCACCACCAATACATTTCGTATGAAGAGCAGAGGGATTTTGCAAACTTGTGTTGACCTTGGGTTGCCGTATATAGGAGGCAGATTGCAAAGGCAGGCCTACTTAAGGAGGAACAGTGCTTCAGCTCCCAATTTACAGCCCTTTCTCCAATTAAAGGACTGTAAAAACATTAAAATTAATGCAGTCTTAACTCCTAGAGCAGGCCCTACTTTCTTAATTAGTGCATAATTATTCAGTTTTTGATATCCTGGAAAATTATCACATGGAAATTATTTTAGGCCGAGTAACAATAGCAAAAACTCCCTCCCCCAACTCTATTAACATGTGGAAGTAATTAACACTTTATTACAGTGAAAATACTATTACTGCTAATGTTTAATGACTTTTGCCATTGCATCCTAAGCAGGAAATTCAGAACACTATGGAATGATAGTTTCCTATAAATATATTACAAATGACTCTGCAAAGATTGTGATAGTTTGAACTAGCTGCATTAAAAATCAGGAGGCCATAGACATTCAGTTGCTAAAAGCTTCATGAGCAGAGATACATAATTCGGTGTGAACTCACAGGAAGATGGCACGGAATCATCATTTAGGCATGGCCTGGACAGGCAGCCCGGGCACAATCTCAGCTGTGGCCTGCTGTTAATAAAACAGCATCCTCTCTGCTGTGCTAATGGATACTTTTAAATGGATAGCCAAACTGTTGGAAGTTCAAGACATTGGAAAAAAATTACAATTAAATGGCTCCAGCTGAACAAACCAGAAATGATAGCAGAACTTAATATTTCTACAATCGGGAGGAATTAGTGGTGTTTGGAGTAGGGTAAAAATTATGATCGCTCTTACATAAATATCTAAAAATACAGATGCCTACTTAAGTTGACGTATAACAAGAAAAACTTGCACACGATACCTTTATAAGAAACTGAAAGGGAAAGACAGTTTGTTTCTGCCTGTGCCATGGAGCCTAGTTTGGAGGGAACAGAAGAAAGAGGGTCTTCCTAGGACCACTTTCAAAGTTGTAATCAGGGACATCTTGTGAATAAACCATTGTTCACCACTGTGTGCATTCAGGAACTGGAAATGTTAGCTTCTTTTTAATTTTAATTTTATTCGTTTACTTAATGAATTTTTTTTTGGAAAATTGTGTTGAAACCTCTATGAAAGAAGCATTGCAGAAAGGGTAGCAAAAAGCAAAAAGCACTCCAAATAAATATGGGATGGATATGGGGTAGAAAATGCAGGTGACTTCAGCTAAGTTGCTTGAAATGTCCTCTATGTCAAGTGCCAGGTTTGCCATTAATGGTGCCCTCATGATGCAGCCAAGTCTACAGCACTCTAAAGTTTTATTACTGACTTTGAGTAGTTCTAAAAAATTTTCATACACCATCTTGTTTTCTGAGTCTTTTTTTTCCTTTGTTTCCATGCATTCCTGGGGTTTTAGTTAGTTCCCTTGGAGGAAAAATGTCTCAGAAACATTTCTCAGGCAGAGGGAAACACACCTATGTCCTTCCTATAGTGGATAGAACAACAATTTACATCATTCAGAAAACTTTCAAATGGCTTCAAACCCATGCAATTGCTTTGATCCTAAAACACACTTGGGACCTGTAAGCTAAGCTGGCGGGGTCAAAGAAAACATAGCTCAAGTCATCTGAGGCACTCTGCCCAGAACGGGGGTGCTGGGGAAGAGGGGTGCCCCTTCGTGAGACACACTGGGGCTCTGGGCGAGACCAGCCACAGCAGAAAGTGTCCAGGACTCTCTCACTCAAACCCCACTCCCTCCTTCAGAGAAGGGAGCACCACCACCTCCCTGACACTGAGCAGCCAGCCGAGGAGGGCAACATCACCTCTTCCTTTGTAGGAATGAATCCTGTTTTCTGCAGGTCTCATTTACCACCAGAAGGTAGGGCTTTAGGTTGTTAGCTCTAAGTCCCTTGAAGACACAGACAGTGTCTCATGTTCTTTGCATTCCTTTGGGCTCTGTGAATATGAATACACCTGTATTCATATGCAGGAGGGGCAATTGGGGTCATGACAGGGGGTATAGACCATGAAGGAGGGAGCTGAGGCTGAATCCTGGTCCTTCTCTTTACAGGCTGTGTGAGGGTGGGCAGCTTACTCACTCTCAGCAGCCCACTTCCCTGGGAGAACACTGGTAGTACTTGCCTCAGAGGACTGCTGCAAGGTTAAAGAATTCATACGCAGGTGTATTAGTCGGGGTCCTCTAAAGGGAAAGGACTAATAGGATAGATGTACATATGAAGGGGAGTTTATCAGGAGAATTGACTCACACGATCACAAGTCCCACAATAGGCTGTCTGCAGGCTAAGGAGCAAGGAAGCCAGTCTGAGCCCCAAAACCTCAACAGAAGGGAAGCCGACAGTGCAGCCTTCAGTCTGTGGCCAAAGGCCGTGGCAAACCACTGGTATAAGTTCAAGATTCTAAAAGCTGAAGAACTTGGAGTCCCATGTTCGAGGGCAGGAAGCATCCAGCAGGGAGAAAGTTGAAGGCTGGAAGACTCAGCCAGTCAAGTTCTTCCACATTCTTCTGCCTGCTTTATTCTGGCCGCACCGACAGCTAATTGGATGGTGCCCACCCAGATTGAAGATGGGTCTGCGTCTCCCACCCCACTGACTCAAATGTTAATCTCCTTTGGCAATACCCTCACAGACACACCCAAGAACAATACTTTGCATCCTTCAATCCAATCAAGTTGACACTTAGTATTAACCATCACAACAAGAGTACCAAGGAGATGCTGTGGGTTTGGTTCCAGACCACTGCCATAAAGTGGATATCACAGTAAGATGGGTCACGTGGATTTTTTGGGTTCCCAGTGCATATAAAGCTGTGTTTACACTACACTGTGGTCTATTAAGTGTGTAATAGCATGATGTCTAAAAAAATGTACATGTCTGAATTTAAAAAATATTTTAAGGTTGGGCATGGTGGTTCATGCCTGGAATCCCAGCACTTTGGGAGGCCCAGGCAAGAGGATCACTTGAGGCCAGGAGTTCAAGATCAGCCTGGGAAACATAGTAAGGACCTATCTCTACCCAAAGAATTAAAAGTAAAAAATTAGCCAGGAGTAGTGGTTCACGCCTGTAGTCCCAGCTACTCAGGAGGCTAAGGCAGGAGGAGCACTTGAACCCAGAAGTTCTAGGCTATAGTGAACTATGATTATGCTGTTACACTCCAGTCCGGGTGACTAAGGAAGATCCTGTCTCTAAAAAATAAAAAGTTAATACCTTATTGCTACTTATGCTAAAAAATGTTAAAGATCATGAGCTGTCAGCAAGTCATAATCTTTTTGCTAGTTGAGAGTCTTGCCTTGATGTTGATGTCTGCTGACTAATTAGGATGGTGGTTGTTGAAAGTGGGGTGACTGGCAATTTCTTAAAATAGACAACAATGAAATTTGCCACATTGGTTGACTCTTCCCTTCATGAAAGATTTTTCTGAAGCATGCAATGCTGCTTGATAGCGTTTTACCCGCAGTATAACTTCTTTCAAAACTGGAGCCAAGTCTCTCAAACCTTACCACTGCTTTATCAACTAAGTTTATGTAATATTGTAAATCCTCTGTTGTCAATTTCAGCAATGTCCACAGCATTTTCACCAAAAATATATTCTATCTTAAGAAACCACTTTCTTTGCTCATCTATCCATAAGAAGCAACTCCTCATCCCTTCCAGTTTTATCATGAGATTGCAGCAATTCAGCCACATCTGCAGGCTTTAATTCCTAATTCTACTTCCCTTGCTGTTTCCAAAACATCTGCAGCTACTTCCTCCACTGAATTCTTGAACCCCTCATAGGGATCCATGGGGGTTGGAATCAACTTCTTCCAAAATCCAGTTAATGTTGATATTTTGACCTCCTCCCATGAATCGTGAATGTCCTTAATGGCATCTAGAATAGCGAATCCTTTC
This sequence comes from Homo sapiens, assembly GCF_000001405.40. Classification (NCBI taxonomy): domain Eukaryota; kingdom Metazoa; phylum Chordata; class Mammalia; order Primates; family Hominidae; genus Homo; species Homo sapiens. Next base: position 129,201,911 of record NC_000010.11, read on the forward strand.
CAGAAGGTTTTCAATTTTCTTTGCCCGGCTGCATCAGGACAATCATGATGTCCAGGCTATGGAAGCTATAGCTTTATGAAATGTATTTCTGACCTAATAAGATTTGAAAGTTAAAATTACACCTTGATTTATGAACTGTGGAATGGATGTTGGGTTAGCAGTCATGAAAACAACATTCATCTCCTTGTACATCTCCATCAGAGCTCTTGGGTGATCAGGTGCATTGTCAATGAGCAGTAATATTTTGAAAAGAATCTTTCTCTGAGTGGTAGGTCTCAATAGTGGGCTTAAAATATTCAGTAAACCATGCTACAAAGAGATGTTCTGCCATCCAGGCATTGCTCTTCCAATTATAGAGCACAGGCAGAGTAGAAGTAGCATAGTTCTTAAGGGCCCTAGGATTTTTAGAATGATAAATGAGATTTGGCTTCAATTTCAAGTCACCAGCTACCTTAGCCTGTAACAAGAGAATTAGTATGTACTTTGAAACTTTGAAGCTGGGCTCTGAGGTTTCCTCTCTAGCTATACAAGACCTACATGGCATCTTCTTCCAGTATAAGCTGTTTCATCTACCTTGAAAATCTCTCGTTCAGTATAGCCACCTTCATCAGTGCTTTTAGCTGGATCTTCTGGATAACTTGATGCAGCTTCTGCATCAGCACTTGCTGTTTCACCTTGCACTTTTATGCTATGGAGGTGACTTCTTTCCTTAAATCTCACGAACCAGCCTCTGCTAGCTTCATGCTTTTCTTCTGAAGCTTCCTCACCTCTCTCAGCCAGTATACAATTGAAGAGAGTTAGGGCCTTCCTCTGGATTCAGCTTTGGCTATGGGAATGTTGTGGCTGGTTTGATCTTCCATCCAGACCACTAAAACATTTTCCATGTTAACAATAAGGTTCTTTTTGCTTTCTTATTATGTTTTTTGTTCACTAGAGTATCATTTTTAATTTCCTTCAAGAACCTTTCCTTTGTGTTCACAACTTGGCTGTTTGGTACAAGAGGCCCAGCTTTCAGCCTATCTTGGCAGTGGACACGCCTTCCCTTCCTTACTCAGCTTAATCACTTCTAGCTTTTGATTTAAAGTGAGAGATATGTGACTCTTCCTTTCATTTGAACACTTAGAGACCATTGCAGGGTTATTAATTGGCCTAATTTCAATATTGTTTTGTCTCAGGAAAAAGGGAGGCACAAGGAGAGGAAGAAGGATGGGGAGTGGCTGATTGGTGGAGCAGTCTGAACACAACACAGTTATTGAGTATGTTTATGATATCGTTTGGTTTGGCTCTGTGTCCCCACCCAAATCTCACCTTGACTTGTAATAATCCCCACGTGTCAATGGCGGGGCCAGGTGGAGATGATTGAATCATGGGGGTGGTTTCCCTCATACTGTTCTCATGATAGTGAGTGAGTTCTCGTGAGATCTGATGGTTTTATAAGTGTCTGGCATTTCCCCTGCTGGCACTTCTCCTGCCTGCTGCTGCTGCCATGTAAGATGTGTCTTCCACCTCCTGCCATGATTGTGAGGCCTCCCCAGCCGTGTGCAACTGTGGGTCCATTAAACCTCTCTTTCTTTATAAGTTACCCAGTCTCGGGTATGTCTTTATTAGCAGTGTGAGAAAAGACAAATACAGTTTGCAATCTTATTTAGGCATGGTTCACAATGTCCCCAAACATTTGCAATAGTAACATCAAAGGTCACTGATCACAGATCACCATAACAGACATCATAATAATAACAAGTTTGAAATATTGTAAGAATTACCAAAATATGACACAGAGACATGAAGTGAGCACATGTTAGAAAAATGGCACTGACAGACTTGATGAACTCAGGGTTGCCACCAAGTTTCAATTTGTTAAAAAAAAAAAAAGTGTCTGTGAAGTTGTGAAGTTCAACAAAGTGATGTGCAAATGACAAGGCATACCTGTATAAGTGCAAGCAGCACAGTAATGGCCTTTAGTAAGGGCTCCATCGGAGTTTGCTGTTGCTACCACTGCTACTACTATTATTACTACTACGAGCATGCCCACGTCACTGGTGGAACTGAGAGTTCTCTCAATTGTACAAGAAAAGTTGTGAAAGCCATCAGTTCTGCAATGATGACACATGAAGCCTGTTACCATCAGAACTCTCCCCTCTCCCCAGGCTGCTCCACTGAGTGTCCAATGTGACACATTCTGTGCTTTCTGTCTGCTACTCTCATTTCCAGCTAATTTCCTGCCTTGAAAGTCTTGCTCACGAACATGAGGCAGAAGGCACAGAGCCCTCCTTTCCACCCTGCCTCTGGAGCCCACGAGGGTCTGGGGTAAGCCTGGAAGACAAAACAGACCCAAGTACATCTACTTGTGAACTAAGTGCCCATGACCTGACCAGTGTCAGCACTGTCTTCCTAGCCTGAGACAGGGAAGAAGCCATGCCCCAGGGAGGACCCCAAGGAGGACCTGAGCCCTCCCTATGAGTGCCTCTGGGGAGCAGAAGACCAGAGGCAGGAGAAAAGAGAAGAAACTGGGTGCAAAGGAAAATCAGAGGAGGCGTGAGGGGATGATGGATAAAAGACCTCACGACCCAGTCATCACATGCCTACATGTGGGCCAAGGGAAACTCTCCCACACTACACAGGAGACTCGTGAAGGGATGTCCACAGCAGAACTTCTCATGCTGGACAAACTGGAAATTATCTCTCAGACTGCCTTCCGGTCCACGGCTGGGAAAACGGGGCCTATAAACAGATACATATTCACAGAATGCAACATGCACAGAAATTACGTGACTGGACCACAACTGCTTACAACATGGACGAATCTTGAAATACAATTGTGAGTGAAAAAAAGTTGGCCCTAGAAGGCTGCATGTGGAATGATACCATTTTTATAAGCCCAAGATTAAACAAAACTACATAATGTACTGTCAAACATGCATACATGTCTAATAAAACCAAAATTTTAATTCCAGCTCCTTTTCCTCAGGGAGAGTGGACCTTCCGGAGTGAGGAGTGGGGCAGAGGCTAGACAGGGGCATATAGGAAGGGACAGGTTTGGAGCAGGGTCTCTTATAGGGTCAAGCTCTGTGGGCAGCATGTGTGTGACACACATGCTTTGCCTATTTCAAGCAGCTACTCTTAAAAGGCAAAGTAAAGAGGGAAAAAAAGAGAGACATGTCCTGAAATGACTTCAGATTACTTAATATTGCACCTGAGAAATAGGTGCAATATTTGTAGGCTCTAAAATCGTTTCCTCTTCTAGTATGGACTTTTTTTAAATGACAAAGGATCACAAAACTTACAAGACAGCAAGAATTGTCCACCCAGCCCCTGGTGGACACCTAAACATGGCTGGGTTTATCATTCCAACCCCTTCAGGGTGAGTCCCTCTGAGTGCCTGCCCTTCCCCCTATTGTTTTGGGGGTTCTTTTGCAGTTGAGGGGTGGGGTTAATTTCAAATGTCCATTTAACAGACTACCAGGACTAAAATGCTAGAACTCTTTCAAAGAAACTTACATTATATGAAGGCACTGACAGTTTGGTGATGTTCATCACAGCAGATAGCATTACTTATGCTGACACAAGATGTGATCTCTTGTATAAGAGGAATACATGAAGGAAAGGAAAAGAGCATGTTGGAAATGACCTCAGCTTTTCAGTACTGTAATAGTAGATCAGTTTTAATAAACAAGGAAAACATTCAGTTTTTCACACTGGTGAAAATTATTCAAGCAGCTAGCACACCTTGCCTGTGGCCGCCTTTCCTGTGGTCAGTACAGGAAACTCTTCAGTTCTCGTCTAACCCTTCTCCAATTTTCAATTGCCTCAGTTTGCCATATTATCTTCTTAGCAATGCCAACACGCTCACCTGGGTCTGCCATTGGCCATCCACCTGAAACTGCTCCTCTGCAGAGGCCACCTGTGGCCACTGGCTACGTAAGAACTTGCCTCCAATGCTGGCCACATCACCATGTTAATGGATCATAGTGAATAACCGTAGGAAGTTGTCTCCCCAGAGAAATAACAACAGAAATATTAGAGCCAATGGTTTGCTTGTAAAATAGATTCCAGATTATTTCAAAAGGCCAACTATACACCTGGCAACAAAACACTCTTATGGCAATTTAAAAACTATAGAGCTAAGGGAATTTTTATGCCTCAGCCAACTGTTTTGACTGCTTTTAATTAAATACAAATGAAATAATTGACATAAAGTGCCATGAGGTAATTATTTTGTTGGCATTTTGTCTCTTTGGAGGCAAACTGTTTACTGCATTGATCATCTAGAAAATTCTTTAATTCAGTTGGAGCCAGTTGTAACATAGCTAAAGAGGTAATATCAACTTAAGGTAATCAAGAACTCTTATGTGAATATCGCATTTGTATTAACAGCACACATTTTAGATCCAAGCACAGTGCTATTTTTATACTTCTTTATCCCTGGGCCATTGCTGTGAGATGTGGGATGTTAATTATTTTTTTTCTGATTAGATATTTTAAATAAATGAATAAATTACAACAAAATGATGTTTATCTGAGGTTTTAGCAACTTAATTGTTATTTCTCATTTTTGCAATAATCAGAATTTTTATTTTCTTTCCCAAAATGTACATAAGCCCAACAAGAGTGCATCTGGCTCATTGGCAAGACCTTAAGATATTCTTCCATCCACAAAGTCATCAGAGAATGTCATCATGGACCCACACAAGTTTCTTCACATTTTTGCATAGATGGAGTCAATCTTGGCTTTGCATCTTATAATAACCATTTAAAATACTAGTCTAACTTAGATTCAATATTAAATTTATAGTCACTATGAACATTGGTTAGCTTTCCAATAATTTCTAAAGGTCTGAGGTGAATGTTCAAATGAGATGAGACGTTCATTTGGGTCTGAAAAGTCAGCTATTCTGAATTTTTCGGTGGCGTGTGGCCAAGGATCACGCAGGTGTTCAACTGGGTATAGGAACAGCCAGCACGATGCTGAGTGCCTTCTAGGAGACAACCTTTCTCCCAGTGGTGCGCACGAGGGTTTGTCTGTATATTTATTAGAGGCATAATACAAAATAGTTCTCCAGCTTAAGAAAAGTTTTGGGATCATTAGGAAACTCCCCAGTCAACTTGAATTAAATTCTTATTTAGAAACTCTAGGGCTGCAGTCTAAAAGGGTCAGCACCCGCGTAGTCTGAAATAACTAAGAAGGTGTCGTAACTAGAGCATTCAAAAGAGACATCTATGTGCTAGTTTGGCTATTTGTAATAGGTGGTTTAATAATCAGATCAGAAGCCAGCTTTGTAAGCTTAATATTTTTAATTGTGGTTCTGGCTTGATAAATTATCTTGATGAACTAGCTGATTGGTCCAAGTTCAAATAGCTTAAAAAGAAAGAAATGGCTTAGGCTCCTAGCCAATATATTCAGAACAAAACCAAACTGTTTGCCAGCTTCCCAAACTATTGCAATCAAAACCAGACAAAAGAAGGAGAAGATACCTTCTGCAACCTGCCAACATTTTAACCGGCGCGATTCTTCCGCTGAGCGCGCGCCTCAGCCAGAAGTTGGAGTGCCAGGCCAAGAGCGCACGCTCTGGCTGCAGCTCCGCGCTGACTCTTCAAATGATTGTCGTTTTTTCCTCTCCTGCTGCCAACTGCTCCCGGAGCTCACCAGCCTGTGTTCTGAAGCCAACAGTTCATAGTAAACCTTGCAATATCTCATGCAATCGTAATGCAATTAGTGAGGCGCGCGCTCCTGCTGGGCCTCTCCCCTCCACGCTCTGAGCCCCCAAAGAAGTCAATCACCGTGCCAATTTCAAGGGGCTCCGAGCTGGGCAAGGGAGGCTCAGGCTGCCCTGCACTTTGTCATTTCTGCTGCCTCCACCGACTCCTCCTTTCAGCAGCACAGAAGGTGGCTCCGGTGTGATGGCTTTGCAAACACCACTGGAGAGGCCACAGCTCCCTGGTCAAACTATTTCCAAGTCAACTCTTGTGAGAAACAGAGCACAACCAGTTTCTCCAGACTGTGTACGCTTGCAAATGAAGCTCTGAAGGTGAATGAATTTGCATCGGGCAATTCATCCGGCAAATTCAAGGGATAATCAATTTCCAAATTACCTCCCTCCCTGGTCCATTGAATCCTGTATTTTCTTTCTGATGATTTGTATCTGGTGCATCCCCAACCTTGTGCTTGAATATATTTTATTGATCACTTACAGCACTGAGCACCCAGACTGGGGTTTTCAAATACCCATCCTTACTAAAAAGAGCTAGGGGTCTTTGGACACATGGTGATTCTAAGGCTCAAGCCAGAAAAGATGATCCTGGAAGAGCTTTTGTGCTAGAAAGTCAGAAAGTGTTTAGAAAATGATGGAGACATGTCAATACAACACAGAACCAGTTTGGAGTGGCTCTTGTTGGCCAAACCCAGGCAATTCGAACCACAGAATTACATTGATAGCAATAGACTAAAACTCATTGATCTATAAGTCTGTACTGATATAGATGAATTAGTAAATAAATGAGGGGAAGAAAGACAGCTCCTCTTCACAGTTGATTGACAAGTAGAAGAAATGCTGGTGATTTTGCAATCATCATAGTAATGATTGAATTGGGCATGAATCCTCAAATGGATGCCAAAACTAATGGATGAAACTTGGATGAGAAATAGGATATTGACACCTTCTTAAAGTATGTTCCCACAAATTACTTATTACTATCAGAGAAAGAGTAAATTTACAATGGAGAAATCTGGCAGACCCCACCCTAGCCAAGTAGCCAAAGTTACTATCATCTATATTGGAACAAAGTGACCTCATGGTTTCTCCTGATACGAAACACTGGGAAGGGCACCATGTCACTTCTGTGATATTCCTGCCGAAAATGCAAAATCTGAACCCAAGCATTCAGAAAATATCACACAAACGCAGATCGAAGAACATTCTACAAAATAACTAGTCTATACTTTTCAAAAATATCAAGGTCAAGAAGATTTTTAAAAAGACTATGAAACAATTCAGGAACTATCCAGGCTAGAATTGAGATACTAGAACCCACTTATGGGAAAATATGTATGGCTCTAAAGAACATTATTAGTGCATTTGATGAAATTTAAAAATGGACTATGCATCAATGTTAAAGTTATTCTTTCTCATAATTATACTGTGTGTAACAGAATTTTCTTGTTTTTAGAAATTACTTTTAAAGTGGTTTTTGGAATAAATGCAACATGATATCTATCACTTATTCTCAATGCATTCAGAAAAAATATGTGTGTGTGTATTCATGTATGCTTGTATACATGCATGGGTATGAATATGGTGCATGTGTATTAGTATATATATATGCACATGTGTGTTTGTGTGTATGTATGTCTATAGATATGTATGACAGAAAGACAGTTGAATAGGGCAAAATGTTAGCAATCAACAATCCTGGATAAATTTGGCAGTTCTTTGCAACTTCTGTATGGGTTGGAAATTATATCAAGTAAAAGTCTCAAAAGTTGCACTTAAATTTAGCATCCATTTGAGGATTCATGACTAATCCAGTCATTACTATGATGATTGCAAAATCACCAGCATTTCTTCTACTTGTCAATCAACTGTGAAGAAGAGCTGTGCTTCTTCCCCTCATTTATTTATTAATTCATCTATATCAGTACAGACTTACAGATCAAATTAGCAGCATCATTAAATATTTTGCCCAGCGAAGAGTGTCCGAAAAGGCTCCCCACACAGTAGGACACAAACCTCAGACACTGTTTACACTCAGGCAGCGGGGAAAAGAAAGTCCTGGAGACTGACTCCATGAGGAGTGAAATCCATGGAAAGCATTAGTGAGTCAACCCAGTGGTTCTCAACCAGGGTGGTTTCATCCTTCCTGGGTGCATTTGGCAATGCCTGGTGACATTTTTGTTACACTTTTGATACACTTGGGGATGGGAGTGATGCTACTTGCATCTAGTAGGTAGGGGCCAGAGAAGCTGCGCAATATTCTACAATGCACAGGACAGCCCCTGCAACAAAGAATATCTAGTCTAAAATGCCAATTTTGCCAAAGATGAGAAACCCTGAGCTAAACAATTGATTTTCAACAACTACATGGTTATAGATTGAATTTCAAAGAAATTTAATTTCATAAATTAGAACAGTTTAATAAACCCTAGAAATATATTCAGAATTTTTCAGTTATATAAATGAAAGATTTCTGTGTTGCCCAGGCTGGCCTCAAACACCTAGCCTCACCTCCTTATGTGCCGGGACAACAGGCCTGAGCCACGGCGGCCTGCTATATTTGGAATTTATAATTCCTGCCATTTTTAAGGCTGATGAGAATAAATATTAATCAAAAGGCAAGAAAATGTTTCTAACTTAAGAATGAAAGAAATTTTCAAGCTATCATTGAAGGGAATAAGAGATATATGCTTTTCCTAAATTTAGGAATTTAATATAGATCTATACATTAATATAGATGTATAGATATAGCCATTTTGTGAAGGAAAAATAATAGCCGGAAAGTAATGTGATTGGACACTCTTGTTTTCTAATGTCTTTGAATCTTAAAATCTAAGATGAATAAATTTTTAAGTTTTCTAAATAGTCTTCTTTACTTTGTGTTGTTATTTGAAATGGCGTAGATGCTTCTGTCCTATGGACAATCGCAAGCTGTCTAAATGTGGTTCCTTTTAAGCACACTGAATTTTTTACAACTGGCAGTCTCCATTATTTTTTTAAACTGCAAATCTAATTCAAATTGGTGATCACACTATGGAGAAAATGCAACTAAATAACAATAATGCATTTTGAGGAGTTGAGTCCAATTTCGGTGGCGTGCTAAAATGCCCTCATCAAGACATGCGATAACACTCTCAGTGCAGCTGATGCCAGGAAGCCATTCCCAAAATGAGTTCAGACGTAATTGCAGCCTTTGACATCCTCAATGTTAGGCTCCTTCTAAATCATCTTGAAAAATATGTTGGTCTTTCAGGTTCGGTTATTTGGTTGCTTAAATCTTATTATAATCATCAACAACAGTTTGTTAATATAATTTCTTTCCATTCCCCCTCTTACATTGTCATCTGGAGTCATCTGTTACATTGTCATCGGGAATCCCAAAGGGAACTGGGTCTTGCTACCATCCTTTTCTTTATCTAAGTGCTGCCTTTAAGAACTACACCACCATATCTTTAAAAACACAGATGCTCTTATCGTATTTCAGCTGACAATGGGCCCGCGTGTTTTCCTGTTCCCAGCACTTACACACTCGACTGGTACACTCATCTGTTATTTATACAAAACTAACTCAGGGTTTTGTTGTCTTGAAACTTTTTAATGTTAAAATTCAGAATTGTTTGGTTTATTCTACCTTCTACCTCCTAAAAAAATTCATAAGATTATTGCTGTTTTTCATGAATATTTCAGATTTATTGACTGATCTAGCATGGGTACGTAGGTATTTTCTACAGTCAGTGGAATAACCAGTTATTGGAATTCGAATGTGTGCCCTGGACACCTACACATCACCAGTGCCAACACAGATACTGCATTTCCTTCTGCCTCTCTGGTTTGAGCATCCAAAGAAAAAAAAACACCAAGCCTGCCTTCCTCACATGAAGACAAAAGGAGTGGGGTAGAAGAGAAGAACAATCTATTTTGCATCTGCTGTTCATTGGGTAGTGTTCTAGGTATTTTAAATACACGCCTGTTTTTTTCTTCTGGTTTGAAATGGCACCTGGCTAGCAGACCTGATACAGCCTGTACCTATCTTTGACCCTGTTTTCAGAACATTATATTCCCATAAACTAGCACATGAGGAGTTTTCAAAACTATTTGTTAAATAAATGATGTATATCTGTGAAGACACTTACAAAGCAACTTTAAAAATATTGAAAGCACCACAGTACTTCTGAAAACTAAGATGAATTAAGAGCTTAATGGCAGACTCCGGGTAAATCTCAAAAAATGAGTCAAATGCAACTCTACTTTTAAAATCAACAATCAATCAACACCCCCTTATACAGGTTTTGCCTCATGAAAAACTCAGGCTGTGGTTCACAAGAAAGATTCCGGCTGCAGAAAGCCAGGAGCACATTGGAAGAACCCATCATCACTCCAAGCAGAGCACTTGAAGAGAAGGCCTGGTGCTCTTTCACATGAGCTAAAAGTCAGAAACCCCCAGAAAATAACAGAACAAGGTGTGGGATGTATGGTGCACATGGTATCCTGGTTTACAAACTCAGGAGCAGATGCAGGAAAAATGCTTAGTGCAATGCCAGCTGGAAGGAAGTGTTTCTGCGCACCTTGCTCACTTACCACACTAGGTGAGAAGAGGGTGTATGTGAACATAGACAGATGCATGCTCAATGATGCCCCCTAGTATCTAAGGACTCAGTGGGACCCTGAGTCCAGCCACCTTCCCTCCACCAGTGGAGAAAGGTCCCTGTCTCCACCCACTTTTCTGGGCAGCTGAAGCATTGAGACTGGGGAGCTCTTTCTTCTTTTATTTCATCTTTTTGTTTCAATCAGAAATATAAATAAAAAATACAACACGAGGCAACTCTAAAAGCACAACACAGTAAGACATCAAGAATCTTGTTCTCAACTTAGAGAAAAAGCATCCTTCTGGCTGGTAACCACAACATAAATTAGAAGTGAGCCCCTGGAATTCATTCAGCATACTCAAGAGCTCAAAACTCAACTCCAGTGAAAAAGGACAGGAAATTAAAGCCAACAAGATTAAAAAAATAAGAATATGGCTGGACATGTGGCTCATGCCTGTAATCCTAGTACTTTGAGAGGCCAAGGCAGGTGGATCACCTGAGATCAGGAGTTCAAAACCAGCCTGGCCAACATAGTGAAACCCCATCTCCACTGAAAATACAAAATTTGGCCGGGTGTGGTGGTGCACACCTATAGTCCTACTATAGCTACTCAGGAAGCTGAGGCAGGAGAATTGCTTGAACCCAGGAGGTGGAGGTTGCAGTGAGCTGAGACCATGCCATTGCACTCCAGCCTGGGCAACAGAGTGAGACTTGGTGTCAAAAAAATAGTAATAAAAAATAATAATATGAAAGGAGAGAATGAACAAAGAGAGAGAAATGAGTAAAGAAAGGGATACAAAAGATTAAAAGTGCAACAGGATTTAAAGCCATGTTGTAGACAGTGAACCACAGAACACCTGACCATGACTATGGCATACGTATTTGGGATTCTCTTTTGAACAGAGAGAAAAAGGACAAAGAAATGAAAATGATGAAAGAAAAGAGCATGATCAATGAGCACAGATAACAGTCTAAACATACAAAAATTAACTGGTGGTCTAGAAGGGATCTCTTGTCCCTCCAAAGAACAGAAGTTATCAAACGTTACCCTCTCTAACTAAAAGAGCAGCAATGATGTGGGCTTGCTGATTTAGAAAGTTCACAGTGTTTCATGTAAAAGCCATCGGTGAGAGGCATATTTATATATCCTCCAGCAAGTGATGAAAAATTGCAAGGAGAAGGAAGAAAGCACATCCTGCCTTTCTCTGGATAAAACAGAGTTTATCTACATAAAAGAGCAATGACAGATGGCCTCCAAGTCATCCTTTAGAACATGCAGTGCCAGACTGGGAGCAGAATCTTAACAAGTCAGAGGGAAAAAAAGTTATATCTTACAAATAGGACCAGCCAAGTGATATGTTGTTGGTGAAGCAATTATATTTTTTTCAGCTGGATTGAATTTAATTAATACTTTTTCCATTGAAAGTCACAATGTGACCATAAGGATAAAAAGAACTCACATTAAGAAGAAAAGAGAGTAACAGACATACAATGACAAAATAGAGTAGAGTTGACTAAAAGCACGACAAGCAAAAATATTTACAGATCACTCTTCTTCAGCCTTTTCTAAAGCAACAAATCTAAACAGTGCTATGCCTTATGCTGCTTTTTTTGTTGTTGGTGAAGCAATTCTGAGGGCCATTCATTATTCTATCAACTTATTTATTAACAAAACATAGAAACTGATGAACTAATCCCTTCACTTAGAAACAAGAGGAAATCAGAACAAATACCTAGTATACTAAATAAGATACCAATAAATTAAAACAGAAAAATCAATAAAATAAGTCCAAATCTAGTTTGTTGTCAAGATCTTTTTAATTTTAATCCACCCAAAATTTAAATAAAAATTATATGATGCTGTGGCTCACACCGGTAATCCCAGCACTTTGGGAGGCCCAGGCGGGCAGATCACTTGAGGTCAGGAGTTCAAGACCAGACTGGCCAACATAGCGAAACCCCATCTCTACTAAAAATAAAAATTAGCTGAGTGTGTTGGTACGCACCTGTAATCCCAGCTACTCGGAAGGCTGAGGCAAGAGAATCACTTGAACCCAGGAGGCAGAGATTGCAGTGAGCTGAGATCACACCACTGCACTCCAGCCTGAGCAACAGAGCTAGACACCATCTCAAAAACAAACAAACAAACAAAATGATATGAAGTGACTAGATCAATTTGGCCACTTTCATTTGATAATAAACCCATGTATCAAATGTTACACTTAATTTTAAGATAATATTTGAATAGCAGTGAGGCTGGAGAAACTTTCCCAAGTAAAACCCAAAAGGAACACAGGAAAAGGGAGTTAGCTCACCTTTAAATATTTTAAATAACTGTGTGCCATATGATGCCACAATGTAGAAAGACAAATGATAACCTTCTTGACTACCCACATAATAGACAAATATCTGTATCCCTAAATCACTAAGAACTTCTGCAAATGTATAGGTAGAAGAGTAAAGAGTAAGTAAAAAAAAAAAAAAAAAAACAACAAATGGACAGATATCTAGACTGACAATTCAAAGAAAAGAAAATTCAAATAATTATCAATAAATATGTGGTCAAGGACATGTAAATTGAAGCAGTGAGGAGATCTCATTCATTTTACACACTAGCACAAATTATGAATATCGGTAACATTCAGTGTTAGCAAGAACATTAGGAAAAGGACATTCTCAGGCAGTGCAGTTAGGAAAATGAATCATTACAAACTTTAAATGAAATAAACTAGCATTATCTATAAAAGGTTAAAGTCATGTTTTCTCTTAACCAGCCATGTTTTCTTCTGGATATTTACCCTATACAATAAAAATTTCAGCATGCATATTTATCTGTATAATTGTAAAACATTATTTGAAAACAAAAATACTGGAATCAACCATCAGTAGAGCTTAAATTAAATATCCTATAATAAAACATTATGGAATATTAAGCAGCTGTTTTATATTATTTATCAGCCCAGGGAGATATTCACTATGTACCATTACTTAAAAAATATCAAGTTGCATTGTGATCCCATTTTTATAAGACAAAACAAGATCAATATCAAAATGTGTATATTCTGGATATATGAATGGATGAATGAGTAGATAGATAGACAGACCAATATGCAAATCAAAGTGTTAAATAACACTGATTATCTGATTACCTAAAAGGAAGAATGGGAGAATGGAGAGGGAGTAGGGAAAAATAAACTCTTTATTCAGATAATTTTAGATTGTTTTATTTGTTCTAATTTAATAACAAAAATTGAAAATATGAAGCACCAGTAAAATAAAGAAAAGGCAATGCATGACTTCTGGAAGGAGAAAGGAGACAATTACAAATAAGGCTATGTAAGGAACAGTAAGAGACCATTCGGTGTAGACACCTATGATAATATCTTTGAAAATCTAAATGAGATGAAAAATGAACACATTTTAGAGATGACCAAATAAAAGTTATTCCAGGAAGGTAAGGATGGTTTAATTCCAGAAAATCTGGTAATATAATCAATTATATTAATAGCTCAAAAGAGAAAAATAATGTATTTATTTCAAGAAATGGTCTTAAAATGCACTGCATATGCAAACATAAAAGGATATAAATTTCTTTGGGATTTTATCATTAAGTGCATTAGTGTGTGTAATAAACATGTACATAATAAAATTATTGGTGTATATAATAAACATGTACACTCATGCACTTAATGATAAAATCCCTAAGAAATTTCCAACAAACTCAGAAACACTGATGTCTTTCAATTCAATTAGTACAGAAAAAGATAGGAATATATATTGGAAAATATGAGACAAAAGAATCATTATTCATGGATTGTCTGTCATAGGAGAGAAAGTAATGAACTGAAGAACTATTACAACTAACTATATAGGTCAGAGATCATGAGATAAAAAATAAGTTTAAAAAATTTGTATTTTTTCCTATATAAGAACAATAAAAAGATAGAAAATATAATAAAAATTGCATTCACAATAGAAAGAAAAAAGTTAGAATAACAAAAAATGATTTTAACAAAAATATTCACATTTAACTGCAAAATCTATTGAGAGCCAAAGAGGGATATTTAAACAAGATCAAGAGTCATATTATGTCCATTAATAGGAAACAATAACAGCAGAAATACAATATGTCAAATCTTCCCAATCTAATTTATACATTTAATTCCATTTGTACCCCAAAAGGGATATTTTTTTCTCATAAAAATGGTTCTAAAATTAACCTTGGAAATAAGTGAAGAAGAACAATCAGAAAATGTCTGAAATGAAATGAGAGGGACTTGTGTTTCTAGATGGGGAAATGAACGATAAAGCCACCATAGCTGAGACAGCGAGGCACTGGCAAAAGAGTCACTTCATCTATGGGCAAGTGACTTTTAAAAAATATCAAATGCATTGTGATCCCATTTTTGTAAGACAAAACAAGATCAGTATCAAAATGTCTATATTCTGGATATGTGAATGGATGAATGACTAGATGGATAGATAGAGATGCAAACAAAACTGTTAACTGACACTGATTATCTGATTACCTAAGAGGAAGAAGGGGAGGATTAAAAGAAGAATGGGAGAGACTAAAAATCTTAGTGGGAGTGTGTATAAGAATTTAGCATGTTGTTGATTGAGAATACAGGGACACAGGGAGGGGAACATCACACACCAGGGTGTGTCGGAGTGTGGGGAGCTAGGGGAGGGATAGCATTAGGAGAAATACATAATGTAGATGACGGGTTCATGGGTGCAGCAAACCACCATGGCACATGTTTGTACCTATGTAACAAACCTGCACGTTCTGCACATGTATCCCAGAACTTAAAGTATAATAAAATAAATAAATTGCTACATTTCAAAAAAATTTAGTATATTAAAGGTCATATTTCAAAGCAAAGGTTAAAGTCTAACCCAATAAATAGCTCAAGTTCAAGTGGCTAATTAGAAAAAATTAAGTCAAATTCCCCTTCTCAGAAAACATTAGAATTAATTCGTAATGGATTCTTTTAAAGGTAAAATACAAAAACACACACACACACACACACAAAAGAAGAAGAAAATATAGAAATATAGATAAATATTTGAACTTGGGAGAAGATAGAGGTAGGAACACAGAAGCAAAAGGAAAAGATAGAGACAGCGATCACTTTAAACACATGCACATGTTATACAAGAGATAAAGTAAATAATAAGAGCAAACACAAAGTATGTAAGAATATATCATTAATCTATAAAAGACTCTTAAAAAATTAATACGAGAAAAATAAATACCTACATTGATAAAGAGTCCAAGGCCAGAAACAAATGATTCACAAGAGAAGAAAGCCAAATAGCCAACAACATGTGATAATACAAATTCTACCTCGTAGTAATCAAAGAAATGCAAATTAAAATAACAACAAAGCATCGTTTCTATGACATCAAGTCTACAAAACTTAACGAACACAAAATGCCCAGTGTGGGTGAGGAACTGGGGAAATGGGCACTTTCGTGCACTGCTGATAGGAGCATTATTTTATACGTAATCTTTCAGAAATGCAATTTTCTACAATGTTTCAAATTGGGCACAACCTTTAAACAGGGAATTCCACTTCTAAGAACTCTTCCTAAGGGAACAGGCAAAAGCAATTGCAAATAATTATGCACCTTCACGTTCATCACAATGATATTTGTAATGGCGACAATTTTTACATGACCTAAATGTCCAATTGGGGCTAGTTAAATGAATTTTGTTACTTCGCTCTGATAGACTAGAATCTATTCTGCCTTTCAGATTCATGTTGAGAATATCCATTTACATGGTTAAATAGTCCAAATCTACTGTCAAGTACCAAAGGCAGCTTACAAAACAGAACAAATAATATCATTTCAATATAGTAAAGCAATGACTACAGCCTGCGCTAAAAAGAGGCTGGGGGGATATGCCCAAACCATTCAGAATAGATTTCTGAGTGGCGTTGTTATCTTCTCTTTGACTTTCAAAAGTTTTACAATAAACATGGTTTACTTTTATACATAGGGAAAAGAAACATGACATTTTATTTTTGTGGCAACTTATTATCATCAAGTTTCCAAATATTCTTAACCTCAACAAAATTCTGGGAATTGTAAGCCAACTGGAAGCTTTTCAGAAAACCACAGTTTGTGTGGCCTGTGTGCCTGTCAGGTCAATGCTCAGCATCGCCCTGGTTGCTGAAGCCCATTTGCAGGGGAATTCATCACCGCCATCTTGGGTTTCCTGCCAAGTGAAGACCCAAAGCTCCCATTGAGCGAGTGTTCACTCTGGGCTGGATGCTGGGAGGAACGTCCTAGGATGGTTTCCATGTTTAAAGTGAGGGAACTGAAGCAGAGAGAGATGAAGAAATTTGCTCCACATCACACAGCTTGCAGGTGGAGGAGCTGGGATCCCAGCTCACACCCGTGAGCTGCTTTCCTTCCCCCAACACACTGTCATCTTGACTCAATGTGCACATCCCTGCGGAGAAGAGTTATCCTTTTAAGTTAGGTGTGGTCACATAACTTGCTTTGACCAGTGAGATGTTGGCAGAAGTGACATGTTACTCCCAAGGAAAGCTTTAAGAATGAATCTGTGCCTCACCCCGCGCCCTCTTTTCCCCTGTGCCACGAGAGCTGACGATGTTCCAGAGAGGAGCTGCTTTGTCAGCTTAGGTCCTGGCCAACCTCAGATGGGCTTTTAGCATAAGCAAAAAATATACCTTAGTTGCTTTTCAACTCTGAGATTTGGGGGCTGTTTGTTCTTGCAGCACAACCTAGCTTATCTTAACTGTGACATTGCCATTGAACAATAAACTTAACTGAATTTCCAACAGTAAAAGAGGGGAGGAGAATAGCATGTACTTACGTGATTCTCCTCTTTTCTGAGAAAAGAAAATGCACAAGTCTCTTAGGAGCTGGTACTAAATTTCAGAATAATTGTTTTGCCTGGATCTTTAGACCAGAGACAGTAAGAAACATAATAAATTATTCACATAAACGAGACTCTTTCTGTTCTTCAATATTCTAATCAAAAAGTAAAAATGATATTGCCTGCCTTGCAGAACTGGGGTGAAGACCAGAGATGATGTGAGTAAATTTCCTAGCACTATGGCTGGGCTTAGCTGACCCTTGATTACGTGTCCTGGGTTCTATCTGGTGACAAAGGAAACCGTCATGTTGGATGGGGAGGGCGGCTGCACATAAATTATCAATTATACAATGACAGAAGTTTGCAAAAGCTTATTGTTTATAAAAATAAGAGCAGATGAAAAGTTGTCACTAATATTACTCTCACTCACAATCTGATATGTAATCTTGACCTAAAGGGGTATTGTTACAACTCTAAAGTTATGAACAACAAAGACGTGACGTCATCAGCCAGGTGCATCCCCTTCAGAAGGAAGTGCCAAGGACCAGAGCTTTTAAGAGATGGTTGAGCCCGCTCTACTAGTGACCTGAGTTTCCTATAAATCTCCCACATTTACCTAATCCAGAACTGGAATTTACTGATTTGCTTGGAAGAAGTTGGTTTGTTCGTTTCCCAGAGTTTTGAAATGAAGACTGCACAAGTCCTGGCAGATGGCAGAAAAGTCAAAAGAGTCTCCATCAGGTCATTTTTATATAATAGAATTTCAGCGGGAAAATCAAATTAAAACATTCATCCAATTAGTAAAATATATAGGTAGAAATTATGCATCATTTTTGGATTTTTTTCTGACTTCTGTGATCCTTTTGGAATTTAATTCATCCTCTTTGCCAATGTCAAATCTAACAACTGAGACACCAGTGTCGAAGTTAATAATATTTCAACTTGAGAATTTGGGAGAATTGTGAAATTCATAAAAGAGATATTTGAAACTCTTTATAATTATGACAAGTATATCTAGATTTACCAGAACTGCCTATATTTTGGGAAGAGAAAATGTAATCTTTAACAGATAAATTAATTATCCCAACAGCCAGAGCATTGGCCAGGAAGTGAGAAAGTTTATCCCAGAGTCTTAGGTTACTGAAATGTAACCACAGCCTTCTCCCCTTCCCCAGGCCTGCAAGAGGAACTCAGCAACCAGAGAAGTCTTGGGCTGAATTTTATTATGAGACAGTATTGTTCTTCTTGAATATGAATGTGCCCCTGACTGAGGTAACAGTTGGGTTTTAAGTGGTCTAAAAACATAGAAAAAAAACCACGTTTTAAAAAATTATTGGCACAACATAGATTATCTCTTTAAGGTAAGGCTACCTGCTTGTGGGCTGAATGGACTCTTCCAGTGTCAAAGGCAGGGTGGTCCCATGGCAAAAGGAAAGGGCAGACCTCAAACCCTCCACCAAACCTGGGTATCATTCCAAGTGCTGGCCCAGAAAGCTCCTCAAGACAAACGGCCTGCCTCTGTGGTCAGTGTTCTATTGGCTTTATGAATGAATTAAAGAAATAAGGAAGGGAAGATGTAACACGTGTCTCCCTATAGAAAGTGATTAATAAGAATCTTTGTTAGACTTGCTTTTGATAACATTTTTCCCTATCTTCGACATTTTATCAGATCCACTTTAAGAATTAAAATCATTTTGTGTTGGCTACTGTGGGGTTTTATTTTCATTTTCAGTTTTTGCCTCTTTTGTGTGAAATTCTGCAGAGAATGAGATATTGTGCTGTAAGATCACAAATTACTGAAATCTAAGGTGGTGTGCTTTTGAACTTTCCTGTGTTATTTATCTAAATGTATGGAGAAATCTGTGTTAAAATTTAAAATGCAATCTATCAATTCATCTTTTTGTTTATTCAGAATGTTTTATTGCACACCTGTTGTGAGACCCACTGTACTTGTCTTCAGAAATACCAGAAGAAACTACGTGGAGGTGTTTTTTAGAGCTTTCTTATCTCGCAGTTCCAAATTTCTCATTAGTTCTTCCATTTGAAAAGTTCTAAGCGCCTCCTCACACTGTGTCCCCTTCTTTTCTTTTCCATTTTGCTTTTGTCCCCAACATCTCAGCTGACCCCAGAGACGTCGATGATTAATATTCCTAATTAATATCTGTTAGCCAAGAATTGTCACCTCCTTAAACCATCATCTATAAAGTACATTTATTGGGCTACTTTGTTTTTACTTTCATTTAGGTGCACGGATGCAAATTAAAGACATTAACTAATCAGGCCTGAGAATAATTTATAAAGAAAAAGAAAGGGGTATGTCTTTTCCAACATAAAATATATGGAATTGCTACCAAAATGATCCAACTGAGCCCTACTGGTTTATTCAATAAGGGTCCTCTCAAATTCCATCTGTGAACATTTGGTCAGTCCTTTTATGGAGAAAAGACATTTCTCCGGGTTCATATTAATTTTTGTGCACGTCTGTGCACTCACCTAATCCCTACCCGCATACCACTTCAATTAAAATTAACGGAAGTCAAATCCTTGAATGGTTTTAATTGCAATATGTAGATTATAAATGGTGCCCATCTTCAACCACACAAAAATTATTTTTTCCTTGGCCTTTCTCTCAGGAATAATATTTAACTATAGAGCTCGTTATTATGGATGAATTTTCATTTATTGTGTTACTGCTTCGCATGATACTGGGAGACCTCACCAATGAGCTAAAGGCCAATCAAAATTAATGCAAAAGTACAATTAAGGAATATTTTAAAGAAATGCCTTTTCATTCTATTCAAGGGCATACGGTGATATGCATTGCCAGAAAGAGGATAATGTTGGGCCTGCTTTAATGAGGCAAGCGTAATTATGTGTCAGCTCTATAAATGATGCGGTAAATGGTTTTTTCTCTTAAGTATGTTAAATATTGCCCTTACATCTGGTTTACAATATTCGCAGAATACTCCTCTCATAGACCCCTCAAAGATACACTTGAAACCAGCCTGTTTCCAAATTATCTGTCCTTTAAGCCAGCGGAGTATGACTGAATACTCAGTTTCATTTCCACACACATCCTGTATACACATTGCCATTTGCTAAACATTTTCAGCCTCACACCGGTCGACTAGTGATTCTTGTCTATGTACTCAAATTAAAACAGTAGGCAAAACCACCCTTAAGAATTCAGCTTTTGTTTGTTTTAGCAAAAGCAAAAATTTCTTTCATGTCCACACTCCCTTAAAAGCAACAAGTAATGTACCCTTTGTCAATTAAAGAGCAGAATTGCAACTACACGCAATCAGAGTTTTTATCTTAGGGAAACAATTACACTGCCTCATATAATAAGCTACGATAAATAGAATTTGTCACCAAAACAGAAAATATCATTAAGAAAGGAAAAAGTCAAAGATGACACCAAGAAATGTCAGCTAGGTTAATCACACTTAATTTGAAAAGATGACTATAACTTTAAGAACGCAGCTTAGCTGGAGTTGGAGCTTAGGTTTTTATTTTGCTACTTTATAGCCTGCTTCACAACTACTTGGACAAATACAAAACAAGAATTACAGTGCCCCATAAGTTATTTTAATATCCTGTAGTGGTGCATACTTCCAATGAAATCCCAAGACTATGATTACGGTTCTGTGTTTGTGTGAAAATGTCAAGTTGTTTCGAGTGACTACATACTCTAAATTATATATAACTGTTACTTTATAGCTAATAGGCACTAAAATTACTTTAAAACAGAAATGTAAAGTTATATTTTCATCCTTTTTGACAGATAATACAGCTTATTTATGAGATACAATTTTTCAAGCATTAAAACATCTCATGTTTACAAAAACATTAAAAATATTATTACTTGATATTTAAAGGAATGAAAAAAGCAAAACCATTAGGAAAATATTTGTCCAGCTCAGTGACTCCTCCATTTTGTCACACCGTTACAACTTCACTTATGAAAGTTACTAAACACTTTTAAAATTAAAAATATTTGTAAGTTCAAATAGAGGCCAGTGATTTAAGATCTGTCTTGTTTCATAATCTGTTGGCAGGAACAAAATCCTTCCATATATATTTTAGGTGCAATGATGACATCTGATAGATTGTGTCTATTTATTTTAATCTGTATCTCCAGAAGTCATGTTAGTTAATTATTCAACCACTGAATCAGTGGGTGGAGTTAAATTATATTTGTTATTGCTCAGAAATAGAGTTTTGCATTTCTTCTCCAGTGGGACTAGATTGCTTGATAATCCTGTAAATTTCTTCAGTCCATCCCTCTATCCATAACACCCTGCCAGAAGTGCCGAGGAGACCTGGAGTGAGAGAATTAGTGGGTGAGTGAGTGAATTAGTGGGTAGGTGAATGAGTCAGTGAATGAGTGAGTGGGTGAATGAGTGGATAAGTGAGTGAATGAGTGAATGGTGAGTGGGTGAGTGAGTGGGTGACTGGGTGGGTGGGTGAGTGGGTGAATGAGTAAATAAGTGGATAAATGAGTGAGTGGGTGAGTGAATGAGTGCGTGAATAAGTGGGTGAGTAGATTAGTGGCCGGGTGAATGAGTGGGTGGGTAGGCGAGTGAGTGAGTAAATAAGTGGGTGAGTGGGTGACGATGAGCAAGTGGATGAGTGAATGAGTGGGTGAATAAGTGGGTGAGTGAGTAGGTGAGTGAATGAGTGAATGAGTGGGCGGGTGAATGAGTGACTGAATAAGTGAATGAGTGAGTGGTGAGTGAGTGGGTGAGTTAATTGGGTGGGTGGGTGGGTAAGTGAATGACTGGCTGGGTGGGTGAGTGTGTGGGTGGGTAAGTGATTGGGTAAATGAGTGACGGGTGGGTGAGTGGATGACTGGCTGGGTGGGTGAGTGTGTGGGTGGGTAAGTGATTGGGTAAATGAGTGACGGGTGGGTGAGTGGGTGAGTGGGTGAGGGAGTGAGATAATGGGTGGATGGTTGGGTGAATGAGTGGGTGGGTGGATGACTAGATGAGTAAGTGGGCAGGTGAGTGGGCAACTTAATGGCTGAGTAGGTGGGTGGGTGACTGGGTAAGTGGGTAGGTGAGTGGGTGAGTTAACGGGTGGATGGGTGGGTGAGTAGGTGGGTTAATGCGTGGGTGGGTGGGTGACTTAATGTGTGGGTGACTGGGTAAGTGGGTAGGTGAGTGGGTGAGTTGATGGGTGGGTAGGTGAGTGAGTTAATGGGTGGGTGGGTGAGTTGGTGAGTTAATGGCTGTGTAGGTGAGCGAGTAGGTGAGTTAATGGCTAGGTAGGTGGGTGACTGGGTAATTGGGCAGGTGATTTAATGGGTGAGTGGTGAGTGGGTGAGTAAATGGGTGGATGGGTGGGTGTGTGGGTGAACGAGTGGTTGGGTGGGTGGATGAGTAACATACAGCACCTGCCCCTCACCTTTGAGAGTCTTCACTTTATGGAGGAGGAAACAGAGAATGCCAAAAAGCTCAGCCCACATCACACAGCTGCTGGCCTTGTTTTCCTCTTTGAAAGTGGTAAACAGTGTTGAAGATGGCAAGGAGTGGATGTCGGCCTTTTTTGAAGGTCCAGCCTGTAAGAGCGGTGCTGGAAGGCATCTATGCCCAGAGATGAGATGAGCCTGCTAGGGCTTCCTTCTGGGCCCACAGCCACCTTTCTGTGGCCAGGTCAGCTTGGTTGTGGCAAAGTACAGGCAGAGGGCATTCCATTGATGAGCCAGACATCAGCAGGCCACACCAGTGTTGGCGCTTCAGCAAATGAAGGCTGGCCAGGCCACCATGCTGGCTCCAGGGAGATGCTGGAAGTGTGGAGTGGGCTGTGGCAATGGCCTTGTTCTGGGTACTCCATGAGGAGGGGACACTCCACAGCTCAGGGCACACCTACCATGAGTCCAGAGCAAAATGCAGCGGGCGGGAATATGACAACGAAGGACCCCTGGAAACATAATCCCTTCCAGAGGGACCTGAAAGAAAGCATTTCAAAGGTACACTGGGTGGACACTAGGGGCTTCACGCTGCCGGCCTTCCATGCCCTCCCAGCGGCACTGACTTCCTCAGGGGCATTGCGTCCTCCCCACTGGAGAAAGTCAAACCCTCCTTCCCAGGAATACAAACACAGAGGCTGTGGAGTTGTCTCCTGAAAACAGTGGTGCCTCCACCATGTCTGAGGGGCCCTGCTGCAAGAGCCCCCAGCTTCCTGTTTTTTGCTCCCTGAGGAGGCCTTGGCTCCTGCCCATCCCAGTTTCCCACCAGCTCCCTGCCAGAAAAGGCCCTTTTTGCTTTAGGGGCCAGAGCTGGGTTCTCTTGTTTGTAACCAAAGAATCCATAGCACCTGGTGGCACCATCCTCTTGTCCCTGCTGGCCACAAGCTTGCCAATAACATGGCGGCCCATTACTCTGTCTGGATTTCAGACCCAAGATGGAGAGACCTTCTGCTACCCTCGGCTTCACTGCCTGGAAGCTGTCCCGTGTCCTTTGCAGAGCCCAGGTCTGGAGGAATCCAGTAGTGAGGGAACATGAGTCACAAAACCTCCCTGCCCCATGGGTACTATGAGCACCACTACAGCCACTTCCAAGCCCTGAACCCCCTCCAGGGTTCTTTTAGGTTACAGGTTCCAGGCCTGTTTCATGCAGCTTCTGCCAATACGCTCTTTTTAGGAAGAAATGGTGTTCCTGTCCCTGGAAAGTTAATGCCTGTCCTCCAAACTACCCAGTTAGCCACAGGCCTGCCCAGGGCTCCCCCAGTGACTTTGCCACCAGGACAACATCCTCATGACCACCCCGTCTGATCTGCCTTCATCTGCAGGCCCATGCCTTCCTTCTCAGGAAGGAGAGTGAAGCACAGCCCTTAATAATTCTGGCCCATGCCACCATTGGGGCAGCCCAAGGCTCCAGCACAAGAAGGTGGTCCATCCTGGGCATCAGCCATGTCCACCCAGCCACCAGGAATCTTGGCTCCGCTGCCCAGGGCAGGGAGTCAGATCTGAACTCCAGCACCATGGTCTCTGCAGGAGGCCCAGCGGGAGCCTAGTGAGCAGCTAAACCGAGGACAAAATGTTTAGCTGTGTTTTAAAAGACTAATCTCTGATCACACCCCACAGACTTTGTTCCTCCTCCCGAGCCATCATTAACTATTAATCCAGCTCACGGGCAGGGGAGGGGAAACCCATCTCTTCTGTTTAAAGGAGGGAAAAAATCACAGCATTACACGATTGTGAAGCAAAATGTGTTAGGAAGATATAAACACAGTCAAATCTATTTCAAGATTCACTTACACAGGAGTGCAGGTGTGTGTGTGTTTATGCATCCGTCCCTGTATACAGGGGTATGTGTGTTTATGCATGCATCCCCATGTACAGGGGTGTGTGTGTGTGTATGCATACGTCCCCATGAACAGTGGTGTGTGTGTTTATGCATGCGTCCCCGTGTACAGTGGTGTTTAATGCATGTGTCCCCATTTATGGGTGTGCATGTGTTTATTCATGCATCCTCATGTACAGGTGTGTGTGTGCTTATGCATGTGTCCCCGTGTACAAGGGTGTGTGTGTGTGTTTATGCATGCATTCCCATGTACAGAGGTGTGTATGCATGTTTATGCATGCATCCTGGTGTACAAGGGTGGGTGTGTGTGTGTATGCATGCATCCCCATGTACAGGTGTGTGTGTGTGTTTATGCACGTATCCCTGTGTACAGGGATGTGTGTACATGTTTATGCATGCGTCCCCATGTACAGGTGTGTGTGTGTGTTTATGCACGTGTCCCCATGTACAGGTTGTGTGTGTGTGTTTACGCACCTGTCCCCATGTACAGGTGTGTGCGTGTGTTTATGCATGCGTCCCCATGTACAGGTGTGTGTGTGTGTTTATGCACGTGTCCCCATGTACAGGTTGTGTGTGTTTATGCACCTGTCCCCATGTACAGGTTGTGTGTGTGTGTTTACGCACCTGTCCCCATGTACAGGTGTGTGCGTGTGTTTATGCATGCGTCCCCATGTACAGGGGTGTGTGTGTTCATGCATCTCCGTGTACAGGTGTGTGTATGTATTTATGCATGCATCCCCGTGTACAGCAGTGTGTTTGTGTTTATGCATGCATCCCCATGTACAGGTGTGTGTGTGTGTGTGTGTGTGTGTGTTTATGCACGTGTCCCGTGTACGGGTGTGTGTGTGTGTTTATGCATGCATCCCCATGTACAGGGGTGTGTGTGTTTATGCATGCATCTCTGTGTGCAGGTGTGTGTATTTATGCATGCATTCCTGCGTTTATGCATGCATCCCCATGTACAGGTGTGTGTGTGTGTGTGTGTGTTTATGCATGTGTGCCCCTGTGGTGGGGGTATGAATGTTTATGCATGTGTCCACATGCACAGGTATGGGTAGCAGAAGGGAGAAGGCTCTGGGAGCACTCCTGAGCCAATAAGATTTGCAACAATTGCTAAGGAATTCTTTACCTTGATGTTGATTTAATACCAGATGAACCTGAGAAGGCAGAGAAATTTACTTGTTGGGTTAATACAAGAATATGTTTAATCTGTAATGGCAGATGTAACAATTTCATGATTTTTCTCAGGAGTTATTATGAAATATCTTATTGTTTATTGTCTAGATCAAATGAGAGGATGATGGATATATGCTGTTAGCCAAGGTGAAATATGGTATAATACAACCGAATGTCTTTAGAATTTAGGCAAATAAATGTGCAAATCCATGCCACAAGATAGAGATGATACAATATTCAAAACCAGGGTCACTAAACACTTCCACTTCACATGAGAAACAAGTAGAGTTGAAATCTTTGTACTGCTGCTCATGTTTCAGCATCTTGAGAGGCAGAAAGGCCATTCCTCTCCTGGTTCTTCATGTTTGTGGTGGTGTTTGCCCAGAAAGTTTTCCCATCAGCCCTTCTTCTGAGAACAAAGCCCTTATTTGTGTGGGGTCCATTCCATGGGACACCAGTAGGGCTGACCCTTTCTCCCCAGTGACAGGGCCCCTGTCCCAGGCCCAGCCATCAGAGTTCCACATTGCCCAGCCACATAACTGGTCTCGCCACAGTCACAGCCCCCAAGCCAGGCTGGCCAGAGCTGTCGCTAAGACCTAAGATCTCCTTTTACTAAGACCACCACCTTTTGATCACGGTGCAAATGGCCATGTTTTCTGTTACATGGGGAGAAGCTGCCTGCAAATGAAGCCAACATAGAAGAAAACAGAATCAAGAGATGAAAAAGATCAGATAGACTTCTGATGGCATAGGTTAAACCTCTGATCCAGCCAATTCCTTGACCAACCCTACTAAATGCCTGTTTTGGTGTAAGGAGTTATAGCTTGGAACTCAGTCACTTGCAACCAAGAGGATACTGGCTAAATATTGTCCTGTGTCAATGTTTCTTTCTCTCATTCGTTATTATTTCATTATTCCACACATTCTTCAGTGACCCAATAGTTAATTCACCTGCTTTTTTAAAATTGCTAGCTTGATTTACAGAAATAACCACACAAAAAAAAGCAAACATATTTCTTTCTTAAGCAGGGTAGAGAAAAGCTGAGATCAGTGTACTATAAATAACAAAAGGTGTTACCTTTCATGACAGCTTATCAAATGTATGTTCATAAAAAAACTGAAATTAAAAGTAAATCAAGTCTTAACAGAACAGTCACTAACTATGAGTCAAGACTGATTTAAGCAGAGAAACTCTTCAGAGGAGTGTGTGCTTGGAGCTCATCCACTTTTAGGTAATGGAAACATAACTGAACCAGAGAATCCAAATTTGGGGAGCTGCAGGGATCCCAGAATCCCCCCTCTGCCTCTTCCCCGTCAGGAAGCAGAAGTGATGGAACTTGCCCCAGATTGTGGAGCACATTAAATTCCGTCAATCATTCTCCAAGAAGTACAGTCAGCAGCTGCAGTAAAGCAAAGAGTTTGTTGCGAGGAAGAAATTGGTAGAAGACATCCCAGACGAGAAAGCCTTCAGAAGACAGAGCATTAGGGTTTGCCAGTATGCAGGCTGCTATCCGAGAGATGCTGCGGGATCCGAAAGTGCAGAGCAGAGAAACCAGAATGGTTCAGAGTTTGAGAGTAAGACTAAGAAGATAGATGGGTTAAGTCTATCCTAAACCATCCACCCCAAACAGACGAAGATTTTCCCCAGGACTGCCGGGTACTCAGTGCCCATAAGTCAAAAGTAGACGGGGAAATGGATGGTTGCCAATCCAATGTTTGATTTAACAACTAATTCAAAACTGGGAAACACAGGCCGAGGTTACAGAAGGAAATAATACATTATCGACTGAAGCGCTAGGCAGGAGACTGGAACTACACGAGAATTTTAGGAGTAAATTTTGTAAGTGACTAAATCACTTTTACTAAATGGATTCCTAAATGGCACCCTTAGAGGGTGGATGGGATGCTCATTTCTACGTATTAGAACTGATTTTTTCTTTTCAGAAAATTAAACTTGGGAACCACAGAGAAGTGGGCCAGAAGGATTGAGGGAAGTTTGTAAGTGTGTGGCTGTGGGTTGAGCTGCTGAGCTTGGACTTGGAACTCAGGGTTAGAAGGAAGGAGAACAGCATATGAGGCTGAGGGGGGAACAAATCCACAATTTATTTTTAATAGACATCTTTTGACTCCATAATCATTGTAGGAGAAATCTATATTCTTCATGGGCTTGAAGACATTGTGGGAGCAGCCTCGAACTTTTCTCAATAAATTGTTCTTATTTCTATAAAAAATATTCTTGTAACACATGGCAGGCATCCCTCCAGTTTACTCCTCAGTGGCTTTCTTGAGTCTGCCATGCAGCTCTCTTTGCTCTGGGTTACATAAGCCTAGTGGCTTTGGCCTGTCCTCAGGGGTCCCACTCTCCAAACGCACCTTCCGTTTTCTTGTGTCCTCCTGCACCTGCTACCCTGAGCTGATCCCTCTTGCCTCTCCTGCTGCTCTAACCTACACAGAGCCCCAAGTCATGGCCAACAGGGTGGGGAGATGCTCACGGTTCCCTCACTTGCTGCTCCTGTAGAGGAGCTGGCAGCGTCTCCGCAGCACAGACAGCCGCTCTAGTGGCTGGGACCATTCTCTGCTCCAGTTGGTCAGGGGTCGGCATTCCTGGCCTTCTGCTCCATGCTGAAGATCCAGGCCTGGCTCCTATCCCTGAAACCAGGAAAGGTTTGAGTTTTCTCCTCAAGGCCCCTCTCTCTATCCCTAACTTCCCTGGAAACCATGCACAGATGCTGGTTCTTCCTCGGTGCACCTTCCTGACCTCCAGATGGCCAGAGGGAAAGTGGAGAACTGCTCAGATGGTTTTGTGTATTTAGGAAGCCATCGCTGCAGCCGCGGTCCGGCCCACAGTCCTTCCATTGTTGCGGACACAGCCACCTATAACCAGCCTCTAGGTGGGCCTTGGGCACTGCTGGGGCTTTTCCTCTGCATACGGGCCCTCTCTCTGTACACACGGCTTCAGCACCATCTTCCCTTGAACTTAGTTATTTTCATTAGGATATGAGGTCTTAGATTTAATAAAAGCCAAAAACTGATGAAAAAGACTTTGGTTGGCCGATTAAAAAGGTTAAACATTTGTAAAGAGTCCTTTTTATTCAAATCACTTCTCTAAACATCCTTGAAAAGGAAACCAATATCTTTGACCAGGCACAGTTCCATCCAATCTCACCAGAAACCAACAGGCCAAGACACAAGCAGTGAATCCTTATCTGAGAAGGCTTTTAGGTACACAACCAGGAGCATTCTCTTAGCCGACCATGCTGTGGCTGTGTTTGCCATGGAAGCCTCTGCACTGGTTCCTCTCGATAGTTCCCACATCCTGAGCTGTCAACCTTAGTCCTACCAGACGTGGCTTCTACCTTGTCTCCAGTGGGTTGGCCTGAGCTCTTCCACTCCACTTCATCTGTCCTGATCCATCAGCTCTGAGTGCAAGCTAAAAGAAGACAGTTTCTTGAGGAAATAAGAAATGGTGTCAGCACTCATATAGAGCTTAAATGCAGGCCTTTCAGTAAGTTTTAAAGATGTATGAATAAAGGAATTCCCAGCAAATCTTGGGCACTTCATCAATCATATGGAAAGCTTTTAAAATAAAGTTACTAATACCTTAAGATGAGTGAACAGAAACAGTACTAGCGAGAGGTGTTGTTTTTACAACTTTAAAAGCTAATCAAGTCAGCGAAAACACAGCCCTTCATTCGAGAGCCTTCGACAGGTAGGACTCCGGGCATCTGCCTCTTCTTCATACTTTTCTATACTTTGGAAATTTACTGTGAGAAGCATGAATTTTCTTTGTCAACAACAACAACAAAAACCTAAAATTTCAAAGCTGGTGTAAGTTATAAAATACCAACAAAGCTAAGAGTCACTCAATCTGAAAGAAAACTTCCAGCAATATTTAGGTGGTGATATATATCCACAATGTGATTTCCAGGATAACAGTTATTTTATTTGCTTACGCAATTTGTAAAGTTTGGGGGAAAATAAACCATTCATCTCTACATGTTGCACTTGCCCAAAAAAATGCAACAGCTTATCTCTAGAAGGCGTGCTTCTTGTGTCGTTTTGGCATGTAATTGCTCCATATTTAAAAATGTTGACTGCAATCATAAAGTGTAGTGTTTAAAATTCAGTTCAACTCACCCCTTGTCCTTGCTGAAGGTAGTTATTTGTCTCTGTCCTCTGAGGGACCACATGGTATGATGCTCAAAACATGAAGAGTAAGAAAGAAGGAAGGCATGCAAATCATCACAAAATGAATCCAGCTTTATTTCATTAATTATATAGAGTAGGCGCTAAATATCATATTTGATTCAGAAATAAATAATATATAACTGAAAACACAAGCATCCAATGCACAGCGGCATCATACAATGACATGGTTTTATATGAGAAATTAATCAAGTCTTGCAAAAGTTAAAAGCATGCGTTTTCTAAGCCCTAGAGGCCTGCAGCTAGCGGAATGCTGCTGTGAGAGAGCGCCGCCCTCGTGGCTGGCAGTTCACAGGGGGTTTTGAAAGTGATTGGCTTAGATGGTTGAACTATTATTTTAGATCACCAGTGACATTCTAGCGACATCAATCGTGACATTCTAAAATGCAGTGGTTGTACTGATTCTCATAACATTTATGAATTAAGACAACAGACCCCAGGGAGTACATCCAGTCTGGAAGTTTTATCATGACCCACTTTGCTCCAATAGGGTGAAACAATATTTCCACAGATTATTAAGAATATTATTACATCCTTTAACACACACACACGCACATACATATCCATAATATTAAGAATATTCCCACAGAATATTAAGGATATTAAGGAAATGAAATGCGTAATAATGAAGCTGATTTCTCACTTTGAGGGAAATATTTAAGGGGATACAGCCACTAACGAGTGCCTCCAGCAGTCAGCTCCTGGACTGAGGCTTCCAGAGGCAGCCAAGCAGGTGGTGCCCCTGCAGACCCCCATCAGCCTGGCCTCCCACTACCCCTGCCCCTGCCCCTGCCCGGGGTGCAGGAAGAGCCGCATTCCTGAGAGTGCTAGGAACATGAGCCTGATGGGTTGGAGACAGAGCTGGAGGCCAGGCAGGCCATGAACTTGAATATTCTGCCCAAGCCAAAAGGAAGTGAAAATGAGAGTGTGGGAAATACAAGGTCCAGAGCACTGGGCTTTCCAGAGGCAGTCGGAGGAGAGTGTTTCTCAGAGATGCTTCCACCTACGAGCTCCATGTGCCTTCCCAAGGGAACAGCATGGTGGCTCGCCATGACGTGGTCAGCCACTCTGGGTCACCAGGCCACCTAGTTGTGCTCGTCAGGCTTCCAGGCTGGGCCAAAAGGTGACCTCTGAATGCCCCCAGGGTCAAACTGTTTGCAGCATGAGATGCCCTGTAAATTGGAGAGACCCGGGTGCTCCCTCTGGCCACATCAGATGAGGCCGGTAATGCTTCTGGAATCTCCAACCTGAGGTCGGGTGAGTCCTCATATTCTGCCTCTCTGATGAGCTCAGGATGGAACTAAAATTGCTGGCTGTACTTTAAAGACTAGAAGTCTGGAAACCGCTGGATCTTTGAGAAAGCCTAGTGCTTTCAGAGGAACTGTTAAGGGTTCTTCCTTTTGAGGTGTGTGTGTGTGTGTGTTTTTCCACCTTAAATATGTTGTTTAATGAATAATCTTACAGGGAACAATTACCAGGGTCTAACATGCCACATGCCCTGTTCTGTAGACTGGTAGGAATTTGCCTCAAAGATACAGAATTTAAGTTCATTAATTCTAAACCTAGATTCTCTTTACAAAGGACAGTAAAATACCTATGCCTAAAATCTTCAGTATTTGGTAACTATTAACTGTGGTGACAAGTGATAATGGGGAGTTAACACTTAGCTTGGAGCCCGTTCATATATGCTAATATAAATTATCTGGGTCCTGAGCCTGGCAGGACAGACTTACTAGCAAGGCAGTGAGATCAGCAGCAACTGTTTGAGACCATTTGCTCTGTATGCAATTCACACTTGTCACCACCACGGCCAGTCACAAGGAACATTCAGGCAAGTACTTCTCTTAAGGTCACCTCATTAGTCAAAAGGCCATCTTAGCTACCAGAGGAGAGAGGGTCTGTGGAGAGCTGCCAGCATCTCTGGGAGGGCCATGAGGAGTAGCTATTCATTTTCAAATAAAACTTTTTTGGTTCAGAAGCAAGCTAAGATTCAGGAGAAAATCATCTAAAATAGCTCAGTTGCACAAAGTCATCTACAAAGGAAAATGTGGGCTGAACCGCCCAGTTTCAAAGCTGAACATTGGTGACTGTATGGAACTTCCCAAATGAAGAATTTCTAGAGCAAAACCTTAGGCACGAGCAATCTCTAAAAGTTTAAATTCACATGGCGTGGTTTTTCAAAATTGAAAACGAAACCAGCGGCTGTGCTCCCGGCGACGGCCTCCTCTTGATGAGCACGGTGCGGATGCGGGGGCTTTCGAGGTGGAGGAAAGGGGGATGCGTTGCTCCACTCCCTGAAAAATACCAGAAGCAGAGGGGAACCCATTCCAAATGACCAGAGAACAAGTCATGGGAGACCAATTTGATTGTGTCTCCCTGATAGAATTTCAAGATTCACCAACACTGAGTGCAATACACATATTCTAGTAAAAGTTTAACAAAGCATTTGACAATAAGATCTATTAGATTGCAGAATGGACTTGCAAAGGAAGTTGTGGAAGGGCTCTCCCTAGGGAACTTTCAAGTCAAACAAGACAACCCATTTGAAGAAGCATATTGCAGAAGACAATTTTTTTTTCCTCCAGATGCCTTGATTTAACTGGACCACTTAACACTTCTTGGGTAAAAACATAAGCACCTTTGAAACAAATCCCTTTTCCAAAGAAAAGCATAGGCATAAACATGGGTTTGTTGTGCCACTTTTTCTTTTTTAAATTCTTAACCTAGAGAAAGTGGGATCCTCCTGGGGGACCCCACAGAGAGCCAGAGAGCAGCCAGCCATGCTCAAGAAGGCAGAGTGCAACTGACTGGCAACCAATGCCTAAGGACACGGGCATCTCTGTGAACAACAAAGGAAAATGAGTGCTGGGCCGCACACACACTGCCTTCTACAACCTGCTCCATGCCAACCCACATGTGGGAGGGTATCCAGTGACGTTTCTTATCAATAGAGGAAAAGAATTGTCAACACAACTTGACAATTCAAGCAATGGGCACACGACGCAGTTTGAAACCCAAGTCCCTGTGTGTCCAGTATGATAAAATACATAAAAGTGTGCCATTTCCTATCATTTCTTATCTTTAACCAGCCATACAAATATTGATAAGCCAGGAAATTCCAAAATGGTGCTGGTCTAGTATATAAACACTAATTGCTTTCCTCATTGCACTGTACCATTTTTGAGAGGAAAAACGTGGAATTTTTTAAACCTTGATAGAAAATATATGCAGAATTTGTTTTCCAATGAACGCCTAATAAGGCTACCTCTTAAGTCTAGATATGTAAAAAATTGCCCTTTTCACAGCTGATAAAATACAAATTAATCCTTAGAGGATTTAATATGTGCCTATTTATTACTTTCAAATCTGAACTTACCATGGCAATTAATATGGCTTCTATTAGCCTGTGAGAAAATCAGTAACTGCCTTTGAAACAGGAAATAAATGCGACGTTGACCCTGTTTTAAATGCCTCCTACCTTGTGTGTGTGCATGTGTGCAAGTGTTTACTTTCAGATGTGCTACCAGAGGTGTGATTTGATGCCCTTCAGAAGATCACAATTGCCAAAGCGCCTCTGTAGTTATAACATTGCTTCTAGAATCAATTTGAGTTCCACAAGCTTTAAATTGTGGTGTCTTCAGGGTATGAAATAATGTTGTTTGCATGCAACTGCAAGTTCAGTTTATTATGAGAAGTGAAAACATTTTAAAAATTAAAGAAACATTTTTCTTTGTGTTCACAGTTCATTGTGTTAGTTTAACCCCCACACTTAACCTCCACGCTTCATTTTATAAATTCGCCTTTCATGTATTTTTGCATGCACGCAGACTTAACCCTTGGTTACCAAGGTCCTTTTTAGCATGCCAGGTAAAATGAAGGCTTTTGAGAGCAAATGCATGTTTCTCCCATCTCCCAGGAGTGTGTAGTTGGTAGGCTGCGGAACTATGTAATTACATTTGCAGAAATTTGAGTATTTCTCACTTCTTAACCCACCCTTCTTAGAAGGCCAATCATGCCTATTTTTACCTTCATTTATTTAGCATATGTATTTCTGTTTTCCCAATTGGATTCAAAGCATTTCAGGCCATGACAACTTATAACCTAAGCCATACTGAAGTTTATTTAAATCTGTGTAATTTTTTTTATCCATTCATGTTTCTCACTGTTGATACAGAGCAGTTTTCAAAATAAGCCCCCCCTTTTCTTCATCTTGCACCCACCATTTTGATCTCAAACTAAAAGGGTCATTTAATTTTCTGCTTCAAACATCAACCCTCCCAATTACCACAGTACTTCTTCTTTAAGTGCATGACAATCGGGCAGGTTTTATTCACATTTTTTAAGAAGGGATGTCTGTTTGATATTCTGCCTTTGTGTATTCATCGGCAAAAGTCTATATAATTTCCCGTAATGGTCTTGGTTTATTTACAATTTCAGCAGTCGTATTTGTTTAGGCTAAAAGAACGCCTCTGTGGGGTTAAGGAGAGCAGCCCTCTTTGCTCGGAGAATTATGTCACCTCCCTCTGTCCCATTTCAGCCCATGGAGTTCTTTTGACAGACAGCACGAACAAATCTGCATAAGGGAAAGTAAGTGACAGCTGGGGTCAGGCTCTCTCTGTTTAATGACACTGCCAGTTACACATTTTGAATTGTTTAAATATGAGTCTACAGCTTCCACAATCATCATTTCACTGGATCCACTTTTCATACCCAACAGCCAGGAAACTGACACGTAATTACACACTTGCTGATGGTATCGCGGTGCCGATAATTAAAACTGCCACCCGAGGATTGCGATTGCGAGTCTACAGCTGGGATGTTGTCAGGAGGCAGCAACTCCAGCAGCTTTTAACGCCATCT
This sequence comes from Homo sapiens, assembly GCF_000001405.40. Classification (NCBI taxonomy): domain Eukaryota; kingdom Metazoa; phylum Chordata; class Mammalia; order Primates; family Hominidae; genus Homo; species Homo sapiens. Next base: position 129,236,607 of record NC_000010.11, read on the forward strand.
CCTTACAGGTGGACCTCGAGTCCCAGCGCCGGAGGAAGCGGCGGCCTCCGCACATCATTCGCAACGTCTCACACAAATGAAGAAAATCTATTAACAATCCAATAAGTGAAATACAAGCACGATGACCCAGGGGTTAAACTGTCTGCTTGGACGCAGGAGTTGGATCCATTAGGTATTGTTCTTTTTTCTCCCTTTTGCTGTATTTACCGAAAAGATCGCCAAATGGTCTCCCACTTCTGAGCATAGCTTCAAGTTTTCACGGGTGAGGCTGGAGATGATGCGAAGGATGGGTAGTTCAGCACCTGCCTGAGTTCTTTCCTGTATCTGATTAAAGAAATAAGGGAGACCCTGGGAAAAACAAAAACAAAAACAAAACAAAAAAAACCCTCTAAACTCTAAGAAGCTTGTTAACTAAGAAGAGATTTAATTTCTTGGGAGGAAATGAGATTGAGGTAGAAGAAGACTAGGTTGAGGGATGAATTCTGACTTCCCCAGAGTTCAAAATAATCCCCACCCATTTGCCCAAGAAAGTGATCGTGCTGACGGCATGATATCTGGTGGCTTCTGACAACCCATTTCTCCTTCATCCACGCAAGGACACGTAGAGAGGGCAGAAGTGTGAAGAGTTGCTAAAATAATCTAAATAGGGCAGACAGGGAATGCAGAAAAGACAGAAGCCACCGTGAGTAGGCAAGAGCTGTGGATTTATGAATGCAAAACATTAAAATATTAGAAACAGGTAACTGGAAAAGTTAAAGCTGCCATAGACAAGTGATAATCCAAATTTTAACAGGTCCCGACAGCATGACAGAGGCAGCTTTGCCCAGAATGAACTATATTTATTCAATTCAAAAATGAGAAATGTATTCATTGCATTAGGCCCAAACCTTATCATCAGCATGGGTCTAAGGGTCGTTCATGGGCCGCCTGCCTTCCTAAATAACCTCCTAGTGCATCTGCACTGGGAAAATGAAGACAGGACTTCCCACCCCCTCACTGAACTGAGCACAGGGGTAACCATCACAGGATAGGATTCAATCTGTCTCACGTACAGGGATAGGTTTTCCTGATGCCCTCTGCTAGGCTGACCCACTGTCCAGGTTTGCTGGGACCAAGGGCTTCCTGAGATTTAGGACATTCAGTGACACAGCAGAAAGTCACAGGCCACCCAGGACAAGTTGGCCCCTCCCACCCATTCCACTCCCATAATATTAAAAAGAAAGTTGAGTTGATTTTCTTTGACCTTCAAGAAACCCTGACGCAGAATTACAGAATTACAAATTTGGGGCTTCTATGGATGGGCATCTTTATCCCAAAAGTAGCAGACATGTGCTGGGTGAGGGTGAATATAAGGCATTTTCTAAAAGCTCTCATTTTAATCTACTGTAATTTAAAACATTTTAACGTTCAAGTCACAAGGATAAGCTACGCAATGGACAACTAACTTGCATGAACTTTTAAGAGGAAACACGTTTTCAGAGGATGTTTGCTCTTTGGGCTTGTGGCCAGCCAGGGTGCAGTCCACACCTGGGGCATATTTATGGATGCCCTGGAGCAGAGCTGATCCACTGTACTTTGTCTGCCCACAAGCCACAAAGAAAGGACTTGTCCATGGACACCTTGAAATTCATCTCCCAGTGTTCTTCCCTGCTTCTCTCTCTCCAGGTCCCTAAGGTCCGCTAGGATTTCTACAGGAAGGCAGCATGCTATGGGGGTGCATGCTCTGCCCTCCCCTGCTCCTTGACCCCAGCTGGCATCACTGGTCTTGTCTATAAGTGGTGATAGTATCAACGTCCATGAAGGCTACCGGGAGGATTAATGTCATCTCACCAATGTGGAGTGTGTTGGCCTGCTTGTTCTTGCTGCTATCAGGTGAACGGCTATCAGGTGATGGTTTGGTGGTTAAAGATGAAACAGTGATGGAATTATTTTATACACACATTTCACATATCTTAAATGTTTTATAAGTTATGATTTTCATAGAACTCTCATTAAGTTTTCATAATTGGTATGTTCTTAAAATAAGTGCACTGGAACAATCTCATTGGTCAGTTCTCAGATGACATTCAATAGTGCACATACCTTGCCTCAGATATTTTCCTAATATTTGTGTGTTGTTTACATTTATCATATGCATATTAGTTATAGTTAGGCTGTGTTCTCTCCCCAACACCCAAAATGGGTCAATGGCTCAAAAGTAAAACAATTTTAATACATTGTTTTTAATATTGAATAAATACTTAAATATTTTAGGAAATATTTTAATTTTTAAATGTTAAGAAAATACTCCAACATAGTAAATATTAATAATGAGCTGGGCGTGGTGGCTCATGCCGATAATCCCAGCACTTTGGGAGGCCAAGGCAGGTGGATCACCTGAGGTCAGGAGTTTGAGACCAGCCTGACCAAAATGGTGAAACCTCGTCTCTACTGAAAATACAAAAATTAGCCAGGCGTGGTGGTGGGTGCCTATAATCCCAGCTACTCTGGAGGCTGAGGCAGGAGAATCGCTTGAACCCAGGAGGTGGAGGTTGCAGTGAGCCATTGCACTCCAGCCTGGGTGACAAGAGTGAAACTCAGTCTCAGTAAAAATAATAAATAAATATTAATAATGAATAAGACTCCAATAAGAATATACATTATGAAAAATGAATCTGTGGCAGGTGACAATCTCTACAAGCATCCAAAAAAAAAAAAAAAGTCAAGACCTACTAGGAAGTAAGATAAGAACTATGTGAGAATTTGTTTTTATTGACCAGCCAATCTGTATATCACTGGTATCCAGCAACTGCGGTGAAACTTGTTCAATGGATGGCATGGAGACATCAGTGGAGGAGAAACCTAAACGATAGAGACAGTCTTCAGAAAGACAGCTTTCACAGCAGACGCAGATCAAGACATACTCCTGCGAGAAGCTTGTAAACCTGGTCACCAGCGAATGACAGAGATGATGGTCAGGGAATCAGAAGAAAAAGCTATTGGAAAAAGTCCCTTATGACATCACATGACATCAGCGGCGATTGCTGTCGCATGCACATCCCAGCGGGTCTTTCGATGCACTGTGGGGCCGAGTCCCGCACTACACAGAGCCCAGACTGACTCTGGCATCACCTGGACCAGCTACAAGAGGGATGGGCATGATCACAGGCTTCCATCCATGGCCCACGGCTGGGGGACATCTTGAGAACCTATGCTACAGGGAAGAGTTTTCACAATTATTGAATAATCATCCTGTAAGCAATGATATGGACTAAAAACCAAAATACAGAAATCAGCCCTGCTGGGGCAAACAGGCCACATCTGAAACCCAATTTACATGTGGGGTTTCACTAATAGGGAATTGGGGGCCTCCGGTCTTGATTCAGAATTGATGAAAATAATAAAAATTGTGAATATTACCAAATCACAGAAGCAAATTGTGCAACTTACAGTGTGCTGTGCAAATCAATGCACAGCTGGTCTATTTTCCCGCATTGGGCAGTAAGGTCCTCACTGGGTTTGAGGTTTGGAAATGAAGGATGAAACGAAAACTTTCCTTCATGGCACTAAAATGTCATTCATGACAGTGGTCTGAAATTTATTTACTTATTTATTACTTAAAAAAATATTTTGAGAGTCAGGGTTTTGCTCTGTCACCCAGGCTACAGTGCAGTGGTGCAATCATAGCTCACTGCAGCCTCAAACTCCTGGGCTTGAGCAATCCTCCCGCTTCAGCCTCCCAAGTAGCTGGGACTACAGGTATGCACCACTGCACCTGGCTAATTTTTTTTATCTTTTATAGATACAGAGTCTCTCTATGTTGCTCAAGCTGCTCTCAAACTCCTGAGCTCAAGCAATCCTGCCGCCATAACTTTCAAAGTGCCGGGATTCCAGGCGTGAACCACCACACTCGGATGTTGCCTGCATTTAGAAGTTGTGTTTAAGTGACCTTTCCTAGGAAAATATTTGGTATTTTGAATAGTCTAACCTATCCCTTTAGGACTGAAATACAACATGTTTGATGCTGAGGAAAAAATTAAAAATTTCTCAGTAAGACCAAACTATAGGATACACAGCTTATCTCCCAGAAGTTTGAGTCTTTCCAAACACTCAGTGCTTTATTGCACTATGAATAAAATAAAGATATATTTTAGGGGGAAATATTTTAAATCCACATTTAAGTAGAGACACTGAGCATGATAGAATACTGTTCAAATCCAAAGGCAACCAAATCGAGGCACCATTTTCCCAAACTGGAACATTCAGACTTCTATAGGGAGACACAGGCTCATCTACCCAGCATCCAGGGGATCCAGGAATCCTGGGAGGCACCTTCCTGCAGTTGTCGAATCCACATTCAATGTGGGGACAGGAGCTGTAACCAATGTCATCGAAGCCCCTGGACAATGGGTGCAGACGGAGGCGTTCATACCACCCGATCCCAAAGAGGAACGACACACACGGCCTTCCCAGCAGCCATCATCGCAGGCTGGGATTTTCAAATTTAGGATTTGTAAAAGATGAGAAAAGAAACAGCATGAAGGTTAACATAACAGAAGATTTCGCTCTCTGTAAGCCGATGTACATCATGTCGTCCTCAGTAATGCATACATAGTAAGAGTCCTTATTTAAAAGGAGACATACGTTTTAAAAATTAAATTGAGATGTATTATTTTCATTAACCAAATTCCCAGTCCCTTCATACTATACTTTGAATTGGGACAATTCTATGCTCTGAAAATCTGGGCATTTCTGAGTCTTAAACAATCAAAAAGCAAAGACAGGCCCCAGTGCCCACATTTAAGTCATTCTCTAGATGCGGCTGAGCAAAAACTAGACATGTGACTGCGCATTTGTGAATTTTATGGGCTTTTTCTCTTTGAATCTGGCAGTCAAAGTAGCCATCCAGCCAAACAGAAGATCTACAGGGAAAAGAGATACATGTGCATAAGAACAGGAAGTCAGAATAAAGCCATTAATATCTGAATCCGATGCGCTGTGAGATCGTTCTGTTACGCGACACTAGCGCTTTCCCGCCGCGGAGTCCCATGGGGTCAGAGGCGTCGTGGCCTTCAGAGATGCTCGGGCTGCCACCGGGGTTAGCCCTGGGAAAAATTAAAGCACAGCAACCCTGCCCAGTGCAGGACAGCAGGCAGTGAGAAGGGGGCAGATCTGAAGCCTTTCCATCTTCAACTGTCCCCATGCTTACGGGCAGATGGTGGATTCTGGCCTTTCTCTCCTGCTGGGGTACAGGTGTGCATGCAAAGGGATGGACACACGCACTGAGCTCTTGGAGACTTCATTTCCATTAAATTCTGAGTGGGAATCTCTGGCCTGGAAGTGAGGTGCCATTCCCACCCACGCCCCCTCACGGGCCCTTTCCTCTTGGTGACTTAGCACTTCTTTCCAGTCTTTTCTGGTACCACTCAACCTTCCCACTGGGTCCTGCAGGGATCGGGGAGCCGCATGGAGGGAGCACAGGAAGGCTGGCAGTAGGAAGGAGGGAAGCTCAGACACTGAGCCACATACGCACCTTTGCCCATCAGATCTGTCCATGGAGAAGCAGTGCTGAGAGAGAGAGCCAGAGGCTGCAGGTGACAAGATGGCCAGGGGCCCCAGGCGTCAGCGACTGACCAGAGGCCATTGGTCTATGGTGTCAGGGCAAAGGCTCAGGCTGGGGTGGAGAGGGAGAATGGAGCAGAGGCTGAAGGCTGCCAGGAACAGCTAGCGGCATGCCCGAAGGGAGTCCCTGCCCACGTTGGCCTGGGCTGGGCTGTAGGGAACCCACTAGCAGCGTTGGGTCACAAGGTGAAGAGGGGAGGAGCACTGTCTCTAGAGCTCCTGGTCCACTGAGACCACAGTCCTCTCCAAGTGCCCCCATGTGGACCAGTGGGCAAGGAACTGGCACCCCACTAGAAGCACTGCCGTGGGCTTCTCACCCACACAGCAGGTCCAAGCAGCACTTCTATGCCATCCAAAATGCTTCCCACGTGAAGTCCCCCGGAATGGGGGGCTGCAGAGCAGCAGGGAGTTTCCTCAGCTCGGTTCACCAACTTCTAATGTGTTGCCACAATCGTGCAATCATTTGAAGATAGGCAAGTCCCTTCAATGTGTGTCACCCAAGGGCAAGACAGCCACTTGTTTTTAAAGGAATAGACTTTCTGGGGTTGTATCTCCATGTATCAGATAGCCTAGCCGGTTGTTTCTCTTCACTTTCGGAGCACGTGGCTTTGGTTTCAGCGCATGTTGTGGAGCTGCGAATGGAGCTTTATAAGATGGGGTGCTCAGAGACTTGGGGAGCCTCCAGATTTGCTCATTGGTGCCACGATCACACTTGCTCCAGCAGCCTCATCCTCATGCTGTTTTCAAAGAGCTTCCGGCTCCCAGGACACAGGCTCCTGCAGAGATCACAACAACACGGAAACCAAAGCATCCCCAGAATTCCACACTTTGAGTGCCTTGTAGCAACTTTAGCACCAAACAAACTACAAGCCCAACTGCATGAGACTCAAACCAACCGTGTCCACTACGGGTGTTCCTCTTATGTTATTGCCCTAGTGGTAAACATTGATAAGAAAAATGAAATATCCACGTTAAGATGGAATACTGAACAGTGACAAATGCCCATATGAAAACGGGGAAGGTGGCCTGTGGGCTGTGAGAGATGCTGCAGACTTCAGGAAACAGAAATGGCAGCCTGGCCAGATTCATCTCCCTTGTCTTGTACAATGGTGAGTGCCGGCAGGAGAAGGGGTCTGTGGAGACACAGCCAAGAAGTGCAGGTGGACCCCAGGACATCACTGTGGAGGCAACAGGCCTGCAGATTCCCAAGCCTGTTCCTCACAACACCGTTCTCCCCCAGGCCCCATTTGTTTCTTAGAAGAAACAAATGAAGGCTGCTTTTGTACAAGACAACACGCAGTGCCCCAAACATCTTAAGCTTTCCCTCTGGTCCCCTCCTGCTTACCAGTTGCCCCTTCAGGAAGCCAACTGACCCATGAGGCCAGAACAAGTTGTGTCTTGAGGTCTCAAGCCCCACCAGCCTCACCCACACCCCCTACACCCAGCGTGTCACCTCCACAGGCTTCCTGTATCAAAAGAGGCCCTTGGGAAGGGCTTTGGTGCTCATTCTTACTATAGGTGTAAATAGCTTAGTGTAATCATCCCAGAAGAATTCACATTTTGGAAGGTATCAAAATCTTAAGCTAATATTTCCCTAAAATCACACAGGCAGCAAGAATTTTATTCATTTTAGAAGCAGGTCTAATCTACCCACATGCCCCAGGTATTCTGGGAGAAGTAATATAAAGAAAGGTAGGGACCCATAGCAACCCTGGTAGGGACAGAAGAGGGGAAAAAGGCAGGGGACAGGACCTGCTGCTCAGTAGCCTGGGCGGTAGCCTCCTCTGAAATCCACTGTCACCCACCAGCCTGCTGGCAGCTTGGTGGCCCGCATTTGCACAGATCTGCACTGACACTGCCAGTCCCTGCCACTGAAGGATGCCATTTTAAATGCAAAAAGGCAGTCACTTCTGCAATATTGATTGCCAGCTGCCAGAGTCCACTTCCTGTGGCCAAACACTGAGTGACTCCAGTCACAGGTGGTCACAGCCCAGTGGACAAAGGTGACAAGGCACCTGGCCGCATGCAGGACACCTGCCTGGACAGCAGCAAGTGCCCGGTGTGCGCCACGGCCACGTCAGCACAGGGATGTCCGTGCCACCCGCTCCTACAGACACCGGAGCTTGGGCTTGCTCTGGGTCCCTCTACAGGATTCTCTCCCGCCTTGGTCTTGGGCAAAGCCAAGGCTCACCTAGGCCAGGCTCAGGGTAGAAGTGACCTTCACCCCATGGGCATGGGCCACAGGAAAGGAAAAGTAAACTGCTCCTGTCTGCCAAGCCTCGGGCTCCTCTGAAGGGGATGCCAGCCCAGGGCTGCTAGCACACCGGGGCCTGTGGGTGGAGTCACAGGGTCAGCTCTGCCAGGTTCCCCAGGACCAGCAGCGGATGCTGTGGTCACTGACGTATTGATAGAGACCGGAAACTCTCTGGTCCTTGAACCTCTATGCACCTCAACACCCAACACCCATACCCAGTCCCAAATATTCCCTAGAGAAGCCCGGTTCAGCCCAGCTCAGCCCCACCCCACCCTCACCTGCAATGTTTCCTGACATCCCCGGCTCTGATCCACACGCTTTGTGCTTATGCAAGGACTGGCAATAGAAGCTATACTGGCTCCCTTAAATAAGATGAAGGTGAAGAAACAAACCAACGGTGGTCAGGCCGTATATGACAGCAGAACTGTGGCCCACGCCCTCTGTAGCAACCAGTTCAGAGCAGTCAGGACTTGGTCAACAACTGCTAGCTTCCAAAAATTACTCAACTCCAAACCAATGCAGAAAGCCAAATATGCACCCATATCAGTCAAACTGGAGGCTCTGCTTCCAGACAGCCCCCACCCACCCCGATCTTCCCCAGTGTTTCACCCAGGGCACACCAGAAGCCGCCCCTGTTCCGCTGAGAAGCGTCCCACTCTGCTGCCTGTCTCTGAGTCTCTGCCAAAGGCATGTGGCGATGGCCACCTCTGCTGCCAGAGCAAGGTCTGAAGGAATCGCTTGCTTGTCCTTCCATGCATGGTCTTTGCTTATTTCCACTAAGGACATGCGAGGAAATAATTCCCTCTCGAGAGAGTGTGATGACAAGCCACCAACTTGGCAAAAGTATTTGCAAATCACATAGCTGATAAACGACTTATATCTAGAATATATAAAGAACATTCAAAACTCAATAGCAAGAAAACAAACAACTCAATTTTAAAAATGAACAAAAACTTGAACAGATGCTTTACCAAAGAGGATATACAAATGGCAAATGAAATATTCCAGATCATTATCCATTAAGGCAATGAGAGTTAAAATTGTGATACACCTATTAACATGGCCAAAATAAAAAATACTGGCAATGCCAAGTGCTGACAAGAATGTGAATCAACTGGAACTCTCATACATTGCTAGTGGGAATGCAAGATCATACAGTCACTTTGGAGAAGAGGATGGTGGTTTCTTATAAAGTTAAACATATATTTACCATGAGACCCAGCAATAGCAATCCTGTTTTCACGCAAGAAAAATGAAAACTTAGTTTACACAAATAAAATGTACCTGAATGCTTATAGAAGCTTTATGTACAATTGCCAAAAACTAGAAACAAACCAACTAGAAAACAAACTGTGGTCCCTCTATAGAATGGAACCCCACTCAGCAATAAACGGAAACAAACAGGGAGAGAAGCCAGACCCAAGGCTGCAGCAGGTGCGATTCCACTCATACGACATTCCGGAAAAGACCAAACTAGAGGAACAGAGACAGATCAGTGATTGCCAGGAGTGGAGGATGGGGAAAGGGGTTTACGATAAAGGGGTTTCAGGGGGTGATGGAATTATTCTGTATCTTAATTGTGATGGTAGCTACGTGACTAAGCATTTGTAAAACTCACGGAACTATAAACCATAGCGAATAAATTTTACTGTATGTCACTTTAAAAATAAATACAATTTTTAAAAATCCATTCCATCAACACAGCTTCTAGATTTCTCATTTCCAGTAAGGTTTTGAAGGGCAGTAGTCCCACATTCCATTTTTTATGCTAAAATGCCATTAGTGATTCAGTCAAACATTAATTACAAAAACGGAAAAAACACTAGAAGCATCCACCTCCCATCAGCATTCTATCGCCTTTATCCACCTAGCAGCACACTCTAAATCCTATTGATTTGCTTATATTTAGAATACATATTGTTTCCTGATGACAAAGGTAATATACATTCACTACAGAAAATATTAAAAAGAGTAAGACATAAATAGTACCAGCTATACTATTACAATCTAATAATTTGCTTTTTCAAAATAGTTTTTGAATAAAGTTATTACTACCACCATAATGAAATGTCAAATATAAGGCAATACAAATAGAAGGTATCTGTAAAATGATCATAATGAATATAAAACAGTTCGACTATATTTTAAAAATTTAAATTTTAAAGGATAAAATGTAAGCCATGATAAATCCAATTAATTGACTTAAAAACAATTTCCTCAATAAAAGAACAGACTTCTTTATGATCAGCTATGAATGAAGGGCTATTCAGTTTTCTGTTGTTTCCCCTGAGTCATTGGTTCTCAAATTCAAGGGTACAGGTAGCATCCCCCAGACAGCTTATAAAAACATATTTTGGGCTGGCCCCAAACCCCATTAGAATCTCTGATTTATTAGGCCTGGCGTGAGATTTGGAATGTGCATCTCTCTAATAAACGTCCAGGTGTGGCTGATGCTGCTGTGGTCTGGGGACCCAACCTTGAGAACCATTCCTTCAAAATGTACTTCTGTTATCCAATTCATGCTTTTACATTCTCAGAAATATTTAAGCATCTGGCCACGGTAATGCTGGACTCTGAGAATTAATTCTTAACCAGAATGATGTGAGTAACTTACAGGAATAATCTACAGGCTCTGTTCTGAATGGAGTGGGGTGGCCAAGTCCACGGCAATGAGCGGGTATTCTCTGTGCATTCCCCACTCCCCTCTGGGTCGGGGAGACTTTTATCAAGTCTTTCAAGTGCATTTTCATAAAGCTCAAAATATTTTCAGTAAGTCCTTCAGATGCATTCATAGCCAGGTCCTCTAAAGAGGGTAAAGAGTCTCAGTCAGCCAACACAGGTACAAGCCCTCCTCCAGCTTTCCCGTCACCACCTTCTCTCGCCTGCGAGTGGAATATTGATGGCAGCTGACGCTCGCCTTCTAGGGATGGATGTAGGTTGTCCTAATGAGCTAATATGTCTGCAAGATATGCTAATTTGCAAAGCCGGCTATAATAATGCATACAATCTCAGTTTGGAGATTTCATGCAGAAAGTTCTTGAAACCCAAATAGAGTGAAAACGTTTTCAAGCAAAGGCCGAGAAGCATCTATATGAAACAGGAGTTGTCAATAGTCAGTGGCGTCTCTCCCCTTAACTGACAACTCGCAGCTTTGGCATGCTTTCCTCCCCTGTTCCTGCACACATCTGAGGTTTCTCTGTGCAGGCTGCAGCCCGGAGCAGGCACTCTGCACCTGCTCAGTCAGAGATCAGGCCTGAGACCCCCACATGGCCTTCGAAAAATGACTGTCTAGCCACACCCACAAGTGACAATCGCCAAAACACCAGTCAGATGGGCTCATTACACTTTTCTCTCTAAATTCATGACAATATTCAATGACTAATAAAACTTTTAAATTCTCTGCATCAATTTTCACACCACCAACAGAAAGCATTAAGGCCTCATAGTATTACATTAAAACAGACATGCTTCCTGACTAAGTTCAAGAAAAACACGCAGAAATGACTGAGCACAAATTAAAGATGACCCAGGAGAAGAAAACCTACTCAAGTCATTATACTCATATAAGAAAGAGTCCACTGAGTCAAGATCTAATAAATACGTGCATCTCCATGCTCACTTCTGAAGTATGTGGCCCGTGTATTGCTTTGCACATTGAGTGATAAATGATAGTGGGTGGGTGGGTGGGTGGGTGGATGGATGGATGGATGAGTGGATGGGCAGACAGATGGGTTCGTGGGTGGATGGATGAATGGATGGATAGACAGGTGGATGGATGGATGAATGGATGAGTGGATGGCTAGACAGTTGGGTGAGTGGATGGATAAAAAGAGGAATGGATGGACAGTGTTGATGAAGAGTCATCATTTAATCTGGTAGCAGAGAATCTGACTCTCCTACCTGGTAGTTGTCTAAACTTGGTCAAGTCCTGCTAGCTCTCTGAGCCTGTTTTCACAACTTTAACAAAAATATAGTAATTACTGTCATACTGACTTTATAAGGTTTTTGTGGGGACCAGGTTAAGGAATAAAAAAAGCAAGCTATTATAATGTCCATTTATCTACTGACTTTCATTTTGTTTTATTTGAAACTCAGACTGACATAAACAAGCTTTGTCCAACTTTCACGAATGGCTCATTGGTACACTAGGTGACATGACAGTTTACAAAGTCAGCCCTACAGTGAAAACAACTGCTAACATTTTATGAAGATGTCCTAGATGCTAGACATTGTTCCATGAGCTTGATTTGCATTCTCATTTAATCCACAAACAACACTCTGCGGTCGGTACTATTATCATATCCATTTTCTACAAAAAAACTAGAACACAAAGACTAAGCAACTCGCCTTCAGTCATGCGTTTATTAAAAAGTGGCAGAGCCAGGGGGCAAACCCAACTATCTGGCCATTATGAGCACAAAACCAGTAGGAGCTCACAATGGAGTCACACAGACCAGGCATTTCCAGGCACTTCCTTGCCTTTTCCTCCAGTGTGCCTTGGCTCCTGGTCTCTTCATCCATCTTTAAAGCCAGAGTGCTGGGCTGAGTCCCTCCCACGTGGCATCTCTGATTTCTCTTTGCCTCCCTCTTCCCCTTTTAAGGACCCTGTGATTACATCACCCTCACCTGGATAGTCCAAGCTCATTTCCCTATTTCAGAATCAGGGAATTTGCAACCTTAATTTAATCCACAGCCTTGATTCCCCTACACCAACCTTACTTAGACTCTGGAGGCTAGTTTCTCACCTGCAAAGTGGGCATAATAATGTTATCTATTTTATAAAAGTTTAGGGATTAACCGAAATGACACATTTAAGTGTCACTTGATCAGCACTTTGGCACACAGTAAGAACAAAAAAAGTTTGAAATTTAAAAATATTTGTAGCAGGCTATTCTGACTAAATTACAAAGCACAGGTAATCCTACAAGTATGAACATTCACCCACGTGCCTGTGTGGATGTGCTCATGTATATGTGCATGTATATGTGTGGCATGCATATGTGTGTGCTTGCATGTGTGTGGGAGTGGGTGGGGTGTGTGCATGGGGACTGTGTGCATGGAGGGGTGTGTGCATGGGGTGTGTGCAAAGAGGGGTGTGTGCATGGAGGGGTGTGCATGGAGGGGTGTGTGCATGGAGGGGTGTGTGCATGGGGGGTGTGTGCATGGGGGGTGTGTGCATAGGGGCGTGTGTGCATGGGGGTGTGCATGGGGGGTGTGCATGGGGGGTGTGCATGGAGGGGTGTGTGCATGGAGGGGTGTGTGCATGGAGGGGTGTGTATGCTTGTGTGTGCGTGTGTGCATGTGTACTTTCCTTCAGCTGAACCGCTATCATTATTAGCTGGTCAAGAAGGAACTTTGAAGGCAAAACAAAAATGCTAATACACTTCTGCAGCTGTGTGAAGAATGTGAATGTATTCCACATTCAGAGAAGACTTTTAAATGCCTGTAGAATCTCAAATGAAGGACCAAAGGAGGCTATTTAGGAATCCTTATCCAATTGCTGCTGAAAACCACCCAAACAGTTCTCTGCGATTTTATCGGAGACTAAATAGTCACAAATGAGCTGAACTGCTTTTCTTTCATTTTCTCAACACGGTTGGTAGTTTCCCTACCAAGGCAACTGATGCTCTTCCATGCTGGTTTCTTCCCCTCCCGACTGGGGGGATAACAAGCAACAGTAACTGAGAAGCCTTCCTAAACTCAGAGGAAAGCCCAGATAATTCACTCACAGTCCAGGCCAGCCCAGGGAAGGCCTCAACCAGTACTTGTCCCACGTGGGAAGTGAGAGTGGACAAACTCAACGCCAACCCCAGCTCCTTCAAACTGCACGTTCACTTACATATCGGTTTCCTATTGCTGCTGTACTAAGTTACACAAACTAACTGGCCAAAAACAACACGAGCTTATTACCGTATGGTTCTACAGACTGGAAATCCGGCATGGCTCTCACCAGGCTAACATCCAGGCGTTGGCAGGGCTGCGTTGCTCCAGGAGGCTGCAGGAGAGAATCCACGTCCCTGCCTTTACCTCCTGTGTGACTTGACTCCTAGTCTCTTCCTCCATCTTTAAAGCCAGAGTGCTGAGCTGAGTCCCTCCCACGTGGCATGTCTCTGAGGCCTCTTTGCCTCCCTCTTCCCTTTCAAGTATCCTGTGATTACATTGGGCCCACCTGGATAGTCCAGGCTCGTTTCCCTATTATAGAGTCAGGGAATTCGCAAACTTAATTCCATCTGCAGCCTTAATTCCCCTTCACCATGTAATGTAATGTGAATAATGTAATGTAACATATTCGCAGGTTCCAGGGATTAGGACGGGGCTTCTGGGGGTGGGGGAGATGACTGCCTACAATTTACCCATCTCCTTCCACCCTCTTGAACTCTTCCTCAAGTAAAAAAGCTATTCTCGGGGGAAACATCCCACATATACGAAACAAATTGAAAGCAGGTTGTAGTTATTACTTCACTGTTTTTCATAGAAAGACGTAGGACCACAACTATGGTGGCCACCTGTAACCAAGTCTTAAGCAAACGTAATGAGTCCCTCACTGTAGACTTAAAGGTGGCAGAGTCCTCACAGCACACATGAGTCTTCAAAGGTGTGTGTTGTGAATTCAGTCTCTGCTGACTCTGTCATGGATTCATTAACCATTCAGCCAGCAGTGAGGGCACCCAGGACGCAAGCACCCTCTGTGCACGGTAGCAATGAGGGCACTCAGGACGCCAGCACCCTCTGTGCACAGTGAAGGTTATACAGCCAGGCAAGGTGATAGTTGTCCAAGGTCCCAAAGAGCTACTGATGCAGCCTGTGGCGAGACATAAAAGGGTCCCGGGGGATCTAAATGCATAAGGTGCCTCCTCTCTACCCTCCTGTTCACATAGCCAGCAGTTTTCCCTATGGTACAACAGGCAGGTGAGGTCTGAGCACCTGATTTTAACTGCAGCGCCAATCCTTTCCGTCCCACAGCCTTAACCCACAGGTAAGGTCCCTGGGCAACCTCTGTGTCAAGACATCCATAAAGATGAACACAATGGAAAACTTTTTGTTCACCTAGGCCCTGCCAAGGCCAAATGTTGCCAAGAAAGGCAAGGAATGGAAATGGAGACATCTCTGCACAGAGGACCTCTGGGTACAGCAGAACTGGCACTTGCCTCAGAAGCACATTCCCACTGGGAAGGCAGCCTCCAGCAAGTTTCCTGATGCACCAAATGCAGATGATGATCCCAGCTAGTAGGGCTGTCGTGAAGATTAAACTGAATGATAACAGATGTAAAGCAATCATCACCTAGTAGGTATCCATTAAATGTTGGTTTTCTCTGCCTCCAGCAGTTATTCACAAATTATCAGCATTTGCGGAATCCTGAAGTACCAGCAAGTTACTCAAAACAAATCATTACAAACACTATGCTCGTGCTGGCTGTAACTTCTTTCCAATTTTAGCGAAGTCATGTAAGAACCTCTCAGGGACACGTGGATCTACAGTGCGGTGCACTTGAACGAGGCCGAGCCGCATCCCGGGTCTAACTGAACGCAGCCCACTGGACTCTCCACTGTTTTCAAAGTGGCCTCAGCAAAAAGGATGTCAGGCTTCCTGTTCTGAAACCAATCAGAAGTAAGCAAAAAAGCTGGAATATCAACTCCAGTTTCAGTGAAGGTAGGAAATGATCACAATCTCAAATCATAGATGATGGGTAACAGGCATGACCACATCTGTGGTGGACACCTGGGCCAGAGCATCTCTGAAGAGCTGGAACAGGGGACAGATGTCGGGAAAAAATGAGAAGGTCTTGAATAACCTGGGAAGAAGCAGAATGAAGGAAGGCCGAGCTGGAAATGGGGGCTCCAGGGAAACACGGTCAGCTTTCCAAGACCCACCTGAAGGCAGAGCCTGGAATTGAAATAAATGTAAGAGAGAAGGGAAACAACAATTGACTTCACTGCTACCCACCAGAGATGTTAAACAAAAATCAACAATGCAAAAGAGGTGTGAGCTTCCCTGTGAGACTCACCAAGCCGTGCCAAAGTGAGGAACAGGAAAGGTAAGAAACCTGCTCCTGGCAGAGGGTGTATTAGTCTGTTCTCATGCTGCTAATAAAGACATGCCCAACACTGAGTAATTTATAAAGAAAAGAGGTTTAATGGACTCACAGCTCCACATGGCTGGGGAGGCCTCACAATCATGGCCAAAGGTGAAGGAGGAGCAAGGGCACATCTTACATGGTGGCAGGCAAGAGAGTGTGTGCAGGGGAACTGCTCTTTATAAAACCATCAGATCTCGTGAGATTTATTCACTATCATGAGAACAGCACACGAAAAACCCACCCCCGTGAATCAATGACCTCACCGGGGTCCCTCTGATGACACATGGGGATTATGGGAGCTACAGTTCAAGATGAGATTTGGGTGGGGACACAGCCAAACCATATCAGGGGTGATGTGGAATGGATGTGAAACCGGGTGATGGTTCTGTGGACGCATGCTCCTTGGCCTGTTTTGCATTGTTCTTGAGTAAATAGCAGGGCCTGGTAGAACTGTCCCCAGCCAAAGGTGAACAATATTCTTCCCATGAAGGCCTGCAAAGATGCGACCGAAGAGATGAATGGGACCTTTCAGGGAAAAGTCCCACAAAGTGTGTGCCTTCAAAGAAATGCACCAAAAAGCAGAAAAAAAATTATCCCAGCAAAACCTTCTTTCAATTCTCTGTAAATGTGAAAGAAAATGGAATATGGAAGAAATAGCTTAAAACAAAACTATAAGAAATAAAAAGAGAAAACATTACAGAATAAAGATAAAAATACAGAATAACCATAGAGGATAAAATTGAACATAAAACTATTACGGAAGCGAAAACCACAATTAAAGCCACAAGAATGCGAGCCAAAGGTGCCAAGAATGCAGGAGGACAGAGGACAAGCCTGTGGGAAATTCCATGAGAAAAAGGGTTATAAGGAGGTGATGGATATGCAAGAAAGACACAGGAGTTCCAACACAGATGCGGCAAATTCACTCATTTACTTATGCATATGTTCATTCTAACATCCTTTGAATAATCAGCTTCGACTGTACAGACACTGTTCTAGGACCCTGGACATTAGCAGTGAGAAGCCACCAGCCCACAGGAAGCTCACATTTTAGTGGGTACAAGACAGGTAAGAGGCAAGAAAATGAACAAAGTTCAGATACTGCCAACCGCTCCAAAGAAAATAATTCAGAGCAAGGAGAAAGAGAGCACCGGTGGTGAGGAGGACCAGGAGGAGAAGAGAACACGGATGGTAAAGTTATTCGACGGCCTAGTGGAAGGAATGCTTCCCTAAACCAAAGCGAGGCCTGATCCCCAAAGCCAGATCCAAGCCTGCGGACATCAAGACATATACAGAGGAAGTGATTATATTTCAAAAAAAAAAAAATTTAAACCTGTAAGAACAACAAAGCAGAAAGAGGAAATCAGCTAACAAAGGGAAAATCCTCATGGGCTGGGGACATCAGACACGCCTCTCAGAGCCGGGAGCCACAGAGCAACTCTGGCCTCACAGATTCTTGCACCTCAGTTGCACAGGGGCAGCCCAGGAAGCTCCTCTGAAAGAACAGCGCTCCCCAAGCCCACGCGGAGAGCCTCCGAGTCACGAGGATCCAATGGCTCCAGGAATCTGCACTTGAAACAGATCTCTCTGCTGATTCCTAAGCAGGGGATTCAAACATTCACAGGTTGAGAAACACAGTGGCCCAAAGTTTGAGGGGAAGAAGCGTAACTGAAGGGTTTTATAGGCAGCCAGTTTCTTTATGTCTATAGTGAACAGAAAACACCCTCAGTATAGCAAACATGAGCCCTTCATGCAAAAATAAATAAATAATAAATAAAAGCTAACTGGAATTCAGGGAAAGGAGAAAAGTAGGAATGGGAATAAACTCACTGACTGGGGTGAGCACTGAAGGTGTTTAAATACGGAATTGAAATAAAGCAATTGCAAGAATTTTGGGGTAAAGGCAGCAAGTAAATATTGCTTTTTTAAAAAGCAACAATATTAAAATTATAGCTATGCAAATCCAAAGACAAGGAGAGAGAACAAGAAGTATAAGCCCATCCATTTTCCCACCTTTCATAGATTGGGGTAAATCAATACTATTTGGAGTTGATCAATCAAGAAATAGAAATGTAAGCATTTCTTTAAAGTTATAAAAGTGAGCACTAGAAGAACTAAAAGGAACTTTAGCCCTTCCAAATGCTAGACAGGGGTTCTCTCCCTCAACCCCTTCCTCTCACTCTCTTTCTCACTCTCTTTCTCCCTTTCTCTCTCTCTGTCATATACATATACACACACACACAGAGTGTATGAGCCAAAGATAAAAAACAAAACATTTAAAATGTTTTAGAAACAATAAAAAATCATGCATGACAATTTCTAAAAAGACCTAAGAATGAATACAGATGCATACAATTTCAATCATCATTTTACAGATAATAATAGATACACAATAAATTTAAATTGGATAAGTTGACCTATTAAAAGTATTTATATTAAATCAAAATTCAACCATATGCTGTATGTAAGAAACATCTTTAAAAAGTTACCCAGAAAAGTTGAGACTAAAAGAATGCCAGCAAAAGGAACAGCAGAGGTGAACAAGATATCAAAGCAAGAAGCCCACAAGCATGAAACTCTGTGTGGAGCACAGCATCTCAGAATGCTCCCAGCGATACCATGAGGTCTCTCATATCCCCCTCTTGGTTCCTTCATAGTGCTATTTACCTCTGCAGCTTGTCCAGTATCTTGTTTATTCGTGATTTGCTGTCTGTCACTCACGCATACAAATGTCAGCTTGGCGAGGGCTGACGTTTTCCTCTGCACATTCCTGGTGCCTGGAATAGCACATGGTTGCTGCACAGGAAATATTTTTTGCAAGAATGAATAAAAAATAGATACAATTTCAATCACTATTTTACAGATGATTCAAGACAAGAAAATCTATTAATGTAGTTCACATATCAATAGACAAAGGAGAACATTTGATAAACACACGTCAAAAGGAAAGTTTATAAAATTCAAAGTTCTTTTCTGATTTAAAAAAAACAAGAAATTGACTAGATTCACCCTTAAATTGTGTACATGCAGACAACACAGATACACACACATCACTCACCAAAAATCAAAAGCTATCATGATACTTAATGCTGATGTTTGGAAGCATAACCAATAAAATAAAAACAGAACAAATGTTCCTGCTCTTCCTCAATTTTTTGTAATAGTACTTACCAAAGAAATTACTCAACACAAGAAAATCTAATATAGTCTTAAGTTCTTGTATTTTTCTAGAGGAGGATAGAGATATTTGTGTTCAAAAAAATTTAAGTAATTACTAAAACAACAGAATGTTTACAATCCAACAGAGCAGGGAATATGAAAACTTGAGCAATCAAACAGAAGGCAGAAAATGAGAAACAAAAAGGCAAA
The DNA here is from genome assembly GCF_000001405.40 of Homo sapiens. Classification (NCBI taxonomy): domain Eukaryota; kingdom Metazoa; phylum Chordata; class Mammalia; order Primates; family Hominidae; genus Homo; species Homo sapiens. The sequence goes on from NC_000010.11 coordinate 129,255,909, forward strand.
GAAAATTGTAATTATAAATTATCATTATTTACTTATTCATTACTACTTACTACTATTATTTAATATACATTATTAAAAGCCAAATACTTAGAAATGAGCAGTAAAAAACAAAACAGGAACTCTTATAGGACATAGCTAAAGCAATATTTGGAGAAAAATAGATTTTTGAGTGCATTTAGAAGAAAAATTGAAAAAGAATAAGCCAAGTCCCCAACTCAACAAGTTGTGTAAGAACAAAAAATAAACCGAAGGGAGGTGGGAGGCAGGATATATCAGAGACGACTACACAGACTGGAGATGAACAAAACATGGTGCGTCTCTGGGGAAAAATCAAGTTACCAGAACGATTAGAAATAATAAAACATGAGTAAGTTTGTGGGCTATGAAATTGTTCTTCAGAAATTAATAACTCTTTTCAACGTAAAATAGTTCAAAACAAACTGGAAAAGGATTTCCCATTCACAATAGCAAGAAATTAGATGAGAATTCTTAGGTATAAACTAAAGAAACATGCACGGTAGAAAAACATTGAACTCAATGAAGGGACATAAAAGAAGACTAATAAACAGGAGGCCGCAGCCCAAGAGTACAGAAGTAAGTTCTCCAAAAATTAATAGATTTTTAGAAATCAAGATTTTTTTTAGAATTGAACAAAATTATTCTAAAACAACTGTATGGGAAGATAGCCGAGCAACGCTTTTAGGAGAAGAACGATCTCCACTAACAAAACATCTGAAAAAGTGACACTATTTAAAGCACTTGATACATACAAAATATGCTAAAATTCATAAAACCTTACACTAAAAGAAAAAAATTCAACTTTACAGCATGATAATCTAAAAAGCTTTTATTTAAAAGGCAATATGATATGGACAAAGGATTATTAAGTAAATACATGCAACAGAAATCCAGAAACTAATCAAATACATATAATAATTTTCCTCTTATAATGTAACCACTTCAAACACTGGAGAGAAAGATGAAAAATAAATTGTGTTAGAACAAATGAATAACAATTTGGGGAAAGGGAGGAATGGATCACTGCTTCAACTCAGTTGAATATATTCATCAGTTAATTTCATTTGGGCCAAATACCTAACTTCATAAATAAAACCATGATAGTTATTTAAAAAGCGTAGGTTTTTCCTAATAAACCAAAAATGGTTAAACTGGTTATAATTGTTGTAAAAAAAAAAAGCCAAGTAAAGTAGATGACTGATAACTGACTAAATAAAATGTTTAAAATTCTGTAAAGCAAAAGTGCCATATACGAAATCAGTAAAGAAATGAGGCCAGGCACAGTGGCTCATACCTGTAATCCTAACTCCACCAAGATGGGAGGATCGCTTGAGGCCAGAAGTTCAAGACCACCCTGAGCAACATAGTGAGACCCCCATATCTACAAAAAAACTTAAAAAATTAGCGGAGCGTTGGTGACACGTGCCTGTAGTCCCAGCTACTCAGGAGGCTGAGGTGCGAGTATTGCTTGAGCCCAAGAGGTTGAGGCTGCAGTGAGCCATGATCACACCACTGCACTCCAGGCTGGGCAACAGCATGAGACCCTCTCTCTTAAAAAAAGAAAGAAAGGAAAAGGAATAAAATGAAATGCTCACAACCTTAGGACAGGTAAAAGGGAGATTTTGTGAATGTAAAAGTAATTCATACACATCTTGTTTGTTCCTTTAAACCTGATCAACCCAAAAGGAAAATGTCCACAGATATGAACAGGCTGTTGAGAGAAGAAATACAACAAAGATATGAAACCACTGTAAGTAAATAAACGCAAATCAAAGCAAAAAGCGGCACTTTCAACTCTAGTTTTGTGAAGGCTTACCAGCAAGTGAATGTCCAGTTCTGGCAATCGGATGAGGAAAAGAACACTCAAAGCTTCTTCAAAACAGTATGAATGGGTCCTCGGTTGAGGAGGGTAATTGGGTCCTTGGTTGAGGAGGGTAATTTGGCAATATTCCTCAAAAGTTAAAGTGCACATAGGCTTTGATCCAGCAGTTCTACATGTGAGGCTTCGTCTTACAAATGCACTCACTTAATTGCACAAAAATTCTCTCTTTTTCACACACACAAACACACACACACACCTGTTTATTCCAAAAAATATACAGAAAAAGCTTTCTGTCTGCAAAGTTCTGATGTTTTCACTTTGTGTGCATGATTTTTATTCTCTCAACAACTATGTGGCATAAGTTTCATTTATTCCCATTTTACAGGGGAGGAATTGGGTTCCAAGAGGATAAGTAGATGGCTGGTGAGTGGTAACCTGTGATTTGAACTGAGTCCCTTTTGTAACCGGACTTACACTCTTAAGCATTATCCTTGTTCTTGCCTTCCTCTTGTTCATAATAATGGAAAATGGGAAACAACGTGTCTTAATGGAGGACGAGTTAAATAAATTGGTTGCTGGAATACTAAGCAGGTTTAATTTTCACCAGGTTGAATTTATGTACAGAAAAGCAAAAAAAAAAAAAATGTCTAAAATATGTTAGGCAAGAAACAGCGAGGTTCAGGGAGTATGTAAAATGCTATAATATTATTCATCTCGTGTATGTGCAAAGCCAATGCCTGTAAGAGTCCAGAGGAAGGTCTCCATACGACAACCTCTGGGGAGAAGAGCTGGGGCGACTGGGAAATGGTTTGGCCAGGGTGTTGGGGGAACCTTTTCATATAACAGATTTTGTACTCTTTGCTTTCTTTAATAATGAACGTGTCTTTCTTCTATATTTTCTAAAAGCTAAGTTTGAAATAAAGAATAAACATTTCCTGGATACTTCCCCAGGATATGAGTCTGTTCCAAGAGGCACACACCCAAGTCAGGAGGGTTGGCAGCATTCTGACAATATGATTTCTAGAAAGAGAGGAAAAAATGACTTCAAGATGTGATGCTTCCTCATAAACAGAGGGCCATCGGAGCTGAGCTCCTGGTTTGATAGTTGAATGTCCTGATGGTGTTTTTTTTCTGGCTATTCTACAGAGCGGGTCTTTAGGAAATCCTGCCACACCAAGGGCTTCGGCTGTGAGCTCGGTCCTATTTTTACAGGACTTCTTCCCCCATCACTCATTTTCAGCAAGAATGTGCCCCACAGTTCAAGGAACTCAAGGCAGGGCCGTTCTTCTATCTTTGGCACAAATATTCCACGTTTTCCTGCCTAGGACAGTCCCCACTCTCCAGGAGAAATTCTACAGCTCAAGAGAAATCTGCTCATCCCTCTAAATAAGGGCAGCCTCGCAGAGCCGAGAAGGGGAAAAGGTGCCAAGTGACAAGGGATGCTTCCATGGGCTCCACCACCTCAACAGGGAGGCAGATTTTGAAAAGAATAGTGCTAGGAACTTCTAGGGGGTGAAAGAGTAAAGCTGTGAATAAACCACCCAACCCAGTCTCCCATGGCATTTTTACAAAAGAAATTAGAATTTCATCACACAGGGCTTGTGAGAACACAAGCTGTATTTCAACACCCTCTTCCTTACATAAACATCAACGACATGGTCATTTGCCTGTTTGTGAATTTCCATTATGAATAATTAAAAAACAAAACCCACTTCAGTTAGGGAAGATATACAACTCCTTATCAGAGGACAGTAGATGTTCTTCTTAACAGTGTACAGACAGGAAGATTAAATTTCAGAGAGAGATTTATTTTGTGCGATTGTCCCGTTATTCACCAGAGAATTGTGCAATGCAAGTAATCTGATCAGAATAATGCATAGGGACATATTTCAGAAAACCAATAATTGTGGTAACGTTGAACTGTGCAAGGTGCCAAAATAAAGTCCAGAATCACTCTCACCCTTTCCCCCAATTCCTTAATCACGGCTTCATAATACGCGGCCACATTGTCCATTACAGGCACAAGCTGGCAGAAATCACTATTGGACTTGTAGAGATTTATTGTCATTTGAGATCCAAAGCACTTCTCTAGACCCAAAATCAAAATGGTATTTTACAGATAAGCCCTAGCAAGATTTTACAGCTCTTACATCTTAAGGATTCTTTATTCTTGGCTAGGTCCTGCAGGGTTTTTATTATTATTATTGTGTTAGTCAAACAATAGAAAAACTACTAAAACTGGCTGTATTTAAATTCTGTTTACTTCTTTAACCTTTTGACTTACCTACATAAAAGGTAATCTTTCAGGAACAAGTTCCAAACAGAATCACTGCCTATTTGCTTTCCTCAAATCCTCATGGAATAAACAGAATCTGTAACAAGATCCCTTTCACCATTTTTTATTCTGCTCATATTTGCAATGATTTTATAACTGACGGCTGGGCCGCCTCTCTCCCATCATCGCAATCAGTGCATCCTGGGATTAAAAACCATTTAGGGCCCAAGTCTTAAACAAACTCCCCACACAGCAGTATAATGAACATTATGCATTGTTTCTTTTTATTGTTGCTAGCTTTATCGGCTCGGCCAAGAAGCTGGGGAGTTCGTCCTCATTTTTAAGCAGAGGAGTAGCCCGCTTACCAACATGGCCAGTGGCATCCAGCGAGATTGCAAAGGTGGCAGGGCAGTTATGCATGAAGGCTTGATGACCACCTGCCCCGTTTTATCATAAAACGGTCACACACTAGATACTTCTCCAGAGACTTTTCCTGGGAATATTTTCTTTACAAACATGAACTGGTGTCTAAATTGCTCAAGAACAAATATGTTGAGTAGCTGAAAAATTGCATTAAGAAGAGCAAAGCAATCTAACAAGTACCTGAGAAGCCTCATCAGAGGGGAAGGTGCAGGCCGTTCTCCGTTCAGTGGCCTGTGGATGGATATGCCCGGAGGCAGCGCCGCCTCCACCCACCTTCAGCGAGGTGGCCCCAGCAGGGCAGGGGGTGCTTCCACCCTGCTCACCGAGCCTCCGTTAATGAAATTAAGCGGGAAGGTCAGCTGCATTCCCATAGGATCTTCTTCCAGGATCCCGCAGCATTAAGTAGGGAGACTAGGCTGGAATCAGCCCCACTCCACTACAATTTCCCAGAGCTAGGTCAAACATAGGAACTGCTCTGCAGAAACTGAATTCCAGATAAGATTCTAGTAACTCCTTCTGTTGTTATCTCTGAAGATGATTAGACTTGGAATCTTAGGTGAATTTGAATTTGGACAATAAAACCAGAGAATATTTTAATAAGTGAGCATGGTCTCGCATCGGTTTTTCCATGCCTACCTAGAAATGACTCCCCTTACTGATAATTAACAGGGAGGGACCAAGCTCCATCTCAAGAGTCAGCACTAATCTTGAGTTTATCCATGAAAATGAGAAATGGGTGTTTCTTAGGGTAATGAACGCCTTCTGATCCTCACATTTTTAATATCTTAATAATAAATAACATCACCACCTTATATTTATATAATGTTTCACAGTAATTGCATTATTTCTACTTCTTTACTATATGAATAAGGTAGACATTATCGTTTGAGATGATAACATGGAGCTATGCAAAAATATCAACTTTATTCCTGTTAAAATCAGGCCTAAGTCTGTTATCACTATGACTGTTTAACATTGTTCTGATTTATCCAATGAAGTAACATGTGAAATACTTCACAATAAACAATTATAAATGACAAAATCATTCACTGCAAATAACGTGAGCACACACATAAAATCTCTTAGAATTAATATGCAGGTTAAGTGGCCAACACAAGTTGAATATAGAAAAATTAATTCCTAACTTATTAGAAGATGTAATGGGAGAAAACGACTTTCATAAGATCAAACAAGAACATAAAATGCAAGGATGACTCCTAGCAAGAACCATACAGAATTTTCAATGGGAAACCACAGATATTTCCTGGGTGATATTAAGAATTTTATAGAAATATGTCATGATCATTGATGGGAGGGCTGAATACAGTAAAGATGAATATTTTCCCAGTTAATTTAAAAGACCAATGCGAATGCAGACACAATCCCAATGGAGATTGTTATGGCACGTGACAGAATCATTCTAAAATTTATAATAAAAATAAATAGCAACAAAGAGCTAAGAAATTGTAGGGGGCAGGGGAGAACAATAAAAGGAAACTCTCTCTGTCAAAACCTCTCATTTATCTAATGGTTTTTTCACCTAAAAGGGAGAGTTACAAATTATGAGAAAGAAATGTGTATGCAAATAGCCATAGTTAGCAAAAAGTGTTCGGAAAATAGTGTTTAAAAAACCTGACATAGGTTATTGGCACATGATGGAACAAAATAAATTCCAGATGGATAAAAATAATCCAGTGAGTAAATAAGAAATAAATAAGCCAATTTTTAAAAATAAGACTTTTTTTTTTACATCTTTGGGCTATAAATTCCATAAGAGGAGAATAATAGTCTTTTTACCCCAATGAATTTGTGCAATGAATGAATGTAAAAACGGTAAAATAATAGAAAATTCACAAAGAAAATATGGATTGATGTGATGGTTTTCAATGTTTTCTAGAATTAAGGGACAAATAAATCTGGGAAAGATTGCAAATAATATGATCAAAGGTTAATATTCTTAACACATGGGGATTTTATTCATCAATAAGAAAAAGACAATTTGAGACAAGCGGAGAACATTTCAAATCATGGTTTGGGAGAGCCAGGAAGCTAGCTGGTAAGAGAAACACACACTATGCCCGCCACGTGGTTCTGAGGGCCCACTGTGGCAGGTGACATAAATTTATACTAGCCCTCATCCACGGGGTTCTGGGATCTTCTCCAGCAGCCCAGACACAGAAGCATCGATCTAAACACATTTTCAATACTTTGACATCATTATCTAAGAGATGACTGTGTCTTCCCAAGATTCCCTGATAAAGATATACTTCCATTCACTTTTTGCTAAGCTGAGGTTTGGTAAAACCATCTTTACAAAAAGAGCTAGAATTTCATGCTAACTTGGTTCACAGAAATAAAACAAAATTGTTTTGCTTTTCTGTGAGAATTAATTCATTTACCTTACATATAAATGAAGAATTACTTTGCAGAAAGAATAAAAATCTATCATATTGTTAATTTTGTGATTTAGTATATACGAAAAACTCCATCTCAAAAGCCTCCAAACACACACACACACATGCACTACACACACACACACACACACACTGAAAAAGGCTAAACACACACACTGAAAGAGGCTATCTTTTCAAAACCTTGATACTCAATTCATGGTGTTCCTTACCTTTGTTATCATGCATAAAATAGGAGGATGAGGCCAGGTGTAGTGACTCATGCCTGCGGCACTTTGGAAGGACAATGTGGGAGAACCACTTAAGGCCAGGAGTTCAAGACCACCCTGGGCAACATAGTGAGACCCCATCTCTACAAAAAGTAAAAATTAAAAAATTAGCCAGGTATGATGGCACACACCTGTGGCCTCCACTACTTGGGAGGCTGAGGTGGGAGGATCCCTTGAGCTCAAGAGGTCAAGGCTGCAGTGAGCCATAATTGTGTCACTGCACTCCAGCCTGGGCAACAGAGCCAGAACCTGTCTCAAAAAAAAAAAAAAAAAAAAAAAAAAAAGGGATGAAGCCACAGTAGTTACTGGAAAAGTGATGATGAGAAAAGTCAAGAAACAAATGAAATTCTCTAATTTGTAGGTAAAATTTAGGAAAGAATAAAAATATAGAAAGAAATAGATAATAGTGCAAACATTCAATTGCTTTCCTTTAAAAAGAGACAATGATAAACAATGCAAGTTATAAGGACAACCACGTCTGAAAATTTGTTTTGTATTTCTGACTTACTAATGGAATCGATGTTCTTCTATTTAAAAATTAGAAAACAGGATTCTAATTACTATGGCTGACTGAAGACCTATTATTCTCTCATCTCTCTCTAAATCCTGTTGAAATAACTGAAGAAATAGATATATTTTAAACTCACTACCATACTGGAAGACCAGAGGGGTACTGTCAATAGATCGAAACAGGAAGGAAATTCTGAAAAATACAGAACACATAAAAATTGATTGATGGCAAATTCCAGTAAGCTAAAGGCTGGTCCTCAAGGAGCCATAGCTTGCTGTGTTCACTTCCTTGTCAGACACCTCCCTCATCCAACCAGGGTGGCCTGTGACTCCATTACATGATGGAATACAGGAAGAAATCCAGCTACCCTGCTGAGGAGATCACCTAGAGGGACCACATGTGGAGAGTCCACAGGGAAAGAGGATCCCACTCATCCTGAGCCCGTCCCCACGGGGCCTTCCAGCTCAGCTGAAATACCAGGCAGCTGCAGATGCAGCCAATGGCACAGGGAGTAGAAGCATGGCCCAGCTGAGCCTCATAACCCTCAGAATCAAGAGAGTAAGTAATACGGCTCTCTTAAGTGGGATTTCTGAGAAAGATGTCCTCAAAGTGTGGTCTAAGGCCAGAGAAACTGGGAGTTGCCACCAATAACTGACCACTGCCCTGGCCACTCCCCTGAGAATGAGAATCCTGAGGACTCACAAGCTGCTAATGTTCCCTAAAAAGAAGCTCACCTGGCTGAGTCCTCCGCATAACAGCGGACTCCACCAGTGCTCCTAGAATCAGAATTTGCAGTCGCTGCCTAGGTAACACACTGCAGTCATCAATACTATTTGGCTTATAATCTCTTCTATGAAATGAAGAATTAAGAATATTCAAATATTGGAGAAAAATGGCATGAAATAGCAGTACCAGTTATAGAGGGGTAAAGGAAGATAAATGATGGAAACAAGAAAATTTTAAGTAAAATTAACAAGCTTAGAGAAATATGCTAGGATACCCATTAATTCATCTAATAAAATTTATAAATATTAAAAAATATGATTTCTAGATTGAAAAATTCAATAAGAATTAAAAGACAAAGCCAAATATCAAAATAGGAAGATGGAGAATTGAAAAAGTCTCTCAAAACTCAGTCCAAAAGGACAAAGGTGAAAAGTGAGAGAAAATTTGAAAGGTAACAAAGACTGATTCAGAAGCTCTAACACCTATCTAATAGACTTGTCAGGTGAAAACAGGATGATGGAGGGAGAAAATAAAGAATTAATGGAGTAATTCTCCCTGTGCTGAAAAATGTCGTGAGTTTTGTTTCATTTTGTCTTATCTTATTGAAAGGGTTAATCAAGAGATCAAGAGTTCTACAAAACATAAAAATAAAAATGAGCCCATTCCTCCATTCATCCTCAAAGTAGCTAGAGACCCTACGTGTAGGTAGACAGCTACCTAGGGGGAACAAAATTAGATTGGAGCGGCTGTCTAATCCACAAAAATAGGCCCTTGAAGATAGTGAAACAATGTGTCAAGCACAAGGACAAAAAATTTGTACCTAGAATTTCATACCTAGCCTAAATATCAGTTGTCAAAATAAGAATATTTACAGACATTCAGGGACTCAGAAAATTTATCAACCATTTTAGAGGAGTAGGCTGGGCATGGTGGCTCACACCTGTGAATCCCAGCACTTTGGGAGATCATGGCAAGAGGATTGCTGAAGCCCAGGAGACCAGCCTAGGCAACATAGCAAAACCTATCTCTACAAAAAACTTTTTTTTTTAATTAGCTGGACATGGTGGTGCATGCCTGTAGTCCCAGCTACTCCAGGGAGGCTGAGGAGAGAGGATTTGCTTGATCCCAGGATGTCAAGGCTGCAGTGAGCTGTGGTGGTAGCACTGCACTCCAGCCTGGGTGACAAAGTAAGACCTTGTCTCAAAAAGAACAAGAGGGAGAGGAAGAAGAAGAAGAAATAGGAGGAGGAGGAGGAGAAAAAAAGAAGAGGAGGAGGAGTAACTTGAAGGTTTATACTGGCAAATTTTGAAAAATGAATCTAATTTTTAAAAGGATGGCGAATCTAAGAAATAATTTTAAAAATACTATTTTTTACAATTACAATTATATTTATAATATAGGTATGGTAGGTATTTTTAAAAGGTGAGAGGGTAATGCAGATAATAATATGGAACTAAAACTTTATATTAGATTAACAACCTATAGAAGATGGAGGAATGGAAATCATTAAAGAGTGCCTTGTCTATTCGGGGAAGCTGAAACTTAGCATCAGACCAAAAATCAAGACAGAAAGGAAATTTAAGACAAGGAATTATATTTTATATAAAAGTATAATCCCTCTTGGTTAAATATCTCTCACACATTGAGCAACATAACAGCAAAATATATAAAACAAAGTATATAAAACAGAATATATATCTAATATTGTATACTAAATAAAATATCTCTATAATATGTAAAACTGAATAATATAAAACAAAAACAGGAAAGCAGAAAAAACATACATGTTCACAGCCATAGGGTGAGAATTTAAGATGCCACAAAAAATTATAAAGTGAAAAATTAATAAAGAGAAGATTAGAATATCAATGTAAAAGCTTGATTGGACAGAGATATAAAGAGAGCTTCTTCCACAACAAATGGAAAATCTATGTGTTTTTCAAGCTCTTGTGGAATATTTATTTGAAAATATGCCCGTGCTTTAGTGAATGAAGAAAACTCAATAGATTCCACAAAAGTAGAAATCACAGAGACCACATTTTCTGAACCTAAGGCAATAAAACTAGAAATGAATACTCAAACAATGGCCCCAAAATGTCACCATACTCAAAAGCACGGGACAAAACCTCCAAATAACTAACGAATGCAAGCAAAGATAAAAACCGAAATGAAAAATCTCAAATAATGAGAGTACTCCGTACTAAAACCCATGGTCACGAGCAAAGCCGTTCTCAGTGGCACATTTAGAGCTTTGAATGTATTTTCAGAAATAAGAAAGACAAAAAGCAAATTAAGCATTCAATTCAAGAAGTTAGAAAAATTACTCAAAAATCTCAAGTAAATATAAAGAAGTAATTAATAAGGACAAAAACAGAGGCTTCACATTTCTCATATTACATACCAGATTATTTGGACCAACACTTCCACTAAAGACAACGGCTAACTTTAATACTCCTTAAATGCATAAAAAGTTATCAATACTGTAAGGAAATATCAGTGCAAAATCTAATGAAACAGAGAACTCAGGGAGGTAAGCTGAGCCCCCAGAACACCAAAATTACTTTTATCCTAAGAGGTTTGACAGTTTGGGTGACCCTACAAAGCAAGAGGGATGGAAATCAGGATCCAGGGCTCACTCATGTCGGAGATATAATTGGAAACCAAGGTGGCATTATTTAGTTCATTTAAATATAAACCATGCCCCATGATCCAGCAGTCCTGCTCCGAGGTATACACCCTGGAGAAACCTGTGCACCTGAACACCAGGATAATGGGCAAGAATGTACACAGTTGTACTATTTTCGACAGCCAAAAATTGCACTATTTTTCAAAGGCCAAATGTCATCAAAAGGACAGCCAAATAACTTGTAATTTTCACAGTAGAGGACTACACGGTAACAGAAATGAACAGTGACAGTTACCCAAAAATTCAAAGCATCAGCATAAGGAAAAACCCAACTATCCTGTCCAGGGACATGGACATAGGCAAGGAAATTATCATGAAAGTCAGAAAAGTGGTTACCCCTGGAGGGAAGAGGGGGCTGAGTTTTGAAGGAATGTATAGGAAATTCTGGGGGGTTTTGTTGTTTGTTTTTTTGGGAACTCTAGGTGCTGGTAAGATTCTGGCTTGTAGCTTGTGACAGTGTAGGTACATTTATATGGGCTTTTTTCACTTTTTGCAAGTGATTTTCACAATACAAAAAGAAGGGGAAAGTTAAGAAGTAATTAAGAAAGTATAAAACACATCAACAGTAAAAGTAGATTCAAACAACAAAGACAAAAGTGTTCTTAGAAAAGCCCAATAAAGTAGCCAAGAATTGTTAACGTCCGCCCAAGTAAAAACAAAGGAGACAAAGAACCTTAGAAATCACGAAACCACACAACTGCCTTCACGGTGCCAATTCTTAAGATAATATGGTGTATAACTTTGGACCAATAAATTTGAAATTTTAAGCTTTTGATTAAATGAACACTTTTTTTAAAACAAAAGTCTGAATGTTCCACAGTGGACTAGAGAAAATGTAGAAAACCAGAATATGCCAATATGTACAAAAGAAATGGAAAAAGTCACCAAATATACATACCCCACCCCCCACGAATTCTACACACACCCTCAATGCACAGATACGGCTTGTGCTCTTTCAACTGCACCCAGGCATGTGGAGAGAGGTGTGTCTTCTCCCCACATCTACAGAACAGCATACATTGTTATTCATTCCTTTTGACTCCATGTGTTGTTTTCTAGCTTTCTGAGTTCTACATATATTTCAGTTATTTTCTTTTCTGGTGATATATGTTCATAACAGTATAATTTTTTTCCTCTGAGTTTTAGTTTAGCTGTATGTCATCGCTTCTGATATACTGAGTTTTCCTTATAATTTTTGAAATTCTGCAATTTTGTTTATTTCTTCCTTGACCCAAGTTGTTTAACAGATGGTTTTATTTTTCCAGGTGGAAGTGCTTAGTTGTTTTTTATTTTCTTATTAATTTCTAGTTTTATTGCACTTAGTGAGGGTGGCTTGTATTACTTATACTTTTTGGAATTTACCGAGGCTTTCTTTACATGCTAATATATGGTCTTTTTTTGTGACTATATACTTGAAAAGAAGGTATGGAGTCTGTTGTAGGAGTACAGAATTTGAAATATATCTATAAAACCTTCCTTATTCACTACATTGTTTAGATCTTCTGCATAATGAATATGGTAGGCTAGTACTATTCATACTAATTGTTTGCTGTCTCAATCTGCCTAGGACTGAGAGGGTAAATTGGCCTTCTGTATGTGCCTATTTCTCCTATGCTGGCGTGTCTTGGTTTATTTCTTCTTTCCTCTCTGTGGTTTCTGTTATATCAGAGTTGCTTCTGTGTAATCTAATGCATTGATACTAATAATTTTTAAATTTTCATTGTGAATTGTGGCCTTTAGCATTATAAGATATCATTTTTCTCTAATTTAATGCTTATTGGCCTGAGTCCTACCTAGTCTATTATATGAATTGCAACATCTGCTTTCTTTCTATTAGTATTTATATATTTACCCAGCCTTTTATAATATTTATCTTTTTCAGTTTCTTTGCATTAGACCTATCTCTTGGATACAGCTTTCAGCGATGCTTCCTTTGTTAGCCAGTCAGACACCTTTTCTTTAAATCAGTGCGTTAAACCCTTCTATAACTACTGACAGGATAATATGTTTCATGTCAGTTCCTTCAACTGTTTGATATAATATTATAGATACTTATGTTTATAAGTATGCAGGTGGGTATATGTGTATGTTATGATGACACATGCATACATAAAGCCTTTCACTATGGAGTCTTTTTTTCACAATTCTGTTATTTATTTTGGTGTTTAGGCAGGCTTACATTTTTCTTCTAGTGTTTCTCTTGTTACTAATATCTTCATATGATAGCCTTAGTCTCCTCTTATATTAACTAGCAACCTCAACCCAGATTTTGCAAGAGAATTAGGCCCTAAGGCATCAATTAGATAACCAAATGATCACTCTTAAGAATCTAAAATGGTACATAGTACCATCCTGGGGAGAAGGAAGAAAATCAAATCATTTTCTATGTGGCTCAATTTCTTCCAGGATCCTGGTAGAGAACGGCTCTCTGTTATGAAAACAGGCATTAACTATTAATAGTAACTGTGTCTCTTTCCTGTCCCCCTTCCCCACCACCTAATTATTAGACACTAGTGTTGGTGTTCTGAATGTCTGCTGGTTGCCCTGAGATTCCCGAGGGCTGAAGCCGGGCCGTCACAGCACCCTGGTGCCCCAGTGCCCATGAATGCAACCATCTCTGTACTCACCAGCAACTCTGAGTCTCAGAGGACGTCTCTCAGCCTGGCCAGCTGCAGCTAGACCCACATATGAGGCATGAGGTGCCTGCCTTGTGGGATATTTCAGCATCCATAGCACAGGGTGACAACAGCTCCTGCACTCTCAGCATCCTCCAGCCATGCTGTTGATCTCTGCCTTCACTGAGGGTGTTTTGGCCACACCCACCCATATTTGGGGGTTCAGTGGGGTTTCCCTGCATCTAGTTTTTATTGTCTATAATTTTCTAACCCTGTACTACCTTATTTTGTTTATTTGGGTTTTTCAGGAAGCATCTTGAAGACATTCAAATGCCACCCTGAGGACATGACTCCAATGCCATAGTCTGATAGATTTTTAAATGTTGATGAAATAGACTGTGCTCCAAAAATTTTTGAATATTCGATAATTTACCTAAGCAAATACAGAAAACTTATGTATAGCAATCACCATATTAAGTCTATCCATCCAGAACATAGTATGTCTATTTACTTAAATCTTATTTTTATTTTTCTTGGCAAAATTTTGTAGCTCTCTTCAGTTGGTTCTATATTATTCTTCCTAAAATTTTTCCGAGGTACTTTATATCCTATATTGTTTTTGTAAATGGGAATTTCTTTTCTTCTAAGTGTGCTGATTATGGCTAATATGTAACATTATCACTGATTTTTATATATGTATTTAAGACCAACACACTTTTATTATATATTTCCTTGACTCAAGAAAAGATAAAATAGATTTTTAGCACAAAGATGAAGATCAAATATATTTATTTGTTGAAATGAAATATCAATGGGGAATTTGGAGAATATTATTTTATAATCAATTTTTAAATCAAAATTCTCTTTTTATGGTTTATGTTCATAACCTTCAGGTAAATCACAACTGATTTAATCAGCAGAATTTAATCAAGAGAATTATGTGAGGATTTAACCCACTGGTCTGAAATATCTTTGAAAATGGCATAATTCTTTGTAATAATACATTGCTCTTTGAGTGAGATCTTGTAAATGGCCCCTTTGGAGATGTTCTGAGAAATTGTATCTATTTATAATCTAGTATTGAAATATGAATAAAAGTTTGCATATTAGAAAAAGGATTCTTTGGAAAACTGCATAGTTTTGATTATAAAAATTATGTGAATCAAATAATGAAAATGCTCTTTGGACCACGTGAGCAACCATCATCTGCTTAAACAGAAAAGATCCAAAGAAGCTACATGTGGCTGCCTTCTAACTGGTGTAAGCATCAGCCTACCCTGGGAATGCCCCCGGAGGCTTGTCAAATCTTGGATGTGCGCATGGCCTGAGGATTAGCTGTCCCCAGGTGGAGAGGAAGCTGATTTTGGAATGGAAGAAAGAGACAACATTAAAGTGCTACCAAGAATAAAGAGCATAGAACAGGAGAGGACATGAAACGGCAAGAACAGATCCCAAGTTTGTGTATAAAGTCAGCGGTGAGTACGTCAGCCAGGAATAGCTCAGATAATCCAAGGCGCAGCTCTGTCTCTGTGGGAAGGAACCCACGTAGTCCTTGAACCATATGGACAACACCTAAAATAACAGTGGTTGGCCGGGCACGGTGGCTCACGCCTGTAATCCCAGCACTTTGGGTGGATCACAAGGTCAGGAGATCGAGACCTTCCTGGCTAACACGGTGAAACCCCGTCTCTACTAAAAAATACAAAAAATTAGCCGGGCGTGGTGGCGGGCGCCTGTAGTCCCAGCTACTCGCGAGGCTGAGGCAGGAGAATGGCGTGAACCTGGGAGGCGGAGCTTGCAGTGAGCCGAGATCGCGCCACTGCACTCCAACCTGGGCGACAGAGTGAGACTCCGTCTCGAAAAATAAAAATAAAAAATAAAAAAATAAAATAACAGTGGTCAATAAATCACTTTTAGGGTTTGGCCTTCAGGGTTCATCTTGAATCTACGACCAACTCACAATATCTCTGTTGCAACATGTGCCTCCTCTCGGGTTGAGAAACCATGATTACCTAAGCTTGAATCCGAGACCCTTTAACCGTCATGAACCACTTGGTGCATATAAAATGAAACGTTTAGATGAGATGAGCTCACATGGTTCAATGCAGACCTGGCATTCCAGAAGCTTCTGAAAGCCATCATGGAACATCACATATTCAAATGCATTCATCCCACAATTATACCTTGCGTGTAAACAACTACCCAGGCATTATGCCCGCTGGTAGATATAAAAGTAAACAGAAATGGGGGAGAGGCAGGGCTGTCTGCAGATGGTCCGAGGTTTCTTTTGGAGGTGATGGAAACACTTTAAAATTAGATTGTGGCGATAGCTGCACAACTCCATAAACATACTCATAAATAATTGAGCCGTACATTTGGAAAGGGTCAATTTTATGGCATGTAAGTAACACCTCAAGAAAGCCCTTTTCAAAAGGAGAAACAGAACAGCAGGCCTTGTTCTACAATGCCTGCAGGAGGATAAACAAGATGGAACAGCACACGGTGTCACCTGTGGTGGCTAAGGGCCTCCCACTGGGGATGGCTGCAGCCCCCCGCAGCCTTGGAAGTGTAAGCAGTGCCCCTGGCTCTCAGTGAATTGCTATCTCTCGAACGTTTCTTTTTCTTAAGTCGCACTCTCTTCCTCTATGTCAAGGCCCACACGGACACTCGCTGGTAAAATACAAGCCAACTTCTGTCTCTGGGGTGGGCCCCTATCCGGCCTGGCAAGCATCCAACAAAGTGTCCAAGTCGAGAGGCAATTCCTTTCCTCTGCTTCTCATCCACATCCCCTAGGAAAACTGTACCAGGAAGGTAGGCCATGTGGGTAATAGTACATAAGAATCCTGAAATGGCTACTAATTACAATGTTTGCAATTATTTCAAATTTTGATTTTCATAATAACTCTTCATGGTTGTGTTGACCAGAGGGAAATTTTATTCCCAAATGTGTCCGTGTCAAATTTGCCATTATCTTCCAGGAAAAAAATCAAATGAGAAGGCTTTTAGAAAGAGATAAAGTTTACTCACTGGAAATTAGAAATGAATATTTATTGTCAGATCTCTGTCTAGATTAAAACCTTTTATTTAACACCAGTTGAAAGTGTAAATTATTCACATGTTTACATTTCAATGACTTCTGTTCTCTAATGATTCCATTTCTAGAGTGTATTAGTGGTAAGATAATGAAATGCCTCATCAGCTTGGAGTATTAAGCAAACAACTAACTTCAACTTTTCAACAGTGAATAAAAAAATAGAGTGGTCTCCAACAACTTATTTCATCAATTTAAAGCAATACTCAGCTAACTTTCCAAAACACAGCACTAAAGGGAATATTGCCAATAAGCCGTGGAAATGCATGTCAGCCTCCCATCGATACGCATGGGACCATGATAACAGATACACTGCTCTCACACAAATCACAGTTTTTGGCAAGATTTATCTTTCCTAGAGGGGAGAATTGGGAGGGAAAAAAAGAGAAAGAGAACATAGTATTGTCCACTCGCCAGCAAAGACAAGCTCTTGGTATTTGAATGACATTATATATAATTATTCACCCTATTCTTCTCACTTAGATTATTGCATGATATTAGGGAATTTTATTACTAATAACAATGATTTATCTATTTACAGTGCTTTAAGTTTACAAAACACTTGCATATGTTATCCCATTCAAGAGATGGGCTTTTTCTGGAATACTGGGGGAATCTAGATATGTCTAGAGAAAAATGAATTTGTACATTGAATTCAAGGATTTTATAAGCCAAGTCTGTTTTCCAAAAATTTCCATGCAGATGTTTCACAATCGCTTCAATGGCACCACACTGTCCATGCATTTAAGTGCTGATAATCCATGACTTTTACACATTCCTCTATCTAATAAATCTCCATTTTCATGGAAGCAACAATGAGATTTTTTGTGTGTTATGCCAAGCACAACTGCTGGCCTTGAATAAGCCAGAGAAATGCTTTCTTTAGTATTATAATAGGCGTGTGGGTAAGGAGTTAAGACCTCATGTCTATGTTCACAATATTTACCATATTACACTATTTACAAAATGTTCATGAAATGAAAACTAACAAAACATGGAACAAGCCGGAGTGACTACGTGAAAGTCAGAGAAAGCTCTGGAAGCATTCCTCTGAAATACAGGGCCACCGATTGTGCCATGTCGGAGGCAAGGATGTGAAGGAGCAATGTTGACTCTGAAGATCCCATTCTGGGTGCTGGCGGGCCTACCAGGCTGGCTTGCCTGGGAGGAGACAGGACTTTGGAAGTGACACTCTGACCCCCAGATAGAGTGGGCTGCTGCTCTGTGCCAGCAGGCCAGAGTGCCAGAGAAGTTGGGGCCGGTGGTGTTGTCTGCACAGATATGACAACTGAAACCACAGGGGCAGATGAGAACTCCAGCTGGGAGGGTGCCGAGAGAGGGCAGCACATCAGCAACCCGAGTTCAGGGTGAGCTTCAGCGAGAGGCCCTGAGAGATGTGGCGAGGGGGCCAGAGAGGTGGGAGGAGAGTCAGCCACACAGGCCCGGAGCTGCTGGAGCTGCAGGGAAAAGGGTTTCTGGAAGTCAGTGATGTAGAAAAATCACCTCTCCAGGCAGGTGTGGTGGTTCACGCCTGTAATCCAAGCACTTTGGGAGCCAGAGGCAGGCGGATCACCTGAGGTTAGGAGTTCGAGACCAGCCTGGCCAACAATGTGGTGAAACCCCATCTCTACCAAAAATACAAAAATTAGCCCAATGTGGTGGCACATGCCTGTAATCCCAGCTACTCAAGAGGCTGAGGCAGGAGAATTGCTTGAACCCGGGAGGCGGAGGTTGCAGTGAGCTCCAGCCTGGGCGACAGAGGGAGACTCTGTCTCAAAACAAAAAAAGAAAAAGAAAAAGAAAAACCACCTCTCCAGTGTCGCACTTACTCCATTTATTCTATTTGAGGTGCAGATGTTGATTTTGATTTTTAGCCCTCCACCTTTTGACTCTTTAAATCAAATATGACATAATGTGTGGAATAAAATCTGCCAGATTAAGATATTCTGCTGTCATTTCCTTGCTCATTACCATGAGGCTTTTTATCTAATAGGATGTGCAAGGCATTTCATGTCTTTCCTTTGACCTCCCATGAAATAAATTTGGCCAAACGAGCTCTACCCTAGGACATCTTTTTAATATGCAACAGATTCTTTCAATTTGAAAAGAAAAATTACCCGTTTTGAATGGAGCCTTCTGTGAAAAGTGGTCCAGGCCCTGCCTGGGGTCTGCATCCTGGGCTTGCTGACACCATCTGGGCCACTCTCTGTTTCCTGATCACTCTCCTCCCCTGCCTCAGAGATCTTCCTGCAGTCCTGAGCACAGCATGTCCCAACAGATAGGATTTCTCTCTGCTGAGGGATGCTGCCCACAGTCCCACCAGCTCCCACCAGAGCCCACCCACCTCTGACGTCATCAGAATCCGGTCCAGATTATTTCTTATTTATCCCTACACTCCCTTCGAAGCTCCACTCTCTGTCGTCACTTCCTGCAGTCTCTCTAAAGACCAAATGATTCCCCACCCCGCCCCCGCTCCATCCCTTACCTGCAGCCTCAACTCAGAAAACCATCAGCATGTAGTACCCAAAGCCCTCACCAGGGGCCAGCCCACTGTACCCCCCTGAGGCATTTCTTTGTGAATTGTCCATACACAGCACACTTGATCATTGTATAGAGAAGGATCCTGTGGCAGAGACGGAGCCGAGATACATGGTTAGCAATCAGCAACAAGGATGCCAGCCACTAGGTAAGGGCTCTGTCCTTTGCATGTCCTATCTCTTGTGTGGAGTGGCCAGGGTGTGTTATTTGAAAATTGTTGTAAGGCAATTCTGAAATTTTTACGAAGTCAAGAAGCCAGAACCTCTTGGTGGTGTGTAATTCACAGTGAGGGAATTCATTATTTTTGGACAAGAATAATCTCTGAAGATATAACTGGGTCCATAGGGAATGATCTTCCACTTCCTTACACTGACCCTTTACATTAATACTGGGGTCGTCTGCAATTGTCGGCTTGGGAAAAGGACCCTGTATCCTTTTCCATGGACTTCTTCCCTGTTCTCATCGTCATGTGCCACTCTGCCTTCTGGTTTCACTTGTGCCTTGTTGCTTCCTCTCAGACAGAAACCTCCCTCCACTTGTCTTCCTTCCAACTGGAGTGCCCCCGCGTCCTGACTTTCCCAGTGCAGTCTTGGTTTTTACCTGTTATTCCAGCATGATTATGAACAGAGCCTTCTTTCACTCTCAAAAAGGCCTAGTTTGGGTAATAACTCGTAGCGTCACGGTTTAAAGCTCATGTAACCGAGAGTTAAGTGTATATTGGACTAGTGAATCAAGAAGCACATGCAGATAATTTTTCTTCTGCTGAATCAGCAAACTTCCCAGCCCCACTTCTCACAGGAAGCCAGGCGGCTTCTGTGGGGACCCCATCCACCCACACGGCGCTCAGTAACCAGGGCTAAGCCCACACACTCAAGCCTAGAAATGCTCTTTTTAATGAAGCTAGGCCAAGTCAACTCACCAATAAGAGAGAATCCTAATCCGTGTGACCAGTCAGCTCTGGTTCTCCCCAACATTTTGCACTTACACAGACGGGCAGTTTTGTAGCATGACTTCTGTTAGGCTACCGCTTATACACAGGACTTGAATTTTGTATTAACTTAACTGTACTGATTCTGCATTTCACATTGCTTCCTATACATTTTGCATGCTTTACCTTCAATAAAAACATGATTTGTTTAACAAATGGGTTTATTCAGTCATTTAACAAATATTAACTGTACTGAAACTGAACTCTTTCTAAATATTGGCAATACAATAATAATGAATGAATAATGAATAAAGGGACAAACAGGGTCCCTTTTTATATAAGGCAAGTCTAGAAGAGAAATTTGGTTTAAATAAATAATCATTAAACTCTAAATGTGATAAGCACTACGGGAAAAACACAGAAAGCCGTGTAACCAGAAGTCTGACCTCAGTGTTGGTTGGAGAAGAGGTTAGAAAAAGACTCCGAAGGGGCTGAGGTTTAAATAGTGGATAGAAGTTAACCAGGAATAAGAGGAGGCTGAGGATGTCACAAAAGACAAAAGGAGCAGCCAATACAGAAACTGTGAGATGGGAACCATGTTGGGACTCTAGAGAAATTGTACGAAGAGGGGAAAGTGACCCAGGTGATGGTGCAGCCTTTGCCAAAGAGTTTAAGTTTCATCCTAAGTGTAGAAGGGTTTTAAGTGGAGGAGTGATCATTGAATTTGCAGGTCTAAAAGGTCTCTGTGGCTGCTGGAGAGACGGACCAGCTGAGGAGAGCTCACGTGGACAGTCACCATGTATGAGGCTCTGGGAGGCGCCAGGCAAGATGTGCTGGTGTCTTGGCATGCGTTGAGGCGGAGAGGATGGAAAACACAAGCAAATGAAAACGTGCTGTGGGGCAGGGGGAGGCAGCACTGAATCTTCACGCAGCCGTGCTGCCGGATAGAAGTGCGAGTCTGATCCTGGGTGGGCTCGTTGGGTGGCCCAGGGTGACCCAGTGCTGAGAAGAGGATGCAGGAGAGAATGAGTCCGCAGTGAAGGGAGTGTGCTCGGTGGTGACTCCTTCAGCTGGAGGTGCCTGGGAGGCGTCCAGGCCACTGCGGATGAGCTGAGCTGCCCACGTATGAGTCTGGACCGTGCACATAGTGTGAATGGGGTCAGTGGCTTGTACTCTACTGAAGCCCTGGGCTTGGGTGAGGTCACTGGGGGACCTTAGAGAGAAGAGAGGAAACAGGCCTGAGCACTTTCAAGGTCTAACGGCAGGGAGAGAAGAGAGATCCCGTAAACGACGGAGAGAAGTAGGAAAGAAATGGGAGAGAGAAGTCCCAAGGAAGGGTGAGCGGGGAAGGATGAGCTCTGGGCGTCCCCGCAGTCAGCAAGAGGGAAGGAGAGCCTCTCCCCAGGGACGTCTGGGTGCTAGAGGTGCACAGGGTGCTAGAGGTGCACAGATTAGAAAGGACAGAAGAGGCTGTGGGGTCCAGGGAAGGTTGTGTTGTTTTGTTTTAATGGATAGATGTGCATGTTTGGGGAGATGGGTCTTTTAAATGGTAGGAAACAGAATATGTCTCAGGACTGACGGAAAGCATCCAGGAGATGGGAGAGAGTCATAAAATAGAACTGAGGAAAGAATGCTGTGCTCTTACTGAGGAACTAGGGAAGATGGGCTCCGGAGCCCTGCAGGAAGAGGTGCTCCCACCATGCATGCACGGTCGGAATCCTGCCCTGGGACTTTCTGCCCAGCAGGTGGTGGGGAGGAACCCGGTGCAGTGATGCTGACGCACTCCGTCAGACACTGCGCATGGTCAGTGGTGGCTGTGTCAACGGCTGCGCAGCTCATGACGGCGCCGGGCTCTAACGGCCAGAACCTGTAGTTTGGGCGAGGGAATATTCTTTCCTTTACAGCCTGCCATCTTCCACGTCATCTGAATCTCCTCTGACTAAGGCAGGGAATGGGAGGGCTAACTATGGATAGTCAAGATACAAAGTGTTGTTCGTGTCAATAGTCTACTGACTCTTTAACCCTCTGTGTACTTCATCGTTATCTACTGAAAAAAAAAAAGTACTGATGTCTTTATCCTTGGAGAGGAGAGGTGTAATCGAGATGGAGAAGGTATTTTAGACAGTATTTTTCACTTGCTCTCAAACTTTGGGCTACTTTATACATATTTAGATGAATTTTACTACCAACCAAGTCTGCTGTTCTTATTACTACATGGTTATCTGCAGTGCACTGTGTAAAAACTTTTAAACAAATTATGGCATTTGATACAATAACTCAAAAAAAAAAAACCATCCTAGGCCTGTCACTGCCCCTGGCCCTGGCCCCCCAGCTGAAGCCCACTGAAGCCCATGGGCTCAAATTTGCCTGCCACGAAAGCAGGATCAAGACTGACTACAAATAAGCTGTCGTTGGCTTCTCCACACTTGAAAACTTACTTTTCCTCCACCCATTTCATCCCAATGTGATATATATTCATAACCACATGTAAATAAATAAATAAAGTGCCATGATTAGGAGAGCGGTTATATCAGATAAACACAGGGGAAATTATGTTACCAAAGGGACTATCAGTCACAGCAATTGGGCCATCGGATCAAGGCTCTGGGGAGGGCAGGAGGGATTCTTACTTTGCTGCAAGCATATGTGGATACAAAACAGTTCTTTGCTTCCAAGGATCTGTCACTGGCATTGCAGTGATACTAAACAAAAGTTATTATTTTCTTTCTTTCTGTTTGTTCCTTAGAAAACTATTTATACAAAATGTTTTCTCCATCCAAATGCAGTTTGGATATTTACTGCTCATCTGCATCACAGCATAAGTCGCATTTCAATCAGTGAATGTAATGTGTCAAGATGTATATATTCTCTGTGTAAAACATTTTGTTGAAATGAACAAGGCTGTTTTAAAGAAAACAGCACATAGGGTTCTCACGTGTTTTTATTTATTTTTATTTTTATTTTTTGGAGACAGAGTCTCACATTGTCACCCAGGCTGGAGTACAATGGCATGATCTTGGCTCACTGCAACCTCCTCCTCCTTGGTTCCAGTGATTCTGCTGCCTCAGCCTCCCAAGTAGCTGGGATTACAGGTGCCCGCCACCACACCTGGCTAATTTTTGTATTTTTAGTAGAGATGAGGTTTCACCCTGTTGGCCAGGCTGGTCTCAAACTCCTGACCTCAGGTGATCCACCGGCCTCGGCCTTCCAAAGTGCTGGGATTACAGGTGTGATCCACCGCGCCCCTCCTCTCACATGTTTTTAAATGTTTCTGCAAAAACATTTATTCTTTTGATCCTATCAGTTGAGCTACAAAATATCTGAATCCTCTTTAACTAACACGTCATTTTGTTTTGTTGTCATACCGACTTACTTCCCCACCCCATCCCCGGGGATGAGTTGGGTGGTTTGGGCTGTTTTTAGTTAACTAATAGAGCTTAGTGTAATGTCAATACAATGCAGTCCCCAAACTGATAGACTTTTATGTGCATATGACTTTCCATTAAATAGAGAGAGTGACTTTGTAAAGAGTAAAATAAACCACAGCTCTGTCCAGGCAGAATTCATTTGACTGAGCACTCCTCTTGTCACATCACCTTTACTCATCTCTTCTTGGAAATAAACACATTTACTGTGCACTATAACTAAACCAACATTTCACCCTCCCACGCGCATTCGCTTTTTAATTTAGAAGAGTCGTGAAAAACGTGAAGCAGCAGGATTTTGGCATGCTCTTCAGAATGCATATAAATAAATCTTTTCCAGCAAATCCTCAAGGGTTTTAGGCAAAACTTTGTGAATGCCAGAGCAGAAAGCTAAAAAACAATTTTGGGTTTGTTTGTTGAGCCAAAAAAGTGGACATCGTGTCCAAAGTATAATTTGAAGCATTATTTTTTGTATTAAAGAATTTAGTAATGTGTATTTCCAACTCCAAGAATTTGTCTGCAGAGTTTCCCAGGCATGTATTGCTTCTCCAACTTTTTAACTCTTAACAGAGAAAGCCAAACAGGATGGGCTCTAGGAAGTATCAGTGTTTCCATGGGAGCCTCTTTGACTAAATAAGTGGATCATGCATCCAAGTACATTCAGTTATTCTCTGAAGAGAATCAAAATCACAAAAACAAGTACCATGGGCACCCTCTTATCTTTTCCTAAAATCCTCATGACCTGTTTCTTCCTGTTAACTGGAATACGCATCACTCTGTGACCCATAATACATGCTTGATGAATATTTGTTAAATTAAAAAATATGTAAAAGCCAGAGAAAACAAATTGTGCTTGCCATTTGTAACTAGTCCATTTTTCCTGTTTGTTGAAATAAATACATACATTTTGTTAAAAGAATGTTTAAATGTGAAAAGGAAAAAATAAAGATAAAAACAGGAAACAGGACCCTGGAGTATCCCTGTAGCCCCTAAGAGGCACTTTTCTTCCATTCTCCGTGGTTTACCTAAACCTCCTTTCTACCTCTCATATTTTCTAAGCAGCATCACTATTTCCTCTTATGAAGTCTGATCTTCCCACACAGAGGGGACACCTTTTGTCAGATTCATCTCCACTGCCAAGTACAAGGTACCCAGTACAATGGCTACACCTGGAAGGCACTCAGCAAATGTCTGCCGAGAAAATAATCTCATTATTCTAATTTTCTGCATGTACTAGCTAACACTGTAGGTAGAAACTCACAAATATGCCCAACAAATGCATTTAAACTCCTCCCTTCGGGGCTTCTGGAAGGACAGAGGCATTTATACAAATACTTTCAAGTCATTGATGTTTTTTCTAAACACCATGAAAGATTTCCATAACGTATTTGTGTAATGTACATCGTTCATATTTGTCCACTTAGGTCTTTATTTGAACATCTGGTTTTCTGCTGCAAGCCTCCCTGTGGCTGGATAGAAGCCACTTTGAAGCCTGGAAGCAATGCCTGAGGTTCTCTAATTACCTATTTTCCCCTCAAATAGAAATAAAATTGACTGTAAGAAAATTTGGCAATGATTCATTTTGTGGACTGCTCTGATAATTTATTGTAGCCCAATTTCATCAGTCCTATTGAACTTATATCAAAGAAAGTTTTGATGTGTTAAAGAGAAATCCATCACACAACAAACTGGCTTCATTTCAGGTTCATTGCTGTTAGGTAGAATCTTCATCACAGATGGTAGGAGCCAGCATCATCTGGTCCCTGAATCACCACCCCTCTTTCACCCTTTCCCATCCCCACCTTGCTCTCTGTACTACAGCTGCAACAGTACACAGTCAGCAACTTCAGCCTGCCATGGTCTCTCACACCACAGAACATCTCACACTCCCTTCTCTGTCTAAATACTCCCCTCTACCAAACATTACCTACTGTAACCTACAATGACTTTAGATCTCAACTCAAGGGCTTCTGGTTCTAACAAACTATTCCTTCACTTGCTCAAGGTCAAGTTCATCAGTTATACATTCTTGTAGAATTACTTATTTCCATGGTCTCCCAGAACCTTTTTTTTTTTTTTAGCTTATAATCATGCATATGTTACTGTGACTATTTGACTAATGTCTATCAACAACAACAGTCTTGTGGCTTCGTGGAATCAGGAGCTGTGCCTGTTTTTGTCCACAAAGGAGACACTTTTATTTTTTTAATTAATACATGATAAAGAAATGAGTGAATGGACAACCAATATACCAATGAGACAAACCGACTTTGTCTTCTAGAAGGCTCATTTTCTCACTTATCCCAATAAATTTCATATGTTCTCTTTTCTCCTCAATCTTCTTACATTTGTTCCCTCTACCCTCTCCCTCCTATGATGACCTCACCACATTCTTCATGGAGAATACAGAAGCCAAACCCATACTCTGTCATGTTCCCACCACCAAACCTGTAAACAAAAATACATTTACTCCTACCTTTTCCTGAAAACAGAAAATATGGCAAAATGACAGACCTAAATCCAGCCACACAACAGTTACATTAAATGTAAATGGCCTAAAAACCCAACTGAAAAGTAGATACTGTAAGACTGGGGGGCAGGGTGGGGCGGGGAGAAGCACTCAAATATATTATGTCTAAAATAGATGCATTATAAAGGTGCAAATAGTTGAAAATAAAAATGTAAAAACACATTCCAAAAATGTAAAATTAAAATATAATTCTGAATAAAAGTGCTGAAAATAAAAATGTAAAAACATTCCACATTTACATTTTCAAATAGAAAACATTAAAAGGATGAACTAACTAGGTCAGGTAAAATATCTTTTACTGTATGTTATGTTTAAAAGGCAAAATAGACTTTAAGGAAAGTAGTATCACCAAGAGACATAAAAGAACATTTCATAATGATAAAAGGTCACTGTATTATGAAGGTAATGCAATTATAAATGTGTACACTTCCAAAGACAGCACTAAAAATACATTAAACAAAAAAATGACAAAAAAGGGAGAAATAGGTAAATCAACAGTCTCCTCTCAGAGATTTATAGAACAATCATACAAAACACTAGTAAGTAAATAGGTCTCATAAATTGTAGATCGACAATTATAAAACAGTATATTCAATAGCCACATACTCTTTTCAACCATATAGAGAATGTTCAAAATATACCACATACTTGAGTACAAACAGTCTCAGTAAATATGAAGAGATTAAAATCCTACATAGTATTTTTTAACCACAATACATTTGAAATATAGAGCAAGAAGATATCTTTTAAACACAGCAAATATGTGAAAATTTGAGAAAGATATCAAAGGGGAAATTGGAAAACATTTCAAATTAAATGATAACAAAAATATAAAGTATAAGTTTGTGGCTTATAGCCAAAGCAGTCATAAGAGGAGAATGTATAGCTTTGAATACTGATGCTAGAAAGAGGGAGAAGGGGAATCTAAGATCAGAAATCTATGTTTCCATGTGAAAAAGCTAAAACAAAGTCAAGTAACATAACATTAAAGCAAGTTGAAAGAAGAAAATTCTAAAGGTGATAGTAAAAATCAATAACATGGGAAACAAAAAACAATAGAATTCAAAAACTGGTTCTTTGAAGACATTAATAAAATTGATAAAACCATCATAAGATTATCATGGGAAAAAAGGAGAGAAAACAACTTACTCATACTAAAAATATAATAAAAACATGAAAAAATCCTAAGACATTAAAGGAATAATAAGGAAATGACATAAACAATTTTTTGCCTATGCCAAAACTGACATTAGATGGAAGATAAATCCTGTAGAGCCTAGTCCAATCAAAGAAATGGAATGTATGCTAGTAAAACTCCCTGAAAAGAAAATGAGACAAAGGCATCACAATCAGAGTAAATTATGGACCTATATCCCTCATTCATAAAGATGTTAAAAAGTTTAATAAAATTTTAGCAACTTGAATATAATAGCACATAAATGAGTAATACAGTATGGCCTAATGGAGCTTATCCAAAAAAAAGGGAAGGTTGGGTTAACATTTAGAAAGCAATCAAATGTAATTTACCGTACTAACAGACTAACAAATAAAAATTATGATTATCTGAAGGATGTGGAACAGAATCCAACCTATACTGTTGATTAAAAACTCTTAGCAAACAAAGAGTTAAAGGGAACTTCCTTCATCTGAGGATGGACATCTATATTATACCTAAATATAATTGTACTTACTGCTGAAAGACTAAATATTTTCCTGCTAAGATCAGGAATGACAAGAATATTCACTCTTATCAATTCTATTCAGTGCTGTATAGGATTTTCTAACCACTGATATCAAGAAAAAAAAGAAATTAAAGGCATACAGATTGGAAAGGAAGAAATAAAACTGTGTTTACTAAGAGATGACAATCTTTTATGTAAGAAATCCTGTAAAATATACCAATTAAATAAGGATACTAGAATGAATAATTCTGTTTAGCAAAATTTCAATATACAAAAATCAATAAAAGAAAATCAGCTTTATTCTATATACTAATGACAGATGATTATAAATTGGGCAAAAGATTTTAACAGACACTTCACCAAAGAAGATATATGGGTAGCAGTTAAACACATTAAAAGATGCTTATTATCACTTGGCATTAGGTAAGTGTAGCAATGACTTGCTGTTACACACCTGTTACAGTGGCTAAAAGACTGTGCATATCCAATGTTGGCCAAGTTGTAGAGCAACTGGTTTCTCCTATGCCTCTGGTGGAAATGTACAATGGTGCAATCACTAGAAAAGTTTGTCAAGTTCTTAAAAAGATAAGCAAACACATCCTATGACCCAGTCATGACATTCTTAAAAGTTTACCCAAAAGGAATGAAAATGTATGCCCACACAAAGATTTTCAAACAAATGTTTATATCAGCTTTATTTGTGATCACCAAACACTGGAAACATCCAAATGTCCAAATGTCTAGCAACCAGTGAATGGATAAATAAACTGTAGTGTATCCATACCATGGTATTACTCAGCCACTTAAAGGAATAAACTATTCTACACATAATGATTTGGATACATTTCAAAATAGTTATGCTATTTGAGAGAGGCCAGACCAAAAAATAAAAATAAAAAAAGAATATATATGCACATACATGATTCCATGTATGTAAAATTTTAGGAAATGTAAACTAATATGTAGTGACAGAAAGCAGGTCAGTGGTTGCTGGAGGCGGTAAGGGGTGGAAGATAGGATCACCAAGGGGCACAATGGAACGCTTGCCAGTGATGGGAGCATTCATTGTCATGATGTGATGGCAGTTTCACAGGTATGACACTCATATACATATGTCAAATTCTTCTAATTCCAACATATACAGTTTGTTGTATATCAGTTATACCTCCATAAGATTTTCTTTTAAGCAATTACTATCTCTGTATTTTAGCAGTAACAATGAGACACTGAAATTTAAAAATACAACTCCACTTACAGTAACTTCAAAAACATATCATATTTAGGAGTCCACTTAACAAAAGGCATGAAGAACCTCTATAGTTAAAATAAAAAATGTTGCTGTGAGAAATTTTTTAAAGACTCCAATAATTAGAAAGATATATCAGGTTTATGGATTAGAACAGTGGTCCCCAACCTTTTTGGTACCTGGGACTGGATTCATGGAAGACAGTTCTTCCACACACTGGGGTCAGGGGTATGGTTTGGGGATGATTCAAGTGCATTACGTTTATTGTGCACTTTATTTATATTATTATTGTATTGTAATATACAATGAAATAATTATGCAACTCGTCATAATGTAGAATCAGTGGGAGCCCTGAGCTTCTTTTCCTGCAACTAGATGATCCCACCTGGGGGTGATGAGAGTCAGTAAAAGATCATCGGGCATTAGATTGTCATAAGGAGCATGCAACCTAGATCCCTCGCATGTGCAGTTCACAAGACGGTTCACTTCTGTGAGAATCTAATACTACCCTGATCTGACAGGAGGCGGAGCTCAGATGGTAATACAAGCAATGGGGAGTGGTTGTAGATACAGATGAAGCTTTGCTCACTCACCCCCAGCTTACCTCCTGCTGTTTGGCTGGTTCCTAACAGGTCATGGACTAGTACTGGTCTGTGGCCTAGGAGTTTGCAGACCCCTGGATTAGAAGGCTTTATATTATTAAGACATGTATTCTCTGCAAATTCATTTATAGATTCAATGCGATCCTATTCATGTGCCTCATATTCTTTCCTGTAGAAATTGACAAGCTGATTCTAAAATTTGTATGAAAATGCAAAGGGCCTAAAAAAGCCAAAACAATGATGTTGAAAAAGCAAAAATAAGCTGAGGACTTCACTACCTGAGTTTAAGACTCAGTTTAAGACTGTAAATCATATTAACTGAGACAGTGCAGAATTGTTACGGGGCAGACAAACAGATCAAGGGACTAGAAAATAGAAATAGACCAACAGTTTCTATGATCAAGTGATTTTTAACATAGGCACCAAAAGGAACATTAAATTCAGCAATAATACTGATACTGAAAGGGAATAAAATTATCTTTACTCCCTACTAAAAACTATACCAAAAACATCATTTCAAGATGAATCATAGGCCTATTTGTGGAAGCCAAATCTATAAAGCTTTTAGAAGGGACTATAAAAGAATATTGTTGAAACTTAGAAGCAGGCAAAAATTTATTAGACAGAAAAGGCAATAGCCATAAATTTAAAAATGATAAATTAGACTTATCTAAATTAAAAACTGATGCTCTTCAAAGGCATCATTATAATTAGGCAAACCCCAAGTATTTGGCAAAACGTATATCAGACTCAAATCCAAAATGCGTAATGACTCATGCAACTCAATAATAGAAAGACAAACAACCCAACAAAATGTAAATGTAGGCAAAATGATGGAACAGACATTTCACAAAAGAAGCGATATGAATGATCAAAAACAACACAAACTAGTGTGTTTATCATCAGTTGCCAGGGAGTTACAAATCAATGACCACAATGTGATATCATGTCAGGCTGCTAGAATGGTGAAAATGGATAAGACTGATAAAACCAAATGTTGGCAAGGAAAGGGAGCAACATGAACTCTTGTCTGTCTCTGCACAAAAATATAAAATGGTACAACCACTTTAGAAAAAGTGGCAGTTTCCGATAAAGTTCACCATTTACATATCCTAAGTGTTTATCCATGAGAAATTTATTTAAATAAATGTTACAAATATCCACATTACCCAAATAAATATTTTGTTGGGGAAAGGAATTTATGGAAAGGTGCTTGAGTATTCACGGCAACTTTATTCACAATGAATGAAAGCTGGAAACACCCATTGTCTATCACCGAGAGAATCGACAATCTGTGGTATAGAATACTGAGAAACAGTAGACAAAAATGAGCTACTGAACCCTGTGATGTGGATAAATCTCACAGATACACTACTGAGTGAGTAAAGCCAGACACGAAAGCACACACACTATGTGATACCATTTACGGCAAGTTCTAGAACAGGCAAAACGAATCCAAGATGGAAGCCAAAAGGGTGGTGACTTGGGCAGGGATGGGGGTGGTGCAGGAATTCACTGGGAGGGAAGAGACTGAAATATTCAATATTGCATCAGGTGATGACACAGATGGATAAATCTGTCACAACTGTACAGTTAAAATGTGTGCATTTCAATGTGTGTAAGTGTCACTTTAAAAAGAGCTGTAAATAATGATAACTGTGGAGTGAGGCAGGCAGTAACCAGAGGTATGAGGGGGACAAGAATGGCAGAAGGCTCGTCATTGCTGAAGCTGAGAGATGGTGTGTCAAGGTCCATGTCACCATTCTGCTTGCTTTGTATGTGTTTGAAATTTTCCATGGTAAAATATTTGTAAATCATTTGATTACACACATTGAGAATGAAAACATTTTTAATTAAAACAAAGGAAAAAGAAAAGTAAAATAATTAATCAAAACAATTTGAATTGGCTTATACCTTCCAGTGATAAGTGATACAAATGGCAAAAGTATTTAAAACTTTTAAATCCAGTTTATAATTCAGCAAAACGTTTCTCAGACCTGATCATCACAGCATCCACAGCCATGCATAGATACTGTATGCACTTCACGGTATACAGCATCCTGATACATAAGTGGAGTCGAGCCTACTGCACAAGTCTGAGCATCATGTGGCCTAATGTGGGGAAGGTGGGGAAAGGGTTGGAGGCTTAGGCTTTGCCTCTGCTGCTTGGTGTTGGGCAAGTCAGTTATGCCAACTTCCCTCATCTGTAGAATGAGAAAAATATCAGAGTGCCTACCACACACAATTCCTGTGAAAATTAAGCACATAAAGCAATTGCACGTATTACATGAATTCTCAATATGATTAATTAAGGAGTGCAATTTATTATAGAGCTTACCTGAAAAACAGAGATCAGCAGGCAAGCAACAAAAACCTTTTGGAGGCGTAAGAACACACAGCCATTTCTTTTGAAAGGCTTGGTCCCTTGAAGAATGTTAAGGATTCTTCAATTGTTAAAGCTGTGGGTTGTGCTTGCTGGGGGCAAAGTTGGCTTATAATGGAAACGTGGAAGCTTCAGCATGTTAAGAGTAAAAAGAAATAAGGAAGTGTTTACCTTTGCTTTGTCTAAATATACTTACAGTAATAAAAATTCATTTTATTGTTGCATTTCTTTAGGAAAAAAATAATGTTGTTACTGTGAGCCCAAATCTAGCCCATAACTTCCTATCCCTAAATATTTATTATGGTAATGTGTATATTTACAAAAATCTAGCTTTTTAGGAGAGTGAAATTATATCTTAGCAGAGGATTAAAATCAAGCAAAACAGACTACAAACTATGCAATAGAGAGAGTAAACCAGTTTCCTGAGTGATATCGGCAAGTCTTAGGATTCACTGGAAGAAAATTAAAACCGGCAATACTGTTGACTATTTAGTAGCTGGAACCAAAGTGTCTATAACCAGAGCAGAAGCATGTTGATTCATTTTCTTCATGGTGTGTAGACGCCGGGATGTTTCTGAGCTGCCTGCCCACCAGTGCTCACCACAAAACAGAAGTTTTCCCAGACCCTTGCAGGGAAGCGTGAGTGTAGAATCAAGTGCAACTCAGGCAGGCTGGCCTTGTCTGGTCTTCCCCAAAAGTCAGCAGAAAGAAGATAGAAGCCAGAGTCTGCCTGGGAAAGAGGCCTGTGGGACTCAGAAAGCATTGGGTTGCCCTTCCTGATGGACAGTAACTGGATTAGATGCTCTCCAATTAAACAAGTTGAGCACCAACCCTCAGGCTTTGAGACAGGCAAGACTTGTCTAGAAATTCACTTTTCCAATCTAGCTTTAACAAGAAAAGAAATTTCTAAATGGAGATGTCAAAACAATTGTAAAGGGAAATGTCAAATGGAAATTTAGATAATTCTGCTCTTTTAGTGGGAGTTCTAAAGCTACAGATAACATGGACCAAAGCAAAGAGGACTGGAGCCAAAACGGACTTAACCAAGATGAGTCATTACTGCAATTTCCAGATCCACCACTCATCTGTGAAAGCTCATCATGGAGAAGATAGCTGCACACGCAGCTGAGCCCTTGGGGTCTGCATGGCCCTTGCCCAGCCACACACGCTGTGGTCTGAACTATCAGAATGTCTGTACCTCCCAGGACAGATGGCACGTGCCATGATCAAAGACACCAGGAGAAAGAAAAGAGCAGAGCAGACACGGAAATGAGTCCTCTGAGAAGGGCTGATGGCAATCATTTACTAATGAGAAAATCCATGTGACTAGAGTGACAGTCCAAAAATCACCTTTCAGAGAAGCAGCCCGAAATGATGAAATCCCAGCCTCAGTGGTTGAAGGGAGTACAAATTGGGAGCTTCTTATTTTTCAAGTGTGTCAAACATCAGTTAATAATCACCAAGGCTCAGGTACCTACAGCTACAACTGGTGAGTCTGTTCCTGAGGAGCTGTCATTTGCATTGGGTCCATGAGTGATTGTGTCATTGTGTCTTAGTGAATTATTGTGGATGAGAAGTTCAACACCAGGACACATCACACTCTTTTACCAGGTACACAAGCAGTAGGTCTGTATGGCAGCAACCAGGATATCTGGAGGTCAAAAAGTCTTGATATTGGAAAATTATCCTAAGATGTACAAGTAGAAGGTAAATGATAAACCTTTAATTCCCTGCTACTTGTGAACTCTGCAAGGTGCAGGTCAGTTGACTTCTGAGTGGCTCAGGTGGCCTATCAATGAAGCTCCACTGACACCTGAAGGGAGGGGCTGGGCTCTTCAACTTTTCCTTCACTGAGCAGGCATGGTGCCAGGTGCTGGGGTGACAAGGTGGGGACCCAACAGAACAAGGAGACATTGTTCCCACCTCCAAGAATCTTACCACCCAACTTGGGGGAACAGATGGCAATAACTACAACAAAGCAGAAGAAGAAACCTAATATAATAGGCACACAAAGTATCAAATTCAAAGCCCAGAGAGATTAATTCCATCTGGACCACAGGGGACAGAGTCATGAAAGAGGGGGCATGTGAGCTGACAACTATTAGGAAGGAATTAATGAGGACCCTAAGGAGGATGGAAGCAGTAACATGGAACAGGAGGAAAGGACCCATGACACTAGCAAGACAGGACCGGAGAGAGATGTGTCTATCTACTTCTTCATCAAGAAGCTCATGACAGACAAGCTGAACTATACCTTAACATAAATAATGTAATTTGTACTTTATTTCAGTAATCAGTTATAAGTATGTAATTATTTTATATGTGAACATACATGGTAATTATATACTTATATAAATGAGATATAATTATATATACATATGTACATAAAATAATTATAAATATATATGTGTGTAACTATTAAAGAAGTTAAGAATGATAAACTTAAGCAATTTAAACTATTTTTAATAATACTTTGGATTTTTTTATCAGTATGTAATATTTGAGATTGGAATAGAGGACAAAGGGAAAATCTGATGATGACTCTCAGGATTTAAGTGATAAGTCATCTCACAAGTGTTAGGTGTGAGAAAAAATCTTGAATTATTTGATGGTAAAATATTTGCCTTGTCCCAATTGCTCACAGGCCTTTTAAATCTAAAGAAAGAGAGCACCCAATGAGACAGATGATAAAATTAAATGTAAATCCCACTGAAGTGCAAAAACAAAAACAAAAACTATATATTGCTGCAAAGTCCTGTAAGGATCCATTAAGGAATTCCAAAGGGTGGGATGTGGGAGGCTGCACTTGGCTCTGCTCCTATAAACGAGGATGCCATCCAGGCACTGCACTTTGAGACAGACAAGAACTGAAGGAATTTCAGAAGGTGACCCAGACAGTTCCAAGAGAAGTAACTAGCTTCATATTCATTTCATCTTTATACAAATGAAGGGTTGGCATAGGGAAGACCAACTACATTTGATCTGTGGCCTCTTAGGATAGAGCCAGGGCCAATGGGAAGAAATAAAAGGAAAGACCATTCTGTTGAGTAGCAAAGAGAAATTTCTGGCCTGAAAGATGTCCTCTTTCAAGAAAGCAGGGGTTTGCCCATGGGGGTGTTCATGTGAAAGTTGGGCTTGCGTTGTATTTCTCGAACACTATCTTTAGCTTCCTTATAAATATTAATGATTTCATTTCCATAAAGCCTATGAGACAGAGACTCTTATTGTCCCCATTTTACAGATGAGACAAATGGAGCACATAGAAGCCACACAACCTTCCTAAAGTCACGCAGCTGGAGGCCGCACAGCCAGATGGCTCCAGAGGACATGTCCTTAATCATGATGTTGCTATTTAGCAGAAACATCGCTGCAGAAAGTCAGACCACAGATGGGGACTGGTGGAAACCAAACATATGACTACATCAGTCTACAAAAGCATCATGGTATTCCCACATAATTCAGAAGCATGCCAGGCCATTCAGAATCTACAGACCAGAGCAATCATGCAAGATAATGGAAGATAATGACAAAACAATATAATGACAAGATAATGGAAGATAGTGACAAAAATATTCTGAGCATCATTGATTTAGTCACCCTTTATTTCATAAACATCTTAGAATTTTCTTCCCACCTTTGTTTATTATTTGGTGTGATTTTGTGTTTTTTCTTCCTAATCTTTTATTAATTTATTTTAAGTGACAAGTAAATATTGTATATATTTATGGTATACAAAATGTATTTGTATTTTGATATATGCATACATTGTGGAATGGCTAAATTAAGCTATTTAACATATGCATTATCTCACATACTTATATTTTTGTGATTAGAACACATAAAACCTACTCTCAGTAATTTTTAAATAAACAATAGATTATTAAATGTAGTCATAATGATGTACAATAGATCTCTTAAATTTATTCCTCCTGTCTAATTGATTTTGTGGTCTTTGACCAACAGTTTCCCAACACCCCCAGCCCCCGCCCCCAGGTAATCACCATTCTACTGTCTGCTTCTAAGAGTTCAACTTTTTTATGCTCTGCATATAAGTAAAATCATGCAGTATTTGTCCTTCTGTGACTGGCTTATTTCACCTAACATAATGTCCTCCAGGTTTATCCATGTTGTCCCAAATGACAGGATTTCATTCTCTTTTAAGGCTGAATAGCATTCTATTGTGCAGATATACCACATTTTCTTTAGCCACTTATTCGTGGTATTGATGAACATTTAGGTTTGCTTTTTATTCTTTCCTTTTCAACTTTTATTTTAGAATCAGGGGTGCATGTGCAGGTTCGTTACATAGGTATATTGCATGATGCTGAAGTTTAGAGTATGAATTTATCTGTCATGGGAACAGTAGATACTGGGAAATAC
Source organism: Homo sapiens (assembly GCF_000001405.40). NCBI lineage: Eukaryota > Metazoa > Chordata > Mammalia > Primates > Hominidae > Homo > Homo sapiens. The sequence goes on from NC_000010.11 coordinate 129,292,470, forward strand.
AAGAAGGGGAAGGAAGGAAGGGGGGTAAGGGCTGAAACCATCCTTCTGTTGGGTATTATGCTCACTATCTGGTGTGAGCTTGAAGACCGATCATAGAGGAGTCCATCTCAGATTCCACTCAACAAGAAAGCATTAGTAATAAGCACTGAGAAAAGCAAGGGCATGATCAGAAGGCAGAGGAGCCTTGAACATAGTAATGCCAGGTAAGAACTTGCCCTCCACTGTCCCAAAATGGCGCCCATCACATGGGTTTCAGTGTTTCCTTTATCTCATACCAAATTAAGAAAGTATCAGAGATATTGTCTCTCACCTGTTAAAATGACTATTCTCAAAGAGCTGAAACATAACAAGTGTTGGCAAGGATATAGAGTGAAGGCTGCCTTTGCACACCATTGGTGGGGATGTAGACTAGTACAGCCGTAAGAGAAAACAGTGCAGAGTTTCCTCAAAAAACCATATGACCCGGCAATCCCTCTTCTGGGCATATACCCAAAGGAAGTGAAATCAGCACCCCGTTGGCATATCCACACTCCCATGTTCATTGCAGCGTCATTCACAATAGCCAAGATACAGAAACAACCTAAATGTCAGTTGAGAGATGAATAGATAAGGAAAATGTGATGTGTATACACACAATGGGATATTGCTAAGCCTTGAAAAGTGGGAAATCCTGCCTTTTGCAACAACACGGATGAGCCTAGAGGACATTAGATTAAGTGAAATAAACCAGACACAGAAAGACAAATGCCATATGATCTCACCTATTTGTGGAACCTAAAAAACCGAACTCATAGAAATAGAGAGTAGAAGGGTGGTTGGTTACAAGACAGGTCGGGGGTGGGGGAAATGCAGAGATGTTGGTCAAGAGCACAAACTTTCATTTATAGGATGAATAAGTTATGGAGATTTAATGGACTCATGAGAACTATAGTCAGCAATACTGTGTTATATACTTGACATTTGCTGAGACGGTAGATCTTAAATGTTCTCATCATTGAAAAATATTGTAACTATGTGAGGTGATGGATATGTTAATTAGCTTGATGGTCGTGATTATTTCACAATGTGTACATATTAAATATATCAAAACATCTGCTTGTACACCTTAAATGTACACAATTGTTATTTATCAATTATTCTTCAATGAAGCTGAAAGAAAAAAGAAAGTATCAGTGTTCTAGATAGACCAACTTCTCAATACCTTAGAAATCCCTACAGTGGCCACAGCCAAATACTAAGTTCAATTATATTTCTCATCTCAAAGTGGGGTCTGGGTAACTCCCTGCCAACAGCTTAGGAAAAGCCTAGTGCATCAGAGCTTCTTAACATGTTTCTGAACAAGATTTCAGTAGTACTGGACATAGAGGACTTGATTCTTCCAATTCAGAACCCCTGATACAGGTCAACTACTGACAGTTCTGTTTTGCGGTGGTTCCTAGTATGGTACCTGGCCAAGGGCACACTAGATCTTTGTCAAGGTAATGACTACTTTTTATTAAATGCTTTCCATGTATCAAGTTCTGTGCCAAGCACTTGACATATATCATTTTATTTTATCCCGTGAAGTAGTTATTGGTATCTTCATTTACAAATAAAAAAACAAGCTTAGTACTTAACTCACTGCCTTGAACATAATTATTGCTTTAAAGGTAGCTAGGATTCTTAATAGCTATTATTACCAAAGCATGAACAATCAGTAAAAAGCAAACCTGAGCATTAGCCCCAGGACCAATCTGGTCACAAACATATTAATGAATTGAACAAATGAGTGAGTGGAAGGAAGGAAGGAAGGAAGGAAGGAAGGAAGGAAGGAAGGAAGGAAGGAAATGAAGACAATACAACCAGAGTTGTTCCTTTAATAACAAGACAAGGGAAAAAGAGAACTGTCAGAATAAGTGTTAATTATAATATCCAGGGGTGGGATACAGAGGTTTTAGCATCTGCTCTTTGCCAAGCACTGCACTTATTCCTGAGGAATACCTGAGGGAAAAAGTATGGTTTCTCACAGGATCTAGTTGGACTGGAAATATGACATTCATATTGGAATCCAGTGTCTTTTTCTGAAAAAGAGAGTTCGTTCCAAGCTTAGCTCACATGCAAGCTAAGACAACCACTAGAAATTACTCTCCCCAGGGCAACTAGCATTGCAGCAGCTCAGGGGCCCAGACTCTTGGGCACCAGAATAAGGACCTGGACCACTGATAAGATAACTATATCCATATTTCATGCAAGAAAGTACTTAGCTCAGGCTTTTTTTTTTTAAGGGATGTTTCTGAGTGAACTAAACATCTTTCTGTTTGAAATTGAATAATGAACCCCAAATGTCTACTTTACCCACCTGAGATTCCAGCATTAGATAGTCACTCCTTTGACTCCCAAAAAATGTGAAGTCTTTTACTCTATCTTCCACTACAATAAATCACATTGGAAAGATGTTATATTTTAAAGCTTTTCAGTATTTTAAGACAATGAATTGAGCAAAATCTTCATTTGAACAACTGATTGAGAGAAAGGTACCAGAGAGAAAGAGTTAAAATAGGCAACTAGGGAATGGGCCAGAGAAACCTAAGGGCTCCCATCTTAACCAGGGTTAGCCTCAGGGCATCTCAGTCCATTCATTCTGGGAGGTGTCACATCATCACATCTCAACTTTCCCTCTGTATATGCAACAATCACTGGTCACTGGCCAAGCAATAAAGCTTCACATTCAGCACTCAGCTATGACTTTAGATGGATGGCTGGGAATCCCACGATGTCACTCCCTCATCAGAAGCCTCTGTCCTCACGAGGAGCCCTTCCGCTGGAATTTGTCCAGTGCCATGGCTGCTGATTTAACTGCACATATTGGGAAGCAAAAAGTTTAGGTCCTTCTTTACCTAACTCTTCTCACCAATTCCTGAACTCAAAAATGTGTTAGAACCCTGTGCTAAAACATTCAGTGAAGTACCAAGCTAAACCTAGGTATTTCATTCTGAGAATAAAGAACGTTTGCCTCCATGACAGTTCTTGTTTAAGCGAATAACACAAGTTCGCCATACTGCATGTGGTTCCTTTCAGTAGTTCCTACTTCTAGGAAGCCTAGAGAATGAATTCAGGGACAATAGCAGTGCCGGTGCTAGTGCTAATTTTTATCAACCTGCCCAGCCACAGAAGCAGCTGAACATATTTACTGGGAAGCCACCATGAGCAGGCTAGAATTTGATGCTGGGAACACAGACACAGGTAAGAAATGGTAGAGCTCAACCGGGCACTGTGGCTCATGCCTGTAATCCCAGCAGAGGCCGAGGTGGGTGGATCACCTGAGGTCAGGAGTTCAAGACCAGCCTGGCCAACATGGTGAAACTCTGACTACCAAAAATGCAAAAATTAGCTGGGTGCAGTGGCATGCACCTATAATCCCAGCTACTCTGGAGGCTGAGGCAGGAGAATCACTTGAACCTGGGAGGAGGAGGTTGCAGTGAGCTGAGATCGTACCACTGTACTCCATCCTGGGCAAGAGAGTGAGACTCTGTTTCAAAAAAAAAAAAAAAAAGAAAGAAAAAAGAAATGGCAAATCTTCATCCCATCCTTCTCCACCAACCATGAACAGGATATGACAAGGACTCTTGTCCATTCGTTTACAACCTAATTTTGTTTGTAATCTTACTAATTAACATAATTTCACTGAAGTAAAACTAATTGAGAAAATATAAAACACAGACTTAAAAAGAGAATTTTTGATAATATATGGAAAAAGGCAGAAAGACAATTGCACACGGTATGATTAGGGCTCTTAGTTACTTATTTGCAACCTAATTTTGTTTGTAACATAATAATTGACATGATATTTTAAAAGAAAAAAATGAGAAAATTTGAGGGGAAAGCAGAAAGGAGAGTTTTCTATAATACAGTATACTGAAATAAGAGGAAGGCAATTCAATGTTTGAAATGCTCTCAGTGGAAAAGGTTCTCCTGACATATCTACCAGGGTTCAAATGTTGAGCCCCCAAATCCCACTGATTCCTGCTCAGCGTCCTTGCAGTCACCATCCCCTGGGGGAAGGTGGTGGCTGGTGGTAGCACAGCCCACATTCCTTTCTTCTCCACCTCCACTCTTACCTGCAAGGCACTGCAGAGTGATGGTTGAGAGCACAGACTCCGCAGTGCCCTAGCCTGAGGCTGGCTGGGCTCTGCCCCTCAGGAGCTACAACAGAGGGTGTACAGGGCAAGCTCTGGAGGAACACCTCGGGCACCCAGGGCAGAACCCTCCCCATCACCTGGAGCACAATGTACCTGATGCATGCATTTTCAAGAAGGTAGATTTTGGCTAAAGATGAGAGCTTCGACTTTTCATTAGATGACACGATGAGGTAGACCATGTCCTGCTGATTACCCGGACAAGGAAGTGTCCCAGCCAGTCATAGAAAGCAGGAGCTTACTGCCATTAGTGTAGTGCCCTAATGAACACAGCTGTCAAGCCAACAACTGACTTCCCCCTTGCAACCAGGTGTGTCTGTGTGGCCCAGCTGGCCGGGAGATGTAGGAGGAAGTTTCCTGCAGGGATGGGGAGGAGGCTCTGAGAAAGATTTTGTTTTCCAATAAGAGCACCAGGTACATTGCTGGGACGGCTCCCTCCCTGTGCAGCAGCCACCCAATAACCACAACATCATTAAGTAATGTCAAGAAGGCAATGCGCTGAGACTGGAGAGCAGAAGAAAGCATCACTGGGCTAACACAGCAAATGTGGAACCCCCTCCTTCAGCACCCCCTGGTTGTGAGATCGTCTTTCTTGCTGAAATCACTGTTAGGCATGCCTAACTGACATGAATGCTACTTTTGGAGCATGAGTGAGCATCTACTGTTCAGAAACAATGACATCTTAGTGGCTACAGCCTATAACTGGCCATCCATTCATTAGCTATGTAATTGTCAGTCATTTCTCCATGAAAGTACAATAACAAAGAGGAAAAGCCTGGCTTCCTTCAGAAGAAACATAGACCTACGCTTCGCTCCAGGAGTGAGCTAGCACTACTTGCTGAGATCCAACAAGCAGGACCTATATTTTTAAGCCTGAAGTTCCCAAGTCCTCCCTGTTTCTCTGTTTAAATTCCAAATATGTATAAAAATATGAACTATTATAAGACACACTTGTGCCTCTGAGAAAATCTTGGGCAATCTATCACTGTAGCTTTCGTGTCTTTGCTAGTTTCCCATGATTCTGCAGGTTTTCAAGAGAAGTATTTGTGGCAGAGCACCATTATTACTAATAACAGTATCTGAAAATTACATAGTGCTTTCCTATCTGTAGCACTTTCATATATATTCTGTATTTGCAGATAGTTCTAAATGACCAAGAGGTTGCTGTTTCTTTGAATGCAGGATAGAGTACAGTTGACACTTGAACGATGCGGAGGCTCGAGGCGCCGACACCCACACAGTCAAAATCCCCTGTAGCTTTCGACTTTCCAAAAACCTGTCCACTATTGACCAGAAGCCCTGCCAATAACATAAACAGTTGATTTTATCCTGTATTGTATACTGTAGTCTTACAATAAAGTAAGCTATAGAAAAGAAAATGTTATTAAGAAAAGCATAAGGAAGGGAAAATATATTTACTATTCTTTAAGTGGCTTACTTATACTGGCCGGGAGATGTAGGAGGAAGTTTCCTGCAGGGATGGGGAGGAGGCTCTGAGAAAGATTTTGTTTTCCAATAAGAGCACCAGGTACATTGGTACAAGGATTACTATAAAGGCCTTCATCATCATTGTCTTCACATTGAATAGGCTGAGGAGGGGGAGGAGGAGGAGGGATAGGTCTTGTGTCTCAGGGACAGCAGAGATAGAAAAAAATCCACATATAATAGGACCCACACAGTTCAAATCCATGTTGTTTACGGGTAAACTGTATATGAAAAGTGAGTATGGTAAAACCATCCATGTTTTTAATATGCAAATATAAATAAGATGAGACAACAGGCTAAGAATGAAAGGAGCATAGAGAAATGGAAAAGGAGCTAGATAGGGTAATAAAGTAATATTAATTAATAATTCAGTAGCCCAATTTCTATGTACTTTAAAAGCTGTAAAAAATGCATAATATTCAATCAATATCATGGAGGATAAATTAGAGAAACTATATAAGAAACAGAGGAAAAGGATGAAGATTGCCAAAAGAATTAGAGAGAAAACTATAGGTTTAAGCAAAAGAGAATAAAGATCCAATATTCAATAACTAATGTTCCAAGAGAGGAGATAAATATAAGAGGGTAAGTGATTGGCCATATCCTGGAACATAAAGGAAGTCTCAACAACGTTCACAATGTTACAGAGACTGAATTAATTAGCATATATTCTCTGACTGTGAAAGAAACAACCTAGAAATAAATAACAAAATAATCTAACTAGAAAATCCTCAAAACATTTGGAATTTCATCAATACACTTCTAAATAAGTCATGGGGCAAAGAACAAATTATAATGGATATTAGAAAATATTTTATATTGACCGATAGCAAAAATGCAACAGAACATAATTTATGGGATGCAACTAAAGCATTGTATAGAGGGAAATTAATACCCTTAAATGCTTACATTAGGAGATAAAGAGGTTTAAAATAAATGATTGAAATATCCAAATTACAAAGTTAGAAAAAAACATAAATTAAACTCAAGCAAAAGAAAAGGAATTAAGAAAAACTTTTCAAAATGTAAAACAAATGAGCAAAAGAAAAAAATTTAAAACCAAAAGTAGTTCTTTTTAAAAAAATTACATAAATTGACAGCACATTAAAAGGAATATTTCAGAAAAGAGAGGAAAGAGGAAAGCAGAGATTTTCAATATGGAGACTTCAAAATGGAATATCACCACAAAACCTACAGATATTAAAAAATTAGAGGATATTATAATTTTATGCATATTAACTTGGAAATTATGAAATAGAAAAACCCCTACAAAAGCACAACTTAGAAAACTGATAAAAGAAGAAATAAAAATGTAAACAATCCCATAATTATTAAAGGAATTTCATTTGTAATTTAAATTCTCCACAACTCACCCATCAAAAACTCTCTACACACAGATGGTTTCATTCATGAATTATTTTAAATATTGTTTGGTAAAATGATACCAATCTTACAGAAACTTTTCGAGAGGCTAAAAGAGATAAAATACTTCACCACTCATCTTATGAGATCATTTTAACCATGATGCCAAAATCTAACAAGGAAATAAATTATAACAGGAAAATTACCGGCCTATGAGCACAGACATGAAAATGCCAAACAAAACCCCAGCACAAATAATCCAGCAAAATGTCAAAAGGAAAAGGCATGAAGCCCAAGCAGAGTTTATGACAAGAATGCATGGGTTTTTAACATTCAAAAATCAAAGCATGTGCTTCAGCCTCTGCTCCCCCCACCTCCCTGAACAATTTACTCCTGCACTGGCAGGTAGAGAAAGGAAGGCCCCTATAGCAGGGAGCAGCGGGTCCTGCAGGGAATGTCTGAAAATTAGAGGAGCGCAGGCAGGCTAAAGAGGGGACCCATGCAGGGGAGGCCATAGTGGCAGGGATGAGAGGCCTGCTGGGTCATAGGGCTTGAGCAAATGAAGAAACATGTTAAGGGTAACAAAAGCCAGAGCTCTCCCAGGGCTGGAGAAGAAAGTTACAAATGTGGAAATGGAAAAAACGAAGAACTCTGTGATGTTGAATTAAATGGGATGTAATGGTGTAAATGTGTAGTTTTTGACAAGGATTAGATGGGTATATTATAGGATAGACAATAGGTAGATTGTACATAAATAGATGCAAAAAAGACCTAAATCAACAGAAAGATATACCATGTTTAAGGATTGGCAAACTCAATATTGTTCAGATATCAGTTCTCCCCCACTTAACCTGTAGATTCAATGCAGTGTTAATCCAATTCCCAAAAGGATTATTTGTAGATATTCTTTCAGTGCTACTTTTTAAAAAGATTATTCTTTTTCTATTGAATTGTCCTTGCAACTGTGCCAAAAATCAGTTGACTACTTGTGAGGCCTTATTTCTGGTCTCTCTGTTCTGTTTCATTGCTCTATGCATCAATCTTTTTGCCAATACTATACTCTCTTGATTATAACAAACCTTGAAATCAATCAAAATTGTTTTGACCATTTGAGTTGCTTTGCCTTTCCATATTTAAAAATACAATTTGATTGCCAAAATCTATTTAGCAAAAAATCTTGCTGTGAGAGACATTATTAAAAGAATGAGGGAAGAAGCCATGGACCAAGAGGACTTATTTGCAAATCACAAATCTGACAAAGGGCTCTCAAAATTCAACAATAAGTAAAGAAACAAACCGATTTAAAAAATAAGCCAAAGATCTGAACTCTTTTTTTTTTTTTTTTTTTTTTTTGAGACAGGGTCTAGCTCTGTTGCCCAGGCTGGAATGCAGTGGCATGATCTCAGCTCACTGCACCTTCCACCTCCTAGGCACAAGCCATCCTCCCACCTCCTCAGCCTCCCAAGTAGCTGAGACCACAGATGCATGCCACCACATCTGGCTAATTTTATGTATCTTTTTTTATTTTTGTAGAGATAGAGTTTCAACATGTTGCCCAGGCTGGTCTTGAACTCCTGAGCTCAAGAAATCCACCTCCCTCGGCCTTCAAAGTGCTGGGATTTTACCAAAGAAGATAGAATTTTGCAAACAAGCATATAATAAGATGCTCAACATCATTTATCAATAGGAAATGCACATTAAAATCATAGTATCAATGAGATTAAAATCACAATATTACTACACACATATTAGAATATCTAAAATTTTTAAAAAACTTACAATGCCAAGAGTTGTAGAGAATACAAAGCAACTGTAATTCTCTTACATTTTTGGGAATTCCAAGTGGTATAGCCCATTTGGAAAACAGTTTGTCAGTTTCTTACAAGGTAAAAGATATACCTACTATATAACTCAAGCAATGTCACTCCTTTGTACCTACTGAAGAGAAATCAAAGTTTATGTTCACACAAAAACTTATATATGTTTACAGCTGTGTTATATATATTAGCCGAAAGTTGGCAACAACCCTGTTGCATCCTTCAACTAGTGAATGGCTAAAACAAACCATAATACATCCATGTAATGGAATACTACTCCACAATAAAATGCATGAACTATTGATTCCCACAATAATATGGATGAAACATAAATGCATTCAACTAAGTAAAGAAGCAGACCCAAAAGGCTATCTATTTTATGATTCCATCTATTTGATGGTCTAGAAAAAGCAAAACTATAAGGGAGAAACTGATTAGTGGTTGCCAAGTGTATGATTGAGGGGAGAAGTTATCTGTAAAAGGGCAGCCAGGGAAGATTCAAGGTGAGACAACCATGGTGGTGGACATAAAATTCTATGCATTGTCAAAACCCAAAGACCTTTGTGGTGCTACAAAAAGCAAATTTTACTAGAAGTATTTTTTTTCAATCAACTAGGATGTGGAAAAGATCCTAAAAGCATGAAATGCAGACAAAGATAGCAAATGAGTCTAACTGTATTACACGTGAATGAAACCACCACATTCAAGGGGCTGGGGGAGAAAGGTGCTGACCCAGGTAACTTTGGAAAATGGTGTTTGGACTAAATACTATAAAACTAAAGATGAAAAAGAATTATATGCAAATCCTGCACTCCAGCTGATGAATAACTTTCTCACAGGGGTATGGTTAAAAGTCTTGAAACTATTTATGAGTATACTGGAGTTGAACAAAAAAGGAATGATAGATAATGAGATCCCAGTTTCTTACTGTCAGAGAAAGACGCTACAAATAAGGTGAGGAGGAAGACGAGAATGAGCAAGGTGGTGTTGGATTGGATTCAGAGGTATCAATATGGACTTAAGAGTTTTTTGATATACAGATAAATAAATATAAAACTAAATAGACCCATGTACTTGCATGATTTAGTATACAAACATATGTTTCCCCGCTCTGATCACTGAGATGTGCTACAAGTAGTGAGACTCCAAAAGCAATGAGCACACCTAGCAACCAGATCTTGGTTTCTAAATATCATTTTCCCAAAAAAGGGAACCAGGACTCCTTGGAGAAGTAGTTGATTCCAGGGCTTGGGCTGGGAAAGTCCAAGATGAGCCTGAAGCACTTTGTGCTGCCAAAAAGCAAGGAAGTACTCAAGGGGAGGCAGGGGGAAGGGAATAGGTCCTATTGAAAGGACGCAGAGGTCAAACCAGAAAAACTCTCAATGGCCAAACTTGGAGCAACTTTAGCAACAAATAAATAAAAATAGTATTTAACTACAATGCCCAAAATAAAATAAATATCCATGAGTCAAAAAATTTTTTCCAATTGTGATCATCAACAAAGATGGTACTATCCCTACTTGTATTCAACATTGTACTGGAAATCCTAGTCAGAGCAATAAGCCATGAAGAAAAATTAAACATAATAACTGAAAAAGAAAACATAAAACTGTTACTCTTTCACATGACATGGTTTTGCACTTACATAATCCAAAGGAATCTATAGACAAATTAAGTATTAATAGTGGATTGAGTCAGGCCAATATAGAGTCATATAAAATTGCCATTTTGGAGTTAAATATTGGTAATTTCACATGCTTCAACCAGCAAAAATCAAATGCATTTCAATATTCTTATAAACCAATTATAAAATAAAACTTATAAAAGATACTACTTACAGTAGCATCAGTAAATATTAAGGAATAAATCTAACAAAACATACAAGATTTCTGCGCTGAAAATTATAAACCACAATTGAGAAAAATTTTGAAAGACCTATTAATTTGAACTATTCAATATTATAAAGTTATCAATTTTTACTAAATTAATCTAAAGATTCAATGTAATCCCAATCAAAATCCTAACTCTCAACTCTTGTGTGAAACTGATAAGCTGATTCTAATATTTATACAGAAAGACAAAAGGCAGGGAGAGCCAAGATAGTACTATAGAAAAAAAACAAAGCTGGTATTTGTATCCTATCACCCATCAAGACTTTCTGTAAGCTACCTTACTTAATATAGTGTGGTATTGGCACATGGAGAGCAAACCGATCAACAGAATAGAGAGGGCAGAAATACACCCACCTATTTGTAAGTCACTAGCTTTATGACAGCAATAACATGAAGGTGACAAGAGAATAGTGGTCAATTCAACAGATGATGCTATGTCACTTGTATATCTACATGGAAAAAAATAAATTCTGACATATTTCATACCTCACACAATAGAGAAAAAAATATTTCTAGATAGCTTGTAGATCTAAATGCAAGAGGTAAAACAATAAAGCTTCTCAGACATAGAATAGAAGAATATCTTTATGATTTTATGACAGAAAAATATTTCTTAAAAAGATACAAAAAACACTAAATATTAAAGAAAAGTTTGGATTATATTAAATTAATAATATTTAAATCATATATAATATGTAATGTAGTCAAAAATATACAGTATATATACTATATGATATGTATACTATATATCACTGTACTATATATTATATATAGTCTATATATTTCTATATACTTTAATTGTTTTAATGAACAAGTAAAATATAAATATTAAAACATAAAAGCATTGAAAGACACAAAATACTTAGAAATAAATTTAACCAAATATGTGTAAGACATGTTCAGTGAAAACTCTGTATTACTGGTGAGATAAATTAAAGAACATCTAAATAAATGGAGAGATATACTATGTTCAGGGATTGGAAGACTCATTGTTAAAATGACAATTTCCTGCAACTTAATCTATAAATTCAATGCAGTATCAATTAAAATCTCAGCAGGTTATTTTTTGTAGAAATGGACAAGCTGATTCTAAAATTTATTTGAAAATGCAAAAGATATAGACTGTCCAAAATCAGTTTTTAAAAGAAAAAAATAAGATTTATACTATCTGATATCAAGACTTCTATAAAGCTACAGTAAAGAAGTTGTTGGGGTACTAAGATAGGATAGTCATATGTACAGTGGAACAAAATATAGAGTATAGAAACAGACCCATACTATGTCCCATTTTCCACAAAGGGGCAATGATAATTCAGTGGAGAAAAGAATAGTTTTTGCAACCAACCATCCAAGAACAGATATCCAAATAGGAAAAAAAAAAAAAAAAGATTCCTGGCTTTTACTTAATGCCATGTACAAAATGAGCTCAAAAATGGATCATAAACATAAATACAAAATTAATCAAACCTTGAGGTAGACAAAAATGTTATAAATAGAGCACAAAAAAGATAAAATAATGGTATTAGATTTAACCAAAATTTAAACCATTTGCTCTTCTACAGATACCATTAACAAAATGAAAAGGCAAATCAATGACTGAGAGAAAATATTTGCAAATCACATATTTGATAAAGAACTTATATCCAGAACATATAAAGAACTCCTAAAACTCAATGTCTTTCTTAAATGCTTAGATAGAATCAGAGAAAATGTTCTCAAAGGTACAAGCAATTAGAAAATGTATTACTTGCAAAACTTAGAGAAAACTGTATTCAAAGACATTCTCCAGCGAACTAAAAGGTGAGTCAACATACAGAAGCAAAAAATTCTAAAATCAAATTATAAAAATACTGGGATAAACAATGAAACTGGATGATCATAGAAATAAAGGTAGTATTTACAAAAAATGAGATTGTGAAAACACCAAAAATTTAATGACAAACTGGTTCTAAACATTTCACGATAAAAACAACAGGAAATGGATTGCAGACGGAGGACAGAGGTAAAGAATGCTAATTTCCTCCTCTTATGAGGCGTGCCAACAGATATGACAGGCAGTTTGACGAATACCAAAGACCCGGAAATGTTTATATCATTAGCCAACAATTTTACATGTAGAAATTTGTCTTAAGGAAATAACTGTGAGCAAATTGTATACACAGATGTGTATTGCAGCATTATTTATGGCAGACAAACACTGAAAGGATTCTAAATGTCCACTAGCATGGGACACACAGAAGAAGTATGGCACATGCATTCACTAAAATACTGTCTATTTATTAAATGGGATGTGGACAAAGAATACTTAATGATTAGGATAGCATTTCATCATCTTTCCTAGTTGTGTTTTTTTTCCTTATGACATTCTATTTGAAACCAAGAATTTTGCTCTTTTATGAATCTTTCTTCGATCACCGGGATCAGTTTGGCACCGTCCCTAACCTTTTCCCATTTACTTTCCTAAGTTTTCTGCTGCTTATGAACATTTTCATGTGAAATACTTTGTTTCAACTGTTTATCCTTCCTAAAAAAACTATTCTGTGCTTTAAATACCAGTGACTTTTTGCTTCCTAAAACAGCAGTAGTCATGATTTATTTTTAAATGAGAAAATAAGAATCCCATCACTTAGAAGCTAGTTGGTTTATAATGTCAATGTTTAGTTTCAAACATGATACGACAGTTGTATTTTTAAGTCTCAGTAACTTATGGTTTTGATAGACTTGAATAAAATACTAATTGCTATGACAAAGTGTACTAATTCGAAGAGAGAATCAAAACATTAATTTTTACCAATCCCCAGCAATACGTAATTCTAAAAAGAAACACACACACACACACACACACACACACACACACACACACACACACACGAGATAGATCAATTCAAAAGGGACCTCCAACGCATGTATTTTCTGAAAGAACAGATCTAGTCATAAAATATCCTCCACCACAAATGTGAGCCAAACCCATGTTTCATTTATTTTGAATATTTGAATGCTCCAACGTTTGGCTCATCATCAAGCCTCTCAGAAATACTTTGCAGGAACTCAGCAGACACAAGGTCACCTCCTAGCACTGCCTGGGAGCAAAGTGCTCCCACAAGCCCTACTCACACAGGGCTCGCCCTGCGGCTCTGAGACCCACCCCAAAAGCGTTGAAGCCAGCAGCTGCTCACAGGCCAATGACTGCAGAGAAATAATGACACGACATGGGGGCTATGGGGAGGGCATCTCTGCTGCCAGCCCGGGAAATGTTTCTTCCATGGAATTCTAAGACCACTCGCCCACCTCCTTATCTCTTCTGGGGAACTCCTGGTGTCCGCAACCAACAGCCAGACTCTGGCAAGTTCCCTGCTGGATTAAGTTCTCATGCAGTCTGCATCACCAATGTAGATATCATCAGAAAAGCAATTTTAAAATTTTCAGGCTGGGGTAGAATATGACGATGGCATTCATCTGTTGCCCTTCACAGGATTGCTGGGCACACTCATTTTCATCACATTTCAGGTCTTTCTACAAACCACCGCAGTGCTACCCCAGGAGCTCAGTTCTCAGACTTTTCCAAGCACTCACTCAAGCTTCTCCTCCTCCTTCCCCCACAGATGGTTCCACAGTTTTCATTAGAAACAGATGATAAGAGAAACTTGCTTCGGAGAAACCTTCTCACCTGATGCCTACATGTGATGAACTTTACAATGATTAATTATATTTTATTGAAGACAAAACTCGCCTTAAAACTTAGATGTCAAGACCCTCAAGAAGCAAAGCCAGAGCAACACCTGCTTTCTTCTTCTTCCCCACGCTGGCCCAACATGCTTCAGCTGCTCTCTGGATTCGTCGAGACACAGCACTCATTTTGATCACATCTCCTGTGCAGAAAAATAGAATCAGCTCAAGTCACCTTCAGTCATGCACACAAGAAACAAGGAACCCAAATATTTGTCAAAAAAAAAAAAGGAGCAAAAAACAATATGTTTGCTCTACCCGTGTGCACACCAGGCAGGCATTCGGAGGCTTTGCCAGCTAGTAGCTATGATAGGAATTCCAACACGTCACCGACGTTTCTACCTCCCCTTGTGGGGAGCAAGATCTTGCACTTTATACTACCCTTGGAAAATCAGCAAAGCGTTGCATTGAGTATTTTTTTAAAGAAATTACACAGCTGTTGTTCATAGAAAGGATATATACTTAAGAACTGTTTTCCTTACTTAGTATTTCATTATCGGTATGCACCTAAGTGTATTTAATATTAACACCATTCGACACAGCTTTTATTGGAGGCCTCCATTTGTTTTCATTGGCCCCTGGGAAGCCATGTGAACTCATGGCCATAAAAGCTGTGTTGTACATAAAGGATGCATTGGATCTGGTTTCCAAGCCTAATCCAGAAAAGAATTTCCTTTTCAGGACTCTCACTTTTGTTTCTGAAAAATTTGGAAATACCATTTTTCTCGGGGAGTTTCACTAAGCATTATGCAAAACTTTCTACCATGTGGAAGATGCCTTCTTTGGGAGCAGCTAGAGTGGCTCTGGTGAGAGAGAGAAGGTGGTTGTGCTCCCTGACACAGCAATCTTTAAGTCCCCACCATGCACGCAGCCAGGAAAAGCCATCATGAAAGTGTTGAATCAGTGGAGACTTTCTTAAAGAAGTAATAATAATTTCAGGAGTGAACATCCCGGGGCTACTCTGGGTCCTGGGTTTGCCCCACCATGAGGCCTCCTCAACCACCACCCCGGCTGTGGCTCCATAGACAGGACACATCTGTACGTGCTGAGCAGTGACAAACCTAGAACACCTTGTACAGATGTCTCATTGTGGGACATCCATGTGACTTCTGCTGCTCAAGAAAAAAAAAAGTCTCTTTATAAAGATCCCCCCTACTTAAAAGAAATAGAACCTGTATTTTTTTTTCGGTCTGGAAAGTAATAGTATTATATATCATTGTATATGTGGCTTCTTAGATATTTGAACAGTGACTGAAAAATTCATGCAACCATTAACCTAGGACTGTTTCGCTACAAACAGCAAGCTGGAAACTTCCAGAGGCCCTGGACTTCATGTAGGATCTTCTGCACACCATCCCCCTACAGCCTCGCTTGTTAAAAATTAAAAAAAAAAAAAAAGGATTGGACTATTGACTCAATAATAAAAATTTGATCACATCTTAAACTAGAAATCATCTGTGTTTGCATTTCCAGATTCTTTATCAGTAATATGTTGATGCATGTTTGAAAATTTATTAGATGCTGTAAAACAAATCATTAAGCAGGAAGCAGTTCTGAGCCTCAGCACTCTCTGACCCTTTGTAACCCTATTATAGCACCGAAGTGTTCTAACAAACAAAAGAGAAATTAGCTCTTTTGTTCTCAAGACTGTCAAGCAGGTTAGTTCATCTAACATAGTCTTTTATTAATAAATGGCACAGATTTTCATGCTAGCGTAGCTAAAGCAAATCACATCATCGTCTGAAAAAGACATACCTATTATTTTTCAGTGATATATTGCTTTGCAGCTGTAGCCAAAACAATCTAATAAGCACTATTAGATAAAGGATTCTGAATATGAATGTATTGAATTTGTAGTGGAAGAAAATGAACATATTGCAGCATTTATGTCAGATTGGGTTAAGCTTGGGCATCTCTTTCTCCTTAATAAATGCAGATCAAAAGACTTCTCTTATGTAAAAAATAATAATACAAATTTCAGCAATATGAAATAACACAACCACTTTGTAATGTTGGGAGGAAATCAGTCAGCCATGTGCTGTATAGAATATGAATTATTTTAGGAGGGCAAACAGATCCTGTGATGCTCTCTCCATACATTTATATTCATAAAAGATTCCAAACGCCTAGAACAATAGCAGCGATCTATTTGCCATAAAGCATTCCGACATTTGCAGTGTCACTTATGACAGCTTTGATAGACATGTACTACATAAGAAAAATATCTTCGAGCACTCAACTCGTCTAATAAATTGATTAAACTTCTCTTCAACCAATTGTTTTTGTCTTAACTTCTTCTTCAGACATCACCTGAAGGAGCCCTTGCTTGTTTTCAGAAGACTATGTAAAAGGAGACAGTTTAATCGAGGCCTCAACGTTTGAGCACTGTCAGAATTTCCCCTCAAATGATAAATGATTGTATAATGCAACAGTCTACTGCTAGGGCTGAATTATATTAGCCATCAGTGTTCAAAACCCATTTGAAACTTAATTGTGCTGTGGTAGTGGTATCCCCCAGTCAGCAGAACAGCAGGTTTATAAAAATCATCTCCTATGATTGTTAAACGCTTTCCTAATGAAGCTGATGATCACAACACTTTGCAATAAACGCTTTTGTCAAGATGTCACAATGCGTGATAGTGGCCTCTACAGTGAGCAAGTGCTTCTGCGATTTGGGTTTATCTTCATTGCACGGAATTCAACAGATCGGTCTGCATATGGAAGATAATCTCCATAAAAAGGGAAAGTGCTGTATATTAAAATGGGATTATCAACTAGAACATAATCATGCCACTGTGTAATTATATGGTACACCATACGTAGATGTGAACAATCATACAAGAAAATAATTGAGGGCCATAAAACTTAATTCAGAAAAATCAATAGAATATAAAAGCAATCAGATAAGGCCTCTTAAGAAATCGATCAAGGCTTGTACAAAGTCATAATGTGTTTTCCTAAGAGAAAAGGAGCTAAATGAAGCAGAGAAACCTACATAATATTCTACAAGTAGGTTTCTAGAGGTGCTTGTATATTGAAGAGGGAAGAAGAATGGAAAATGCAATTACTTTTTACATTCTAGAACCACGTGTACCGGGAGCAAACGGAATATATGTTAAATACTGCAAGGGAAAGGGCTGTTAGAGCAATTATTCCTTTTTGATCATTTATCTATATTTGTGTCTTTTTGTATCTCTCTAGAGTCTAAAAAAGCTATTAGGCTCTGCTCATTGCAACTTTATGTATCTTTATACGTTGTACGCTCAATCTGAAATACTCAACCATTTAAATATTGGTATAACGTGGAACCGCCCCGCAGGGTGAAAAGTCTGCACGGGAGTCATCTTCCCCACACCCACAAGCTTCTCGGAGCCCAGAGCCTCTCGGTGCCCAGGGGCTGCTTTGTCTGTGTGTCGCCCCCTCATCATTTCCGCAGAATTTGGCCACATAATTTGACCAGAACAGTGTGCTAAGCCAAAACTGTTTTCATTACATAGGGGAAAAAAGTTTATAAATGAAACATATTTTCCTAAGGGAGTACACCACTATTGGATTGAATCCCTAAGGATCTGGGGAAGTAATCAAGGGAAAATACACACTACTTTTGAAATATTCCCACCAAAACTCTCCACAATTGTACATTAGCAAGAGCTTTGTGGTTTATTTTGTATGAAAACAAATAACAAAAGCTCATGTAACCTGTAGGTGAAATGTATCCCTAATCCCCCAAAGCTCACTCGCTGGGCTTCCAGAGGAAACAAATAACTTTTTGTGAAAAGTTAATGTTGCCTCCATTTTTTTTTTTTAAGGAAGGGGAAAAAAAAACCAAACTTGACTACATTTTTTTGTAGCCATTATTAGGCATTGCACATTTTCAGGATCATGTGCTTATAATAGCTAAATGCAGCTGGATTTATTGCCTCTACTTTTAAGAAAAAGTATACTTACAATTTATTTAAAAAGCATCTCTAATAGGTTCACAGTTTTTGAGAGGCAAGCACAAAAGGGCTTATGTCAAGATAGCTGAATGGAGAAATTTACATGTTATCACTGTAATTTATAAAAACAGAAACCCAGATTATTGACTTCAAAGTTTGTTGAAATGTATTTAGAATTCGAGTGGAACCAGCTGTTTTTTAGCTTCTAAAGATCATGTTGTTATAACCTTGCTCAAAAGGGTGATTGTACTGTATTTCTTTAAACAGCTTAAGGGGTATTAATTACAGGAGGAAGGGAAAATACTGTAAATGCCTCTTCTGCCATCTCAGTCAAATGAGAAGCTCCATAACCACGTGCCTCCTGGAGGGACGCGTGGCACATGCACAGGCCCTTACAGGTTCTCCTGCCCAGGGGTCTGCAAATGCACCCACAGACATCAGTGGCATCATCATCAAAAAGTCTCTTAGAATGCAAACACCTAAAACAATGCACACACCAGAGAGGGAGCTGGGGAGGGTGGAGAGGAAGGGAAGGACTCAAGGATGGAGAGCATTGGGGTCTCAGGAAAAGCCTGGCTCGCCCTGACTTTCATCCAGCCAACATGAACTCAGCCCCTATGGTGGGGATGGCCAATTCTAAGCAAGAAGACCTCATGGCTGCACCATGGACCCATAGGCCAGCAGCTTTCAAGCTCAGTCTATATTCTTACAGGGATAGGGATTAGATGCAAGGAGGTTACTTCATGACCATTTGATGAAAGGTAAATAAAGTGATGCTAGCGAGTTCTACCCCATTAGAAACAGGGATGATAGGAAATTTCTTCCAAAAAGCTAAAAACCCATGGTCTCATCATCTTTGCCATTAATCCTTGGGGGGTAGGGATAGTGAGGGAGGTTTTATCAAGTGCATTTGTACCTGCTGTAATCAAATCCTACCTTCAAAAGCCAGAGATGATAAAACAGGTGATATAAGGTAGCAGTGGTTTATTTGAAAGAGAGATTTTTTTACAAAAGCATTAAGCATAGGCTTCCTTAAAGATGCTAGCCCTCATAGTCCAGCTGAAATGATCTGCTATGAGAATTTGTCTATGACGTCTCCAAAATCCTCTGTATGTGTACTTAGCCCGGGCAAAAGAATATCACCTCTCGTGAAGGTCAGAACTAGCCAAGTGTCACATTCTGAACAGATTCCCCTCTTTGCTGTCTTCTACAAACAAGGAATATATATATTTTTAAAACTCTAAGTGTTCATCCCCCAAGCAGCCTGCTCTGACGACAGCTTCCCAGGAAGGAGGGGCAGCTAGAGAAAGACTGTAGAGGTGGTGCTGGTGTTTCTGTCCCCTTCTAGATTGGGTATTTCCAAGTGAAGGACTGAGAGTGGACCATCATGTGCAGGCAGCTCTGCAGACCCACTGCAAATCATCACAGCACATCATTGACAGCCACTATCCTCCTGCACTGGCCAATGACAGGGCCACTGACTGAGGCCCTACTATGTGCAGCACATTCAGCTCAACATGGAAGACAAATGAGAAGAATAAGACTCAAACCCTGACCTCAAATTTGCTTTTGATCTAGTGGCAAATATATAGAGTCAAGAAGAAGCAAAGCAGCATGCATGCAGACACTAGGAGGAGGCCAAGGAAGCCCAGAGAGGCCTGGGCATGTGTGGAGAACCAGTGCTCAGTCTGCACATTCCAGCACGGGTGTCTGGAAGTATGCTGGAAAACTACACTTGGTTGAGAGTTTTCGCTTCTTATTTTTTCAGCAAATCCACTGCCTCATTGTTAGAGAATGTAAGCAAACTACAGTTGACCCCTGAACAATGCTGTATTAGGCCACTCTTGCATTGCTGTAAAGAAATACCTGAGACTGGGTAACTTATAAAGAAAAGAGGTTCTGCAGGCTGTACAAGCATGGTGCCAGCATCTTCTTGGCTTCTGGTGAGGCCTCAGGAAACTTCTACTCATGGCAGAAGGCAAAGTGGGGGCAGGAATGTCATGTGGCAAAGAAGGAGCATGAGAGAGAGTGGGGAGGAAGGTGCTACACACTTAACCAACCAGGTCTTGTGAGAACTCACTATTGCAATGATGGCACCAAACCCTGAGAGATCCAGCCCCATGACCCAAACACCTCCTACCAGGCCCCACCTCCAACACTGGGGATCACATTTCAACATGAGATTTGGACAGGAACACAGATACAAACCATATCAGGCACCAATCCCCGAGGCTGCTGGAAATCTGCACATAACTTTACTCCCCCCAAACTCAATTACTAATAGCCTACTTCTGACCAGAAGCCATACCAATAATATTCACAATTAACACATATTTTATATACATATTATTTACTGTATTCTTACAATAAAGCTAGAGAAAAGAAAATGTTATTAAGAAAATCATAAGCAAGGGAAAACATATTTTCTATTCCTTAGGTGGAAGTTGATCACCATAAAGGTTTTCATTCTTATCATCTTCATGTCAAGTAGAAGGAGGAAGAGAGGGTCTTGCTGTTTCAGGAGTGGCAGAAGCAGAAGAGGTGGAGGACGTGGATGGGGTGGCAGGAGAGATTTATTGAAAAAATCCTTGTGAAAGTGGACCCAAGCAGTTCAAATCCTTGCTGTTCCAGGGTCAATTGTAGTCTATCTGGGTTAAAATTGGGAAATTCCAATACCAAATACTGGTAAGAATTTAGTTACCTGAAAGATTTAGTCACGTGGAAGATGCTTACTAGTGAAAAAATAATTTCATAGTATTAAATTGTGTTAACCCTATTTTCCATAAACCAAATGACCCTGAAACAATCTCATGAGAGTACCTGAAAATCAAACCCATATGGCATCCCCGAAACTTCCTTTTTTCTTAGCACATGTGAACATTTTACAGATATATTATTTTATGGCTCCAACAAGAAAGGGAGTAGAAGATCCTCAAAGGAAGTTAGCTATAAACAGGAGAAGAGTTCAGGCTTTACCACTATCTAACTGGGCCACCTTTACCAGTTATAAAATACATATGAGGGAAGGATATCAACATGAAAACAAAGGGCTACATGGAAACATGAAGCTACTGAAGAAAAAAAGGAAACATTTTTCCATATTTCACATGGAAAGAAGGGGTAGAAATCCCAACAAATGGATGAAAAATTCACGTTGATATCAGGGTAAACAGTGAGCTCTCTGCTACCATGAACAGGTGTAGAGCTGCAAGAACTGCTTTGAAAGAACTTTACTCAGTGGTTAAAAGCCAGGGGCCAATGATGTCCATTCAAGTGGGCTTCCCAATGCCCTCAGTGCCACACTGCTTGTGTATTTCTTTGGAATTAAGGCTTGGATTATGTCTCTATGAGACAAAACAATGAACTAAACATGGAGTTGGCAAGCTATAGCCAGGGAGCCAAATCCGGCCCTCTGCCTACCATTATAAATAAAGTTTTATTGAAATGCAACCATCCTGCTTTCATGCTCCAACAGTAAAATTAAGTAGTTATGACAGAAACTATATGGCCTGAAAAGCTTAAAATATTTACTATCTGGTCCTTTACAGGAAAAGTTGACTGACCCTTGAGCTAAATAGTAAAAAGCAGTCAATTTTTCAGATACCTTGTCTACAGAATAATCTAGACATTTAGAAATATCTACAGAGAAGACCAAATACTTGTACTCGTCTCCTAAGTGTTAACAACTACCCCTTATTTAACAAGATATTGGTGGGGGTAGGGGTGAGGGGAATATGGGGTTGGGGGGCTCAGAGGGCTCTGAGCCCAAGAGCTGGTCGAGAAAAATGAAATCAAGAGGAGAGGCTGACACAGATTTTCTGGGCATTGAAAAAAAGAATAATCACTTTGATCTGGCCATGTTTCTTCACTTGAAAGTGTCTGTAGATTGGTTGATCAGAGAGCTTTTCAGGCAGAAGTGGTCCTGCTTTGGGCAAATATTTGATAAATACTGCCATGAAAGCTCTGTGGTATGGTTGAAGTGAGGCCTGGCTGAGGACAAAATAATCTGAACTCACAGGTGACAGAATAATTATCCCCATGTGTACAGAACAAGGGTTCACCATTAATTTGGAGAAGGTCTCAAGCACGCCTCCAGGGCTGTGCTCTCAGAGGTTCTCACCGTGCCTGCAATTGATCGGGGCTTGGCCTGAAGGCGCATAGCTCACAGAAAATGGGAACAGAAAACAAACAACAAAACAGCAAGATAACCAGGAAGGCAAGCCAAGCTCTGCATTTAATATCTAGGAGGGAGGAGAGAGAGGTCTTGATGAGCTCTCGAGACAAAGGCCTGCAAAGTTTCTTTGCACCCACAATCCATACAAATTCACCGTGTAGAGGGGCAGCAGGAAATCTAAGGCCAAGTTCACATCAATTACCAGAATCATAGTTTCCATATCCCAGGAGAGGGAATGGATCAAACACCATCTGGACTTCTGTGCTCAGTTCTGAGCATCAACAAACAGGGAGGATTACTCTAGAATCCTCCTTCAGGCAACTGAAGGGCTGGACAACCAGAGCAAAGAGGAGAAGGAAGAGCAAAGAGGGTTTAATCTAAAAAAAAAAAAAAAAATAGAGGAACTGGAACAACTATCTCCAGACAGTTGTGGAGTTTGCTTTGTCAGATGAGTCCTTCTTGAAATCAATGGGTAAAAGATGGAGGGGTACAGATTTTGGCTCAGTATAGGCGAAAACTGTCTCTTGGTACCAGACATACTGTTGAACAGTGGGGCCCATCTCAGTTACAGGGAGTGAATGAGCAGGAGCCAGGGACCTCTCTGTTATGGAACTGTCATGGGAAGGGTGCCCTCATAGGGAGCACTCCTCAGTGCCCTAAGATTTTGCCTAGGGGCAGTCCAACCACAACAAAAGCAAAGCATATGGTTTTATTAAGCATATGTGCTGATTTTCCAGGACAATTTTTACTTTAAACAGGCCATTCCCCTTAAGCTATGACAATATCCCACAGATTCCACATGGCAACTCCCAGGTCATTCTTAGACCTAGAAGAACCTTGGTGCCCTTTGAGGCAGTGACCTCTCATCCCTTTGGAAACTGCGGTCAGCACAGCTGCTGCATGATGGGCACAGTCTCTCCAGAGCACAGGGCCACAACACCCTGCTTTTCTAGGCTGGCTTGCATTTTCTGCTTCCTACCTCTACAATGCACAAAAATAACTGTATTTTTTTTTACTTACTTCAGGGGATCCTTCCAAGCCCCTCTCTTGACTCTATGTTTGAATGTAAATACAGAGATTAGTTTGATAGGAATGGGATCTCACTATATACACTGTTTCTTTATAGTATCTATTAAAATGGAAAAACATCCAGGTGAAAAATCATTATTTTATCAGTTCCATAGTATTTTATCTTATTCATGCTCCAAATACCCTATGCTACAATAAAGAAGCACTGCATATACACCTTTGCACATGTGTTGAAATATTGTAGTACAAATTTTACATTCTGGGATATATTGTTAATGTCTCCCTGAAAGCTTGTATTAATTTATCTTCCTAACACCAGTTCAGTTTATAAGTTAATCTGACCTACTTCCTTACCAGCACTTAATATTGTTACTATATTTAGTCATTGCCATGCAAACATGTGAAACTGTGTTATTGATATTCTAGTTTGCATTTCTACTCTGGAAGTTAAGAGTTCAACCTTTGGGTTAGATGACCACCTCAAATCTATCCAAGCTCTTACCAGTTACTTGATATGGTCAAGGGATGAAGCCATCTGTGCCTTAATTTTCCTCATATAAGAGATAGGAATAATAGCAGTATTCATACCACATAGGATTGTTATAAAACTCAATAAAATAATAAACATAAAGCACTTTTATAGGAAGGATAATACAACATGACAAAATGGAGTTGATCCCAGGAATGCAAGGTTGGCTTAACATTTGAAAATCAATGTGTTTCATGACATAGACAACTAAAAGGAAAAACGATAAGATCAATCAAGAAACTCACAAAAAAGTACTTGACAAAATCCAACATCCATTACTGATAGATGCTGTCAGCAAAGTAAGAACAGGAGAGAACTTCCTAAACCTGATCAAGCACATCTATGAAAAGCCTACAGCTAATGTCATTCTTAATGATGAAAGACTGAATTCATTCCCCTATCATCAGTAATGAGACAGGATATCTGCTATTGGCACTACTATTCAGGCTTGTCCAACCTGCAGCCCACAGGCTGCATGCAGCCCAGGATGGCTCTGAATGTGGCCCAAAACAAATTCATAAACTTTCTTAAAACATTATGAGATTCTTTTGTAATTTTTTTTAGCTCATCAACTATCCTGAGTGTTAGTGTATTTTATGTGTGGCCCAAGCCAATTCTTCTTGTTTCAGTGTGGCCCAGGGAAGCCAAAAGATTGGACACCTCTATACTAGAGGTTCTATCCAGGGTAGCAAGGCAAGAAAAAATAACTAAATAATACAAGCCATTCAGATTAAAAAGGAAGAGGCAAAACTATCTTTTGTCATGGTTTATATGATCATCTATGTAGAAAACCCAATACATTCTACAGAAAACTGCTAAGAGTAAGTGAGTTCTGCAAGGTTGCAGGATGCAAAATCAAAAAGACAAAAATCAATTGTATTTATATATAGTAGCAACAAACAACCAGAATTTAAACTAAAAAAGCATCATTTACAATAGTATCAAAATATATAAAATATTTAGGGGTAAATCTGACAAAAGATGTGCAAGATTCTTACACTGAAAACTGAAAAACATTGCTGAGATAAATAAGGAAGACTTAATAAATGGAGAGACATAGTGTGCTCATGGGTCAGAAGATTTGATGTTCTTAAGGTATTGATTGTCTCCAAATTCATCTCTAGATTAAATACAAACACAACCAAAACTCCCACAGGCTTTTTTTTTTTTGTAGAAACAAACAAGATAGTGCTAAAATTTGTATGAAAATGCAAAAGGCCTAGAATAGCCAAAGCAACTTTGAAAAATAGCAAAGTTGAAGGACTAACTATTCCAAGAGCTATTTTAAAGTTACAGTCATCAAGATAGTGTAGTATTGGCTTAAATTGACAAGTAGATCAATGCAATGGAATACAGAACAGATCCATGCATTTATGGCAACGAATTTTTTACAAATGCACAAAAGCAATTCAGTGAAAGAGGGACATCTGTACCCCCTCTCTGTGCACTGCCACACACACACTCAAAGAAACCCCACTTCCAATCTTACACCATATATAAACTTAACTTGAAATGGAGAAAGGCATCCTGGCTAACACGGTGAAACCCCATCTCTACTAAAAATACAAAAAATTAGCTGGGCGTGGTGGTGGGCACCTGTAGTCCCAGCTACTTGGGAAGCTGAGGAAGGAGAATGGCGTGAACCTGGGAGGCAGAGCTTGCAGTGAGCCGAGATCGCACCACTGCACTCCAGCCTGGGTGACAGAGCCAGACTCTGTCTCAAAAATAAATAAATAAATAAATGGAGAAAAGACCTAAAAAGTATGGAAACTAAAACAATAAAACTCCTAGAAGAAAGCGTCAAGAATATTTGTGACCTAGAGACATGAAGAGATTTCCTAGATACTATACAAAAAGTATGATCCATAAAAAGAAACTCATGAGATAGACTTGATAAAAATTAAAAACATTTTTGCTGCTAAAGACAATGTTAAGTGAATGAAAAGACAAGCCATAGACTTGAAGGAAATTATTTGCAAGGCATATAGCTGATAAGAAGTTTTATCCAGATATTTTCAGAACATATATGGAAACTCAAAATTCAATAACAAGGAAGCAACCCAAGTGTTAAAACTATCCCAAAATTTGAAGAGATACTTAATCAAAGATATACTTTTGAAGAATAAGCACATGAAAAGATGATCCGCCTACAGAAATACAAATTAAAACCACACTAACTTACTACTACATGCATATTACAATGTTTGAAATTAAAAAGACTAACCACATCAAGGCTAGATTCTGAAGGAATTAGAATTATAGCACACTGCTGGTGGGAATATAAAATGTCACAAGCACATTGGAAAACAGCTTGGCAGTTTCTTTAAAAAATTAAACACACGCCTACCACATGACCTAGCCATTCTACTCCTAAATATTTACCCAAAGAAAGCATGTGTCCATATAAAACTTGTATGCAAATGTTCACAGCACTTTATTATTATTACTGAAACACCAGGGGTTTGGTCTAGGCCCTGCTGCTCTCAGCACAGAAAGCCAATCACTGAGACAATAAGTATTGCCAGGGAAGAAGGCTTTAATCAAGTGCTGCAGCCAAGGAGATGAGAGCTCAGTCTCAAATCCATCTCCCTGACCAGCTAAAACTCAGGGTTTATATAGCAGGGAAGAAATGAAACAATGTGTAGGAACACAGAAACTAGGGAGGGGCAAGGGAGCAATCACCATGAATGTGGGGTCCAGCATCTGATGTGAAGATCTGGTGAGTTTCAGTTCCTTGACACTTTTTTGAGAGGTCTCAGGGTCCTTTCCTGAGGAAGGAACTCAAATAAAACAAACATAAGTTTCAAGCTTTAAGACAAGAGGGGTCCATTTCTATGTTTATTTTAAAAAGCAGTCTATGGGACTATTAAGTCAGTTTCATTATTAATACACAAAATCTTGAAACCACCCGTTTCCATATGCAGGTGAATGGGTAAACAAATTGAGGCATCCAATGGATTACTACTGAGCAATAAAAAAGAATAAATTATTTTTTAAAAGAAAAGGAATGAACTACTGATACACATGCAACATGAATGAAATTCAAAATAATTATGCTGTGTAAAAGACACTAAGCAAAAAAATACGTACTGTATTATTCCACTTATGTAAAATTCTAGCAGATGTAAATAGATATGTAGTTACAAAAATCAGATCAGTGGCTGCCTGGGGCTGGTGGCACCTAGGGAAATGGAGGAGGAAAGAATCGCATAGTGGCATGAGGATTTGCTATCTTGACTGTGGTGATGAATTCACAGGCATATGCTTGTCAAAACTTATCAGATTTTACACTTGGAATATGTTCAATTATTGTATGCCAGTTTTACCACAATTAAAAATATAAAGCACTTTGAATACTGTCAGAAAGATAGTAGGTGCTCAACAGATGCTAGCTACCATTATTGTTACTTTTTCATCAAATGTTTTTTCCACTAGGTGGATAGCCTAGTTGCTCATTTTCTACTGATTTCACTTTTTTGTAGGAATACTTTAAACATGAAGACAATTAATGAGTCACAGTTTTAAAATACCTCCTCCAGCCATTCCTTTGTTTTCTCACTTTGTCTTGGTGCCATGGATATGTTCAGACACCACATCAGTCTTTCCCAGGATGGTTTCTGGCTTTCAGGTCATACTTTAAAAAGGAGGAATTTGATTTTAAATATTTGGTCTTATCACTTTTTGCCAGCTTTATGGAAATACGATTTATGTATAATAAAATCTGCCCACTCTAATTGTTTAGTTGGATGACTTTTGACAATTTTATGCAGTCCTGTAACTACCTCTACATCTCCAGCAGCCCCAAAAGTTCTCTAATGTCTTTTTGCAGTCACACCTTCCCCCATCCCCATTCCTGGCAGCCACTTATCTGTTTTCTGACAATTTTCTTTCCTAGAATTTCATGTCAATGAGCTCATATAAGTGATTATGCAACATGTGCTCTTTCCTATGGGTCTGGCCCCTGTCACTCCCCATAAGGTGTGGCGAGCCATCCACATTACTGCCTGCATCAGGATTTCCTTCTTTTGACTGCTGAACAGCATTCCTGGCCTGGATGTAGGAGGAATTTGTTTATCCACTCACCTCTTGATGGATATCCAGTTGCTTTCAGTTTTGTTGGTTTTTAGTTTTGGTTTTTGTTTTAGTGAGATTTGGGGACTACTAGAAATAATGATGCTCTGAACATCTGTGTACCAGGCATTTGTATGAACCTATGTTTTCATTTTCTTTGTTAAATATGTAAGAATAGGATTACTGGGCTCTGTATTTAACTTGATAAGACATTCCCAAGCCACTTTTCAATATGGCTGAGCCATTTGCCACTTCCGCCAGCCATATGTAAGCACTCTAGTTGCTCCATGTCTTTGTCAACACTTGGCACTGTCAGTTTTTACATTTGAGCCATTTCCTTGAATGGGTAATGGTTCTGTCTTATTGCCTGTCAGAATTTATTTATGCTTAAAATACCCCAATCTGTATTAGCCTTCTTTCCTAAAATCAACATTTTACTCCAAAAATTCCCTTTATACAATAATTAGATGGGTGAAAGCTGCCAAAGAGATGGCAGTTATAAAGTGATAACATGCCTTCTCACACAATCATCATGTTTTTAATGAAATATTTAGAATATATATTGATCTCTTATAATAAACCATAATTACTTGATTGGTTCTATCTAAGAAGGCAAATAAGGAATGTATCATTACCGAAAAGTATTTCAGGCATTTTATCTATAGGCTTTTGCTTGGGTAGTACCAAAATAAAGACAAGGGGGAAAAAGATGTCCAGGATAAAAGTTACACTTAATACTTTAGTAACACACTATGTGGTACATTTTATTAAACTCAGATCCACGGCTGAGTCAGAAGGGAGTGTACATGAGGGGACCTTGGGGTCAGGTCATAGATCATTAGAAGAGCAAAGAGCCCACACTCACTGCTCACATGGATCAGGCTGTCCTGGCCATTGTCTGTGTGTATTGGGATGGGGTGATGATAACATAATCCTCTATATGGAAATACGCATACACATACATGCACACATGCACGCAGGAATGAGTAATTGGATTTGGATTAGGATGGATTTGGGTATTAATTCGGTACTTAACTTCATTATATAGGTGCTTTATCAAACAAGGACATTTTATCAAATAGTATCACCAAAAGCCCATTTTACCAGGCCTTGCAGGCATGTTCACTGCCCTCCGGATTCTCAGCAGGCTAACGTCGTGGCCTCCTTCAGCAGCCTCTCCTGCCTGTGCCGCTGGAAGTGACAACTTGGTGACAAGCCAGATGTGACGGCCTGGGTTTCTCTTCCTCGGCACACTCCAGCCGTGGCCTTAGGAGCAATTGCAGCGTCTAGACGGGGTCTGTATCCACACCAAGGCTGCATTCCCGGCCTCCTTCTTGTCTCCCTCTTTGGACTGTCAGCTCTACTGATCCACTTTCCACCTATATGGAAAAAAATTTCTCCAGTATTTGCTAAAAATATCCTTTCACATTCTTGACATCAGAGAAAATTTCCAAAAGTGATTTGCATAATCAAGCACAGAGATTGGGGGCCATAATCGCAGTCCAAACTCATCCGCATGTTCATCCTTCCTGGAAATATCTTGGAATTCTTCATTTCGGTGAGTCTGTTTGGGGATGCTTGTGGCAGCAAAGGGGATGAGGGGCTTAGAAAGAAAGACACACACTGCACGGTGACCTTTATGTCTTGAAAAGGTGGCAGAAATATTCTGCCACAGGCCCCAAAACATGCACAATGAACTTCTTACTATTTTAACTCAAAAAACCCTGCAATTCCTTACATTCTTCCTAAAATCGCATGCTTTTGTCTGAAGCCACACATCAGCAATATGCTTGTCTTGCCTACTTTAAGCATAATAGAAATCATATAAAGCCACGTGAACCTTGTTGTTTAGGTATCATTTCAGGTATGGCGGGCTTTTCTTCCCCGGACTGTGAACGTACATCCGTGTTCTCGTTTGAAGAGTTACAGTGGAGGCAGAGAAGACAAACCCTCCCCTCCCCTCTCTTTTCACTCCCACTAATTCTTCAGTTCACATCAACAAAACATATTAATAGGGGAGTCTTTTGCAACAACTAACACCATGTATTTGGCTGCATGTTTTAGAAGACCTCCGAAAATACCTGCGAAAGAATGCCATTCCCTGAAAGAACCACCCGTGCACAATCAGCATAGAGGCATTGTCTCCAGATCTGGGGGGAAATAGCTAAGATCTTGCCTTTTCCCAATGAGGCCCCCTATTAATATATACCTGTGCACATTTTTATCAGAGGAACTAATAAGACGATAGTGAGGAAGCAAAGTTAGCTATTAGATAACAATTCTCCTGCCAAGAGCCATAATCTGACACAGATTGAGCTGGGCGTAGTAGTCCATTAATGGTTCACGGCTCATACAATAATGACCTACTAACCTGACGTGGTGTTGCTTTCACATTCTGCTGTCCCCTGGGATGCTACTGTCACTGTGTTATCTATTGCCTGCTTCCCTATCAAAGAAAAAAGCAGAGCTGAAATGTATGTACGCATCCAGCCCTGTAGTTCATGGCACACCAACCCTAGCAACTGGAGGAACAATAGATTTATAAGATTATCCTACATTAAGCCAAACATGCCTGACTGCACTGTAAATTACTAAATAATAAACCAGGTGGTGTAAGATCCTGACTTGGACAGAATATAAAAATCTATCAACCTGTAAAATACAATAACCATAAATGTGCTGTGTAGCTGATGGCTCAGGTAAACCATCCACCTCTAGGATCCAAGGTTTCAGCAAGACAATTGCAACAAAGCCATGCCACATTTTACACTTGGCTTCCTTTTCTTTTGTGCTTCCTGTCGGCAGAGGAAAGATCGCTGAGTTAAAACACTTGGGTGTCTGTTTTGTTTGTTCAATGTCTTTGTTTGGAATTGGCCACTTCTCTCC
This sequence comes from Homo sapiens, assembly GCF_000001405.40. Classification (NCBI taxonomy): domain Eukaryota; kingdom Metazoa; phylum Chordata; class Mammalia; order Primates; family Hominidae; genus Homo; species Homo sapiens. The sequence continues at coordinate 129,323,554 of NC_000010.11, forward strand.
TAATCGGCAATTGCTCCCGGGCTGTTGCCACGCAGTCTGGGGCTGGTGTCTTCCAAGATGACACCAGGTTACATAAAGATTGCTTCGGTGCCCAAACTTCACATTCAAATGAGCTTGAAACACTCCACGCTGCCTGGAGAAAGTGAAAAACACAGGAAAGATGCAACCTTCAGATGATATATACCTTTCTCTTGAGAAAAATATCATAAAACTTGGTTAACTCAGTAAAACCCTGTCCTGAATTCCACACTTCAGCGGTCGTTGCAGAAATAAAATGAAGATGAAGTAAATTCTGCTCGGTCTTTCCTTGCAGTCCCCTGCAAGAGAGATTCCATTTGTATGAATCTCAGGGAAAAAAAAATTAATTTGACTTCAGTGAGAGATTCCAAAATGATCCCATAAATTGTGATTCCAAAACATACAAAGCTAATTAATTCCTTTTTAGGAGATTTTCAATAAGCAAACCAGGTTAAGTTTATATGATTTACAAACAGTGTTTACATTCATAGAGGTGCAACTAATTGCTACATGGTTTGACATCATTACAGAAAAATGCTGGGGGATGCAGGCAGTTTAATTAGGGGTGGTTTCAAGTTCACTACGCGATTACCATCACAGAGCTTTTCTAATATGCTTATACAGTACAGTCATGCTAAAAAGTGATTACATTTTGCCCGCCGCCTGCCTAAATTTTGAATGAAGAATTAGAATCTCTATATAAAAGGTTATGCTCATACAGTTTAGATTTCTTCTGAATCACCGTCACCGGCTTCTGCCCCTCAGACTTCATCTCCTCCTATTTTGCACATCAGCTATCTGGCGACTGTGTGCAAGCCTTTGTATCCATCACAAGACCTCCTTGGAGCATTTTCAAATGATGCTGAAAACCTTCACGCTTAGCAAGATGTTTTAGAAGCAGATTTTTACCATCTACGTAGTTCCAATACAACACCAGCCGTTGTTTATAAATAATTTAGTTCCAAATTACAACTCACTTTCCATTTCAGTCAATAACAATTGTTTTGCCAGTTTTAATTTTTAAAGTTTCATCCTGTTAAGTTGCTGTCTTCTGCAATAAACTCAAGTTGCTAATGACAATGTCTCTTTGGAGGGCTAAGAACTGAGAGGAGGGTGGAACTCAGGGTATGACCTCTAGAACCCAAGACATCTGGATTTCAATGAGCCCTGTCACCACCACAAAATGACCAGGAGCTTGTATTACAAATATCAAGTTAACATCCTTAAGTAATATATAACTAAGAACCAACCCTTTGGAATATTCTAGAATCCATGTGAATGTCCAAAAAAAATTCCCTAAGTCTCTCCTGTCCGAAAGAGGCTCACAATTTAGTCCTGGAGAGATGGCCGCTTGGCGGGAATCACTTCCTTTAAGGCTGAAAGGACAACAGGTTCAAACGGTGTGCGAAGATAATTTAAACTTCAAAAATACCACTCCTTCATGCTTTTTATTTATTTTTTAATGCACATTTCTAAGTTTTGGCCGAAGTACTTGCAAAACACTTTATGTTCCACTGTTTTCTGTTCTGGATTCTGACGATTCTGTTTTGAAGGAAGAATAAATGAAATAAGATTCCCCAGAGCAAATGATTTTACAGTGCAAGTGACACCTCACAGAGGTACCCTGGCTTTTCACAGGAGTTTCAAAACACAGACATCAGAGGAAAAAAATGTTCAAGAAACCTCATATTGTTGGTGTCTGGACTTTAATGAAACAGACTCCTGCAGGTGACCACTTCCCACAAGTTAGTGCCTTGGGGTGGAAGACACAAAAAAGTATAAAAAACACATTATGGCCATACAGTCTTGGTGCTTGGGCCACACAAGAAACAAAATTTCTCATGATACTTTAAGGGTAGTGGGATATCTGTGCTTTGGAGAGCTGATTTGACTCTTGAAGGAATAGCTTCACCTTTACCAACAGCAACTGCTAATTTTTCTATTCAAAAGCAAATAACCAATTTCTAATTGACTTTAATTAACTTGAAGACAGCACCAAATTATTACATACATCTGTTAATAAACAAACGATAAATTCTGGATCTGAAATTGAAGTCACCACAAGTTTTAAAGCATTAAAAACTTGTTTTAAAAACCACATCTCTGGTCTCTGGCAGACCACAGAGCAGCAACTTTCAACCCAACTCACCACTCTGCAGCATGGTCCTGAAGCCTCACTATAAATTCTTCTCTGGAATCTTCCATGTTCTCTTTTTTTGTTTGTTTGTCTGTTTTAAGAGACAGCGTCTTACTCTGTCACCCAGGCTGGAGTGCCTTGGGCAGAACATAGCTCACTGCAGCCTTGAACTCCTGGGCTCAAGTGATCCTCCTGCCTCAGCCTCCCAAGTGGCTGGGACTACAGGCACAAGCCACCACACCCAGCTAATTTTTTATTTTTTGTTTTTTTGTGGAGACAGGCTGATCTCGAACTCCTAGGCTCAAGTGATCCTCTTGCCTCAGCCTCCCAAAGTGCTGGGAATACAAGTGTGAGCCACTGTGCCCAGCAATGTTGCCCCTGTCCATGGTACTCTCTCTCTAGCTGCCCCCTCTATGCTTTTCCTGTCACATCCCTGAAATGGATACATGAATGTCCCCACCTGAAACAAAGGTAAGCTCACGAACAGGTGTGTCACCCCCACAGTGACTTTCCCAGATGGAGCCCTTTCCTTCCACAGGGAGGTGGACTTAGCTCTAACCATTGCCTGAGCCCACAGTGGAGACTGTGGTGATAAGCAATGCTCAGCCCCTGGCTCCAGCTCTGACTGTGAATTAAGCTAGACCATTGAGATGAGTGATGCCATGGATCGAGGGCATGGATCAGACAACTGATCAGGGCCCTGGCTGAAGTACTGGGTCCACATCCTCCGTTTCTTTCTACCTGATCATCACCAGAGGAATTCACTGTTTCCCCTTCTGTCTCTGATTCCGGTGACTCTTCAGAACCAACCCAATACGTTGTTGCTTAATTCATTAATTCCATGGAAACTGACAGACCCCAAACACTGTACTCGAGCAAAGGTGAGTTGCAGGAGACCAGCGCAAGTCTCTGTGAATGCACATCCTGCAAGACTGCCTAAACTAAAAGGATTACCACAATTGCCTAACAATTAGCAACTTCCAGCTCCTATAAAGCAGAGCCTTTTGCCATCCTCTGGCTTACAGAGCATTCACTCACTGTGGATTCAGAAGACTCTTCACATTCATGGGAGCATGTCCCGAGACCCTCACAAACTCCCATCCAGGGACACTGAGGTATATCATTATATCATGTCCAACAAGCTTACTGGCAGTCTACACACAATTGTAGAATGCTCTCCAAACTTCCACTGATGCTTAGCCCTCATCAGCAAGTAATTTCTGCCCTGGATGAAGCATTCACACCCACAGTTTCATAGGTCACTTCTTCTCATGACCGCATTGATTTTCCAGGGGACCCATTCTGGTACTGGGTAGGGGCCACAACCCAGTATTTTGTTCTCCTCTTTCTCCAGAGTTCAATTTCCCAGATATGAATCACCATTTACTTTACTTTCTCTTTATTTCCAGCATTAACAAATAGCTTGTGGTGTGTGTAAGGTGGAAGGGAGGGGTAGCGAATACTTCATCATGAGAAAATGAGTTTGAGCCATTTTCTTGTCTCCTCTTGTCTATGAAGAGAAGAGGAGACCCACACAGCCACATCATAAACCTGCTGGGTGTTATCTGGGCTCATCGATTCAGTATTCACAGCATACAGAATCCATTTTATGGCATACAAAATCTAAATATGTGGCTCAGCAAATTACAAATGACTATATGCCATGAGCCTTCTAGGTTACCTACAAGTAGCCAAAACCACAGAGGTCAAATCACAAATTTCAGTTTATGCTGAATCAGGTCCCCAAACCAGTCCCATGGGCCACTAAAGCCACAAATGTTCAGTTGACTTAACATGACAAAAAGGGTTCTAAGTTCATCTTCTTTTAATTGGGATATGACCCTAGTCTGTTAACATCAGGTACCACAAACCCCAGCTCAGGTGATGTGATTCCTAGACACTGAAATATATTAAGAAGCTTTTGACTGCAAGTAACAGAAAACTCCAATCGAACTGGCTTAAACAACAGTGAAATTTATCTCACAACAAGACTTCCTGAAATAGCTTGGCAGCATACTGGCTAGTTCAGCAACATAACCAAAGATCCAAGGTGTCATCTGCTATCCACAGATCCGCGCCTTTGCAGCCCATCTCGGTTATCCCATGCAGCCAGCAGGACACCCAGCCCAAAACGCACAGGTGCCTCCCTTGAGTCTGCTAACAATTCAGACCCCTCAAGGAGCCACTCAGCTTCTTATGGCCAGAATCGTATGACGTGCCCTTGCCTAAAACCATCCCTAGCTTAGACAGGCCCTGCCGACTGAAATCCATGACATCCATGGAGTAGGTCCCAACTCCCATTTCGCAAGTGAAATTTGAGTCCAGATGTAAATATAAATATGAATATACACATGTCCACCTACTTATGTGTGCACTGAGCTGCAACGTAAGATGAATTTCTTGTATCTGGTTGATGGTCCAGGTAGTATGAGAAGCACTGACTTAGACCAGTCCTGACCTAGACTTAGGGCAGAAGATGTAGCCTGACTTCCCTGAAGCACACAGCCATGTGTGACAGAAGGGAGGCCCAGACAAAGTGAGGTAGGGAAGAAAGCCACAGGAGCAGTAACGGGTAACAAGTAGCAAGTGAGGAAGAGAGTCTCTTGAATGGGGGAGATGCCTGTCACCTGTACAGAGATGCACATGGATTGGATTGAGAGCTAGGCTTTGCGGTGAACAGGGCAATTCCAGGTGCTAATAGAGCTGCCTGTGGGGCCACCTAGATTCTCTGCTGGCTGACATGGACACATTTCCAATGGACAGTGTGAAGCAGATAGAGCAGAGTGTGGATTACAGGCAAAGAAATGCACAGCTGAGTTCATTTAAAAACTAGAAGAAGCATCTACAAGGGCTTTTACCATCTGATGAACAACTAAGCACATCTTAGCCAACTACATCGTTTATTTATTGATTTCCTATGATGTACTTTATGATACTGCTGAAATCATTATGTGGTTTTTAACGCAGTGTGACTCAGGAGACAGGCATGTTGAGGGCTGTCATCACCAAGATGCCTTCTGTCATTGCACCATCCTCTTAACCTGATGTAAGGAAATTCATATTTAGTGGAGAAGGAAATGACTTTGGGTATGTATCATTCAAATCCTCAAGGATTATTGGCTAATTAGGAGCACAGTAATGTAAATTTGCCTTGTGTCAGGTTTTCAGGAACAGTAAAATAACATAATTAAGCAGTGAACAAAGCAGATCATTTAAGCCACTCTTCACTGAAAATGTATATGATGGCTAAATGTATGCATCAGCCTGGCAGCTGGGAAAAAAAATAGCCCACACTGCGGAGGCCAAAAATTGTTTCTAATCGCAGAAGAGAAATTGCATAGATTGACTTAAATATATTGCTATTTCTTACAGGAAGATTTGCATTGAAAATTCCCATTCAATAATTAAATAATTCCCTTACTTAAAGGAAGCAAGAGTTGTTCCTTATGAAAAACATCAAACTGAATTGTATTAATATAAGCAAAGTAAATAGCCAAATAAAACTTGCTAGAAATGGAAACCCTAATAAAATAAGGAAACAAATCTTGAAGTGATACTTCCCAATTTTGACTTTTCTTTGGACTTGCAGCTACATATGCAAAATTACACGTAAAAGTGCATAGCTTCAGCTAAAACGCTTGCCTCCAAATGGCCCAGTTAACTTGGATTTTTAAAATAGAAGCCTCTTGGTCAGGATGCTGATGGACTGTCTCTGTGCATTGAAAAGAACGTATTCCCATCGTACCCAGAAACCTGAGAGAAGGTCATTGCGAGAACTCCAACACACCCTGAAAGACTTGGAAGGGATTCCTGATCAAGGGAATGCATTTCTATTCCGTCATGCTTGCCACTGGAATGAGAAAGGGAGGTTTGACTTAGCCCAGCCAACCGTGGCAAAGAACTGCTGGTCCAGGGTGGGGTCTGGAGCAGGGAGGGCGGCCGGATTAACCCTCCACCATCTCATGAAGCAAAATTCTCTCCACTGCCTCCTCCCCCACTGCTCCCACCCAGGGTTCCGAAACTGCAAGTCAATGTTGTGTTCCCCTCAGTGCTCCAGAAGTGGGGGTGACAAGAATAGAAACAGTGAAGAGAGTCGGCCTTTAGAAAGAAGGGAACACGGCACAGTGACTCACGCCTGTAGTCCCAGCACTTTGGGAGGCCTAGGCAGGTGGATCACTTGAGGTCAGCAGCTCAAGACCAGCCCGGCCAACGTGTTGAAACCCCGTCTCTACTAAAAGTACAAAAATTAACCAGGCGTGGTGGCACGCACCCGTAATCCCAGCTACTCAGGAGGCTGAGACTGGAGAATCACTTGACCCCAGGAGGCAGAGGTTGCAGTGAGCTGAGATCGCGCCACTGCACTCCAGGCTGGGCAACAGCGAGACTCCGTCTCAAAAAAAAAAAAAAAGAATGGGGGGAGAGTGAGAACATGGAGGAGGGAGTTGGCCGTGGGAGAAAGGACAAGGCTCAGATAGATAAGTTAAATAAAATTGTTTTCAAACTTGGTCTGCAAAAGTCAGTGAAAGCATCAATCAGCCAAATATTCACAAGTACTCAGGACTCTGCTTTTGATAAAATATTGGCCACAGTCATTTTGAGAATGCAGCCCGGAAAGCTACTGGTACTGCTTTGGTGCTTAAACAAAAAAAGAATCAGGAAAATCAAGTGCATCTTGATGTTAGCTAAGTTCCCCTTTTTCTTACAAACCAAGGCAAGGGCTGGAAAGTGGCAGCTCTTAGCTAAGTGAATGCGGGGTGCTGCCAGAGATCGGGCCCTACACGCTGATGGCCTGATTTATAACTGCTGTTTTCTATTATAATTCAAGCACCTCCAGGGGCCTTTCCAAGACAAATAAATGATTACAAAGTGCTGTATTGTATCTCAAACCTTCTTTCCTCCCAAATCAAATTCAGTAGCTCTGCCTTGGGAACGTGTGCTCCAAATCGTGATCACTTTCTAAAGTTGTCCACTCATGGCTCCGTAATCAGCTCTCTTGGAGATGCAATTCTGCTGAGTATCACCTGATAGCTCTCCTTCAAAGAAATAACAAAGGGCCCTGTCGCAGGTCAGCAAGGCACTTGGGCAACTCATTCCTTCTTAGGTTCAATGCCTAACATCTTTGTGAGGCCATGATGAGGGTCACCCTTATGAACTCCAAAATGCGAAACAGCAGAAAATGCTCTTTGGGATGAACCACTAACTCAACACTCTCCCAAATAAACAACATATGAGCCACAGGAATTTTATTCAAGAGGTAAATGTGAATCTTCCCTTAATGACTTTGAAAACCCAATTAAGGATTAACACGCTGCAGAGGTAACATGCAATAAATCCAACACTATACGATTTTTAAGATTTCAGATTGAGTGTCTCTTCTCTGGACCTTTTCTAACATAAATTTTGCCTTCGATATTTACCGTCCTTTGAAAAGTGGGTCACTATGTTCACCTGCCACTGTATGATCAGAAGAACTGAAGAAAACACTCATTAGGTTGACAAAATATCCCATATATCCGTGTCAGTTAAAAGGGGAAAAAAATCACCAAGATCTTCCCTGTGCCACCTTTCAGGATTCCTGACATCTGTCATAAAACTCAGGCCATATGTCTTTTCCTTCCATTAAGGGGAGTCGCCACACAACCAGAGCTAAGGTCGTGTCAAAAAGAATTATTGACTTATAAGCATATCTTCCCCCACCCTGCTAATGACTTCCACAAATATACCCACTGATCGTCTTTTTTTATGTGCTTTCCAGAAATTACTGGGAGACCCAGGGGGCCATTTGGGGGTTCTATGCTTAGGGATTTGACAGGTAATGTTAATGAGACTCACACCCATATTTATTTCAGGATTTATTTATTTAGAGTGGAGTGTTCTGGTCGCGTGAGCCTTGCTGAACTGGCAATGAGAGGAGAAGGGAGGAAGGAAGGAGAGGGACGGCGGGGGGGAGGGCCGAGGGATCGCAGTCTAGAAGGCCTCTATAAAGCAGCCTCCAAGAGCACCGTTTACTGCCTCTTCTACAGGGACTGCATCCGTCTGCCCTCATATTGTCAGGTTGACAAGAGGAGAAAAAAAATTAACCAAAAGCCAAATCAAATAAATGTGCAACTCATAAATTCTGCAGCTAAAAATTTACCCCTGAGGGATAGCAACAAGGCACCGTGGAAGGCTTCCCCCTCTCTTGCCCTCATAAAGAGGGATGAGGAGTGAGGCTTCTCTCTCCAGCTCCGAGAGGCCCCGTCCAGAAGCACAGCACCAGGCCGCCTGCCTGGTCCTAGCCTTGTTAACGAATTTACTCCCCTCGTTGGTGGGCGTGAAGCTGCTCTCTTCCAAGGTGATGTCAGCTTCTCCAGGCCCCAACATGTTGCTAGGCAACACGTGCCTGGACCTGGCACCTGACCACTCCTTTGCTTCAGCTATGGGGGTGCGGGGGATGCTCGGGCACAGGATGCTGCGTGGACCGCAGATGGCTATGGAAGGAAGAGCAGGGGACCATCGAATGACCAACATCCAAGCTCATCAAGCCACCTCCTTTTTGGACTCCAAGTATGTCATTCCCAGCAAAACTTGTTCGAAGGAACATCGTTCTTGCTCTCAAGTATTCAACCAAGAGCAAGGATAAGTCAGTCATTAGAAAAAGCTCATTTCTGCCTGCCACTGATTAAACTTTCCAGAAGCAGCAAGGTTTCAAGGTGAAAATGTTTATCAAACCATGTAAAGCAGCTGCGTCTGCGGCGTCGTTAAAGCTTGAGATCCACCCAGGATGTATTTTGGATGCATTCATGTTTGGGAACATTCACCAGTACAACCAGGAGCCCCAGACAGAGGCCATCCATAAGAAAGACTTGGGGAATAGTGGACTACTTCATGCCACCCCAGTTGTCCAGGAGAATTACATTCTTATTTGGCAAAACTCAGAAAACGTTATCTACAGAGCGCCATCTTGTGGCAAACAGCACTGCTCTCTGTCCCCGCCCACTCCTGAAATTGGGGGTGGGGGGAAGAGGGGACAAAGACCAGGAAGCAATACGTAGGGCACCTTTTGCAACTAGGAATTGTTTTTCACCTGAAAGAAGAAGAGATAAAAAGCTATCATAGCAATTAAAATCCGAAGAAGTGGACAATTCGTTTAATACACTTCTAGCCTCAAACTTGATGAGCAGATTAGTGAAAATGCAATGTATGTCTATTTGCCAACACTTCCATCACACAGGGAAAATGAAAAAGAAGAACTCCACTTTTTAATAACCAACAAAAATAACCACAGTCAGAAACATTAGTAGAGATTCGTCACTCAGATTACCTAGAAGCATTAATAAACGTTTTGCTCTCAATTATGATTTGCAGCTGTATTTCATACAAAGCATTTGTCAATTAACCTCAATAAGTAAATATATAAATATATATAAGAATGTAAGACAGTGAAATGTATTTCCACGAACTGAAAAAAAATGGAGTTTTTGCAGATTCTTTGAGATCAAAGTAGAGTGCTTATACCATATGCTACTTCTTCTCTAGTGAGTGCAACTATGAATTCAATATATCTATTCAAACTCAGATATGTAAAATGGCTTTTCATCAACAAAAGTATTCAATGCACGAAGTCCTTATTTTTAAAATATGAATTCAAGAGTATGGCCAAGGATATCTTCAACATGTCCAACCAAGGTTGCTGTGTTTTGGAGCAGTGCTTTCAGATGGCAAAAAGGAAAGTGTTGCTGCTGTAATGATTTAGGTTAAATTGTAGCTTGTAATAAAACTAATTCCTAAATGTTGCAAAAAGGAAACCAGGAAGCTGACAACAGGTTTTAAGAAATAAGGTATGTTTCTGTATATTTAAAATAAGAACAAATGAGTCACTGTCAAATATGTTTCTAGTGAATAATTATTTTCTATCAACACTCTGTTAAATTAGGATTTTCTCCTTCTAGGAGGGTGATAAAAGAATTGATTAGCTGTCACTCTTAGGTGCTGAGTGATATCTATCTGAGTTAGAAGGGCCTCTTTTTGCTGTTTTGTTTCCATAACTGTAGGCATTTTCACTAAAATTCTACTCTGAGTCTTTTTGGCTTAGTCCCTGAAATCCTGAGCCTGCGTTCTAGAAAACACACGGTCACGCGCACACACAGGAATTGTTCTCTCCAAAAGGAGACACCCTCACATCTGCAGTGCCCTCATTTCATACCACAAGAGTCGGCCAATAAATCAACTAGAGGTAAAAGTAAAACCTGTAATAACCCGTTACCACTTCTTCCTCCTCCCACATCGCAGCACATAAAACTTTGTGTCAAAAGGCCTCACATCATGAGAATTAATCAAAAAACTCTTAAAATACTCTGTGCACCTACTTCTGATGGCTAATTTGGCTTCTCGATGGTGAAGCACTAATTTTTTATCTCAATCAATTGGTGCGATATTCTTTTCCATCAATCGCAGGGGGTGGAGAACAGTAAAACTCCACCCTCTGTGAGGATAAAGCAAAATTAAGCAAATACAAAGAAAAAAATGAAAAATCATATGCTCCCAACGAAAGCCTACTGGAACAATAGAAAACACAGAGAGCGTAGGAAGAGGAACAGAGAAGGAGAAAAACAGCAGACGCTTCAGAGGACCCAGGGGAAGCCTTACAAATGGCTCCACCAGAGCAGAAGGAATCTCAAAAGCATCAGAAGGCCAAACGCAGCCGAGAGAAAGAGCCAATAAGAAAGTCAACAAGGTGCCTGGACCAGATGGATCTGGTGGGATGGATGTGAACAACTCGCAACTCGACAGCGAGGATTACTGCCGTCGGGAGAAGACAGATTGAGCTTTTCTTTCCCAGGAAATGAAAGGGAAGTGCCCAGAATGGCTGAGAAAACACAAGCCTTCGACGAGAGGAGAAGAAAGGAATCGCAAAAGTTAACTTGGCTCCCTGAAGAAGCAGCCGGGGAAAGACGACAGCTATGTCGGGCCACGGGGGATCTGCATGTTGATGAGAGATGGCAGAGGGCAAAGGGCAGAGGACATGGATCCCTCCCTCCCTGCTGTGCAGAACCCATAGGTAGGGAGCCCCAGCAGCCCTCAGCTGCCCCACAGTGATTTTTGTCGTGCAGCCTCGCCTCCAGCAAGAGGCCACCCCAGCTGTGAAGTCAGTCCACTCCCATCCTCCTTTTCTCGCCTGCTGCCATCTTGCCTGATGGGCTCCTGGCCCCACCAGCCTTCCTGAGCCTGTCGAGGGCAGGGGTGCACAGCCAGAGTTTTCTCTCCCTCAGCCCTGGGTTCCCTGCTGCCATCTTCTCCCAGTAACTGTGGCACACTTCAGTTCTTATGTGGAGGAAGAAGACGCTGGGACAGCTGGGGACAGAGAGCTCGGGCTGGCTTTTTTTATTTTTTCTTTCTTTTTTTTTTTTTTTTTTTTTTTGACAAAGTCTCCCTCTGTGGCCCAGGCTGGAGTACAGTGATGCAATCTCGGCTCACTGCAACCTCCGCCTCCAAGGTTCAAGCGATTCTCCTGCCTCAGCCTCCCAACTAGCTGGGATTACAGGCATACACCACCACGCCTGGCTAATTTTTGTATTTTTATTAGAGACGAGGTTTCACCATGTTGGCCAGGCTGGTCTCAAACCCCCGACCTCGTGATCTGCCCATCTCGGCCTCCCAAAGTGCTGAGATTACAGGCATGAACCTCCATGCCCGGCCTCAGACTGGGTTTTCTAAGTGTCAGGGCCACAAAGCGGGTGCCCCTTGAAGGGTCAGGCATGCAGGGACTGCTTTGAGACTTGAACTAGAAACACAGCTCCTGCAAGCAGTAGACAAAGCAATGTTTACAATATTTACTGACAAAACACATGAAGCCAATGAAAGGCATTGAAATCTTAAATTAGGGGGAAGTAGAACGTGTCGATTTTTGTTGTTGTTGTTGGAAAACATGTTCAAGCTGTTGTATTGCTGCCCCTAACCATCCCTTCATAGCAGAGATCAAGTATGTAAGTGTAAGACTGTGCTTCCCACAGCAAAGTGCGTGGAAACACTACTGTTCCTGGTGCTGTAAAACTTTCCAAAAATGTGCATCAGCTTGTTGTACCCTCACAACAGCACTATAGGGTGAGTTCTGATGTTTGTTTTAGAGCTGTGTACACTGAGGCTTGGCAAGGTTAAGTGACTTGCCCAGGCACCCAAGTAAAAAATCGTGTGCAAATATGGATCAATATTTATAGCTGAACATCTGACTCTAAGTGCCACCCGAGGCCTGTGGCTAAGCTCGTAGCCACAGCCAGGGGCTGAGATCTTGGGTCTTGGTAGGACACGGAACGAAAGAGGGTGATCCCTTCTAGACCAAAGGCAAGAAAGCTAGGTTTGCCAGATATAGCCACAAAAATACAGGATGCCCAGTTAAATCTGAATCTCACAAACACAACAAGTAATGTTTAGTATAAGTACATCCCATGCAACAGGTGGGATACGCTTATACTAAAATTATTCCTTGTTCATCTGATAGGCAAATTCAACTGAATGTCTGCCGTTCTATCTGGCATCCCTAGTGAAGGCAAATGTTAGTTCCTCCAACCCCTTTTTCAACCCAGGGGAGGAAGCCCTGAGAACAATTTAAAAATGCCCAGTGACATTCCCTCTTCAGAGGCCAGGCACTGTAGGGCATTTCTTCTTTTTTCAAGCATGTTCCCTGTGATTATCTCATCAGATACTCCCCACAGAACTAGGGCATGGGGATCATCCACACATCATGGACGAAAAAAAACTGTCACTAAGCTTGAAGTGACTTAGGAAAGTCAGTGGCAGAGTCAGGGTAAGGCCTCCCAAGTTGAAGTCCAGGGCTCTCTGTTTAAAATGAGAAGCTATGCCCTGACCAGTCTTCAGCCATTGCACTGATCATACTTAACTCCTCTTCAGAGCCACAGCCACAATTTCCTTTTCCCATTTTGAATCCAACAACATGAAAATGTAAGCAGTCCAGGTGACATCAACATCTTTTTCTCTAGGCTTGGTTGACGTGTGGTCCATAAAGCAGAAGGGGTTGTGGTAATACAAAGTAGTACTGAGACAGCAGAGCGAGTGCAGGACCCAAAACTTCTCTAAGGGTCCAGAAAGCTTAGACTAGAAACAATTTGCAAAAAAAAAAAAAAACAAAACTGAAATGAGATAGATTCATTATTCTCATTTCCATGTTCCCATCTATTAATTCAGCCTCCAAAGTAATCTTTGTCCAGGGTGCATAACTGTATCAAATACTCCTGCTATCAAAGCTTTATTTCCTTAAAAGGCAAAGATAATATGGGCTGGGTATTCTTTTCCTACACATAATTCATTTAAGTCAGAAATGTTCTCAAATGGCTTCTTTTTTTTACTGCTTGCCAAGTTTACGTGCACCATGATCCAAGAAGATATAAATTACCATTGGGAGAAGGGGGCAAGGCTGTTCCCTCCCATGGCACAAACACCGAGATTTCATTTTCCTGATACTTTTATTTTGCTGCTAATAAAATTGGGTGGTTAAACCTCCATGGTGGAGTATGAATATAACACCAGAGTTAAGCTCTAACACCAGCAAAAACTCTATTAAAATGTTGCCCCAGAGACTGTAAATTTGAATTCTGGCACCACGGGTCCGGTTGGGCCTGAAAACTAAGGAGAGGAAGTTCCTAAGTCTTGCTGAACAGGCCACACAGAAGGACTTTTTTTTTTTTCCTTTAGACTAATTTCCTCATGGAGAAGAAAATAATAAGGAAGTAGAAAGGCCTCAGAATTCTGGACTGAATTACGAGAAGAAATGAGCTGCAAAGAAGCAGAGGATGGGTCTGGGGCACATGAGCTTCCCCTGGATGGGTCAACCCCACAGGTCAGGAACACAGGAAGGAAAGAAATGCAGACGGTGTTCTGTGACATGGACTAAAATGGATCTTACTGAAAAGTGCTGCTTTCAGGAAGATGAAAGCAATCCACTCTGGGGGAAAAGCAACGTCATTGGACAGAGTCATGAGCTGGGGAGCAGTACATTGGGGCTCTAGAACCAGCCCTGACTTCATCACAGCAGCCACGAACCAGCAGAGCCTGCTTCCTCATCCACTAGATGTGATCATAGCGCAAGGTGATGGAGAAGCTCACGACTTCAAAACATATATATGTATTCCAGTGCTTTGGGATTCCTGACATGCCTAGGAGAAGGTAGTTTATGAACATGGCAAATGCTTTAAATTAGTGTTTGTAGGATTAACTTATTCTTAATGCTAGAAATTTCCTTTAAAAAATGGACTGGAGATAAAAAAAAATCAGTTGTATACTTTTATCAGTGACAAAGGATTAGAAACTTTCCTTTGCAAACATAACATTTGTAATACCAACAAAGTCTCAAGAATTCTAAAAAGAAGCATAACAAAACAAAATTTAATAGACTTGGCTTGCATTTTATATTGCATAAACAATAGCATGAAAATCGGTCAAAATCTCTTAAAACCGGTGAAAATTTTTTTAAAATACTGTAACAGACTTGAAAACTAATGGTCAACATAAAAGTAAGAACAAATGAGAAGGCAGGTGATAATTGACAGCCAGGTTATCAAACTTCTTCTGGTCTTGGAGTGAAGGCACTAACAATATTCCTGCTCCAGTGCACTTGCAGAACAACTGCTCAATATACATTTTACTAACACAATCAATGAATTTAGCAAAGATGTGTTTAAGAAGAGAGTATTTGAGGATTAGGAGCAGGTTTTAGAAATGAAATGGAGGATAAGCTAACAAATCTATCAGAAATAAGATCAACAACTTAAAATTTAAACCAATCTTGAGCATATATTTGAACTTGGATATGCAGAAATGGTGCACAAGTCCCCGAGGTTCAATGATGCACTTGGAGGATCAACAGCCCTATAGACAGTTAAATTACTCGGAAAGCCAGGGAATTTATCAAACATGAATTTCAAAGTGGAGTCTGGCCTCCAGGAAAAATGGAAGTCCCCATTAATGTACATACAAAATAAATGTTGTCTGCAAGCTCTTTCTGCTATTTATTTTTTGACCACAAATTGGCTAAAGGTTTTTACAATTTCCGTAAAGTGGGACAAAGAGTTCTCTCCCTTTGATAGAAGTAATCTGGGTACAAGTTGTGTAAAACTATTTACAGATACTAAAAATGTAACTGTTGGCCTGACAGGTACAACACAAAGCAATAATTTGCACCATTCCCCATTTCTTGGTGCATTATTTATAACCAACTCCAATTTGAGAATGTTAACATTAAATAGGCTTCACACATGGAGGAAATTTCTGCAAACCCGTCATACATTATGAATGAAAATTATAACAGCTCTGCTAAAATATATTGAAGCAGATGGGCTGGAATACAGTGAACACAGAAGTATGTGATTGCAGAAATGTAGACAATATTGAGCGCATGATCTCAATGCTTATTTCATTGATCAAAAGAAATGTTAACTTCATCTACTGTTGACAGATAATTTGTCAAAACATGTTTTAAATAACAGAACATTTCATCGCTAAGGTGGCTCAGGAAATTAGTGCTTGGTCTGTGTGCCACAGGACTTGGGCCTGAGCTGCTCCCGAGGAAAGAGGTTGAGCGTCCTCTGTGAGAAGACAAGACCCAAACCCAGGGGGAGGAAGGAGGATGGACAGGCTGGGCTGGAGGTGGGTGTGGAGGGGCCTCACCCCACACAGTAACGCCCAGCTTCCAGGCTTCCTTGCCCAAAGAGAGTCATCATCTGAAAGAGCAGGGCTTCCTCTTCTGGAAGACGGCTCCTCCAGGTCCAGATGTGCCAAGCCTTGCAGATATACCCAGGAACGCACACCTTCACACGCTTTGGTCCTGCACCAGAGGAAATCACTCCGGCTTTTCTCTCTGATTCAGGCTTTCCATTCCCTTGGGTCTCCAATTTTGTTTTGACTTCTATAAACTGAGTCCTTCTAATTGAACAGACTTTGTTTTCCCTCTAATCTCAGAGCTTCTGCTCGATAGCTGACCAGCTGAGAAAGCCACAAACCTCACAGGTCCCAACATTCAAACCCCACTCCATCCATATCTAACAGTGCCCAGTAGCCACAAGCCATCTGACCTAATATCACAATTCACATGGCCTGCTTCCCATGGCGGGCTCTTCATAGGTCCTTGTCATGGTCACCCTCTTATATGCAGATGGTTGAGAGGAGGTCACCTCTCCAGGCCTCCCCTTTCTTGAAAAAACAGGTGATTGAAAAAGATTTTCTGAAATGATCCTTCTGTCCTAGTGCCTGTTTTTTAAAGTTGGCCTCCACCTCCCCTGGTACTTGCATGTACTAAGTAGCGTCCCCTTTTCAAAGATGGGGAAATGGAAGCAGATTTACAGCTGTCATCATGCAATGCAAGAAACAGCACTCAGGCAGCCTGCAGCGGGATTGTTGGCCTGGACCATGCCCGACATCCACAGCTGCCCTCATGCCATAAGCAGTCCTGCTCATCAGGGTTGGGATGTCCTTTTGCTCTCCTTGCGGGCAAGGGCTTAAAATGAACCCCTTTTCTGGGGTGCCTGGGCCTGACTGTAGACATTTCACAGAAATGAGCACACATGGTCCTCAGTGCCAATGAATGCACCAGCCCCCAAGGCCAGCACAGCGTGGTAAAGCATCAGATCTCTGGCTCTGCATGCCCCGCCGCTGAGCCTCAGCCCAAGCACACTGCAGATCCACCCGTCACCAACAGGATCTCAAGCAGCAACTGCAGGCTGGAGTTCGCTCAAAGTATGTGTTGGGAGAAGGCAGCCGTTTGTAGGGAGTGGGAGCCTGGAAAGGGGTCTCACCCATCCCCCATCCCCCACCCTGCACACACCAGATGCCCAGAGACCCCGAGAGCCCCTGCTCTGCCCCACCCCGACCCCCAGCAGTGGGACCAAGAGGTGTGGTTCCCTCAGGTCTGCTCCTCCCAGTTCCCTTTGGACCACCCTCTCCCACTGTGCCACGCAGGACCCTTGATGTGCAGACTCCCGGGGCTGGGGGCAGTTCTCAGCACTGCAGCCCTCAAGAATCCCCCACTAATAAGCACTGTGTCCACTTCCTGTGGCTGCAATAACAAATACCACAGACTGGGGGCTTCAACAACAGAAATTTACCCTCTCCCAGTTCTGGAGGCTGGAAGTCCAAGACCAAGTTGTTGGCAGGTCACCTCCTTCTGTGCCTCTCTCCTTGGCCTGGGGGTGTCTGTCTCCTGCATCTTCATGTGGCCATCCCTCTGTGTGTGGTCTGTGCCCTAATCTCTTCTTATAAGGACACCAGTCATAGTGGATTAGGGCCCACCCATATGACCTCATTTTACCTTAAGTACCTTTTTAATGGCCTTATTTCCAAATGCAGTCACACTCTGAGGTCCTGCGGGCTAGGACTCCGCCATATGAATTTGCAGCAGGGTCAGGCACAGCAGAGTCAAGTCCCACTCCCTTCCTAGAAGTGAGTAGCTCTCTAGCTTGTTTATGCCTCAGAAAGTTCATTGCCAGCATTCTCAGTTGGAAACTACATCTGCCCAGACATGACAAGTGATAATGCCACAGCTACGGGAGGAATTGGAGGGAATTCTACCCCAAACAAACACGACAACCTGGTGGGCATATTTCACTGCACAAAGCCCTCTCACATGCACTGGAGTCTTTGATCCTCCAACTCACTCTGGAAGGGAGGCTGGGGAGGTATTAATCAATGAATACAGATTAATTTATGAGATGGCGAGATGCAGAGTAAGTTGCCCAAGGTCACACAGCTAATTACGGCCCAAGTCTTGTGACGCCAAGAACATACTCCTTCCACCACACCTCGCTGTCCCCTGTGCAATAGGGGATGCCTGGAATACGATTTCACAGCAGTTCCTTCAAGTTAAAATGCGTTTATCATCTTACATAAGTTATGACCCCAACCTTCCCACAAGAAGATCGTATCACAATAAAAAACACACATCGCGCAGGTGGCTAACATGATTTATTAAATTTTCTCAATTTCATGTATTAGGAAGTTCCTCCGCACAGGAAAATTTCCTAAATATTGAAAACATATGTACATAGGACAAAGCTCAGGGAAAAGGGCTTATTATAACACATCACACATAATAAATGTTTTTTAACAAAGTCTGTATGAACTTTCCATATTAATCAAAAGTGAATGCTGCATGATTCTGTATAATTAACCAGGAAGTCATATTACAAGTGATAAATATCACAGACAATAAAGTGAAGCGAACGAATATTGACCTTAAGTGCTCATTAATAATGCAGGGTTTTTGATGGTCCACAATGCAATTATTACTCAGTTAATTGAAGGGTCAAATTTCCCAAAGATTATTAATTAGACTTACAGTGGCCTGTTCATTGGAGGTTTAATAAATGCCAAAAAGGCCCCTTTAGGCTTCCTTAATGTCTGAATCAGAACCTCAGTCCTTTGAGTTCCTGCTGTCCTTGCAAAAGCTATGGACTTGAGAAAAGAAACAGTCTGTGTTGAGAGCGAGCCCCTGAGATTTTCTGGTGCTCCCTAGAAAAAGAGGTGCCTAACCAGCCTGGGTAACAGTGAGACCCTCGCTCTCCAAAAATAAAAATTAGCCAGGCATGGTGGCGTGTGCCTGTAGTCCCAGCTCCTTGGGAGGCTGAGGTTGGAGGATCACTTGAGCCCAGGAGTTCAGTGAGATGTGATGGCACCACTGCACTGTAGCCTGGGTGACAGAGCCAGACCCTGCTAGAAAAAAAAAAAAAACAAATAAAGCAACGGAAGGAAGGAAGGAAGGAAGGGAGGGAGGGAAGAAAGGAGGGAAGGAAGGAAGGAGGGAGAAAGGGAGAGAGGAAGGGAGGGAAGGAAGGAGGGAAGGAGAAAGGGAGGGAAAGAAGGGAAGGAAGGGAGGGCAGGAGGGAAGGAGGGAAGGAAGGAGGGAAGGAAGGAAGGAAGGAAGGAAGGAAGGAAGGAAGGAAGGAAGGAAGGAAGGAAGGAAGGAAAACTCATGACAAAGATAAGCTTTGGGGAGCCCTGAGTGGGAGTTCAAGAAGAGGGGCCATCTCAGCCACATTCAAAGGGGAGCAGCTGAACAGGCAGCACAAGGCTGTCTCTGCTGCCCCTCGACACGATGCACAAGGCCGTCTCTGCTGCCCCTGGACACAATGTCTCGCAGCCTCGTCAGCATCTGGAGCTCCTGGAGGTTCACTGCCCCCAGAAGTGATGGATTTTAGACACCTAAGAAAGGTTATGATAGCACTCAAGGAAATTCACAAAATGACTTCGAATTTAGGAGATATGGGAAAGATGAGACAAAATATCTTCTTGCAAGTCAAAATTGTCCATAGTCTATCTCCTTTGCTGTGTCTTTTTGACTAAGTTCCTAATGACTTGAGCAAATTCAGAACTTCCCTACAGCTGCAGCAATCTCACCTCCTGACCTTAGTAATTAAGACCTCCTCAAGTAGGACCAGGTGTCATTTGGTACAACCCCCAGCAAGCAACACGGCAAACACACCTGCGACTCCTGGTCTTGAGTCCTGGTGAGGACTCCCGAGCCCAGATGCCTCCTTCACTCCCAGTGCCAACTTCACCCTCATCGGCTCCTCGAACCTCAGCTAAACTACCACCTGGCCCCAAAAATGTCACTCGATCTCAAATCTCAGCACCACCTCCTGCTCTGTACTCAACAGCACTTCCTGGCCTCTCCTGGATGGCAGCTGCCTAGACCACACACACGGGTACCATCTTCCTTCCACCTCCCTACAGACTGGGAGCGACTTACAGAGTGAGATTGGGTGCCCCTCACCCCTCTATCTCCACACAGCCCAGCCCAACTCCCACAAGCGTTGGAGAAATGCTTGCTGAGTGGGAGGTGTGGGTGGGGAAGGAGGGGCCCTGTGCCCCCTCCAGAAACCGCACGGCCAGGTGGAATGGGGCACAGACAAGTTCAAGCCCCTGGTCCACACAGAGCAGGTGCAGGTAGGATGGGGAGAGAGAGAGCAGCGGCCAGGTGGGACCCCAGGAGAAGCCAGGAAGAGCAGAAGAGGCTCACCTGGAGAGTCAAAAAGGGCTTGGGCCTGTAGGATAGCATGAAATTGAAAACTGCCAAAATGCCCAACAATAAAGGATGGGTTAAATAAAGATGGTGCACACATTCCACAAAATACTGTAAAATCATGTGATAGCAAGCATAAAACAGCACACGCGGCTTAACCACCGTCCTATACGCACGGAGGGCTGACTGCATATGTGAAGGTGAAGGAGGCCACAGGAGTTCTGACTGTGTGGTGGGATCAGAGGTGATTTTTTTTTTTTTTTTTTTGAGACAGAGTCTCACTCTGTCACCCAGGCTGGAATGCAGTGGCATGATCTTGGCTCTTGGCTCACTGAAACCTCCGCCTCCTTGGTTCAAGCAATTCTCCTGCACGGGCGATTTTTTTATTTTGCAATTTCTGCTTTTCTGTATGTTCCAAATTCTCTAGACTGAATATACGATGTTAAAGAGGAGGAGGCATGAGCGATAGGACCTGCTCCTGGCTGTGTCTGGGCCACGAGATCGCTGTGAAAATCCAAGGGCCTGGTTGCCTGCTCCATGCCGAAGTGTAAGCAGCATCCACGGACCCAGAAGTCGGGAAAGGCCGGGGCTGCCCCGACGGCCTGCGACGGGAGCAGTGCCTCCACAGCACGTGAAAGAGAGAGGCCTTCACAAAAGGCAAAGGAAGGGCAGGGACCCAGCCTCCACTGGCTCCTTCCTCCTTCCTCTGCTTCTTCTTCCTCCTCAGTCCAGAACCAAACCCAAACCAGAGGCCAATCGATGAGTCACGGGGCTGCACCTTCCACCATCCTCACTGACCTCCTTCCTGGTCTGCCTATTCTCAAGAGCATCACCCCCGAATCCTGCAGGACGCAGACCTGAGCCCAGAGCGCCGCCCAAGAGCGCCTTCTCATTCCCCACCCTCGTCTCCCCCAGCCTGAGCACATCATGTCTATCATGGTCCAGTCTGAAGCAGTGACCCGGAGGTGAAAATTCCGTGTCCCAGGATCAAACCCGTGGGCCAGCCAGTCACCTTTATTTATGGGTCCTGTAAAAAGAGCCCGCTGCAAATTTCCACTCCGCCCTCCGATGCCCACTAATGAGATCTCATTTAATATGGACATATTTCCACATTTTGGGGGACCAGCTACTTCTCCCCCATTCAGGAAAGCCAGGGAAGCTTTGCAGATGCTGTTACAGGGCAGAAGGGACCACAGTGCTCCGGGGGGTGCAAGCGAAGGACCCTCTTTAGTGGCACTAAGCACCCTCATGCCCATCAGTAGCATCAGATTTCAAGCCGAAGCCAAACCAGAAGAAATTGCATCCCAGCAGCGCTATATTTTATGTCTTGTTTTTATTTCCTTTACTTGTCTTTCAGTGTAAACAGTCGATGTTGTTCCAAGAGGTCAGTTTTATATGCCGGAGCACCACCAAACTATTTAGGTTTAAACTGACACTACTGTTTAAGACCCAGTAATTTTCAGAACATATGATTTACTGTCGCAGCACTCCATAAGACTCATTTCATACCTCCAAGAAGAACTAGTCAAAGTGTTAAATAAACATGAAGGCTGTGTCTTGTTTTCCTTCCAAAAGTGCAAACACTGTGTGAGTCTAATGATTAAATACTGCTCGACACACACGCAAGTGACTAGTTCACAGTTGCTTCTTTCCTGTGGCTTCATTTTATGTATTAATTATTTTGTGTTCAGACAAAGACTTTAATTAGGAGTCATAAAGAGTTTCTGAAGAGTGAGTAAGTAGTTTCATCTGCATTAAACTGATAATAAACAGACATTTCTAAAGCAAGGAGCTGCCCATATGCGAGCCTTAACTAAGCCTGAATCTATTAACCACTAACTAAACTCAGCCTCATAAAATATGGTTTGGGGATGTTACATGACAGCAAAAATGATTCAGATTGCCTGTAGGTCCTTAAAGAGGAAATAAATTAATTGAACTTTGGTAGATATTAAAGGTTGCGACTTGCCTCTGAATGTGAACAATTCAACCAATATTATCCTAGGCTCCTAGCACTGATTATTAAAAATTGTTTGATTCTTCAACATGACAGTACAAAAGCAAAAACATTTAAATATAATGGCTTTTTAAGGACAAGAGGCAAATATATGTGCATTTGATTACAATGAATCTGGGAAAAAAAAAAAGGAAGTCGAGAAAGTTAAGGCTGCCCATTAAGCTGAAACTCCAGTCTCCACTCTTCAAAACAGGAATGTCAGCAATGTCCCTCCAATAAAGGCCCTGAGAAGCCAGGCACCATGGTGGGAAGGGCCCTCCTCAGCTGCCTGCATTCAGGAGGTAGGATTCTGAACACTCAGGCAGCCTCCCTTCTCCAGACACTCCCAAAAGATGCCTGGTACCACTGCTGTCAGTCAACAGCGCCTACAGTCCAGGGCCCAGGGGTGAGTGTGTGCTCACTTTTATTTTCAGCTTTATTTTGCATCTGCTCACACTCCAAGACCTGGTGCTATCCAGTTTGCCAATTGCTTGTCAGGTGCTGTTTTCTGGTGTTATAAATTCTTAGAACCCAGTTAATCTTTAAAAGGTGTTTTCTCCAAAGGTCTTCAGAGTTGGTGGTTATCTTAACCTCAACTGCCTGTGCAACTTTTAGGTTGGGACATAGGGATCACCTGCCCTTTCCCTGAAGTCCTAAATTTCCCTTAAGGACGTGCAACCCCACTCACTTCAGAGTCTACGCTGACCCGCAGTGTGGCCACTGTCTACTATGAACCCTTGAGACAAATAATTCAACATCAGCTTCATCATCTGTAAAAAGCAAATCATAGCCCCCACCATCTGGGACCATAGTAAAGATGAAATGAGATGATGTAGAAGGAGGCCATCACAGAGCCTAACTCAACTCAACAAATGTGTGTCTCCTCAAATTCTCATGATGGACCACCTGCCTACAATTTAGACACGTACAGGAGCATACACGTCTGGAGCATATACGTCTGGAGTAGTCTCCAGTTCCTCCATGCCTGTGAATGCATCCTACAGAAATAATCTCACAAGCACGGGCCGATAATGAAGACAGAGGCCCATGGCAGCCGTTTTCTCAAGGTGGAAGACTGGAAGCAACCTAAGTGGCCATCAGGTGGGGCCTGGGAAAGAGAAAATCACAGTGCATTCATGCTGTGCATGCCCTGTGGCTGGGAAGAAAATGTGCTTGCAAGAAATAACATCCCAGTGAGGGGGGAAAAGCACATTTTCAAATCAGCGCGTGTAGCAGGATCCTCTTTTACTAGGATAGAAAAGACGAAAAGAGAGACAGACAGACAGCTGATGGAAATGCACTCATATATTGTTGATCCCTGAACCACACAGGTTTGAACTATGCAGTTCCACGTATAGGAGGATTTTTGTTCAGCCAAAGGCAGAGTAGGGATGTGAAGCAGAAGGACACAGAGGGTTGACTTGTCCTAAGCGTGCGTTCCGCAGGGTGGACTGCAGCAGTCAAGAATTGGAGCACGCGCAGATTTCAGTTATGAGAGGGTCGCGGAACCAATCTCCTGTGTATACTGAGGGACAACTGGACACACACAGACAGAAAATGAACTTTTACTTTTCATTTACACCTTTTGTCTTGTATAAAGTTTCTATTTATGATTTAAAGCCAAAAGAAAGTGTCCCTATAGTTCAAGGAAAATCTTTGCACCTGTCCCCTAACAGAGAGAGAACAAGTCCAATGTGGAAAATGCTACTACGTTACACCAAGGGAAAGGGGAGAGGAGAGGGGAGGGGAGGAGAATGGGAACACCACAGACCAAAAGCCAGTTCATGATGCCTTCTGTTCACATATGGATTTAAGACATGGTTAACTCTATATCGCTGTCTGCTTTGGGTCTGGGAGATGTTTCAGGACATGGGTAAGCCCCAACAACCCGCAGCATACGTGACTATGAAGAAACTAAGCATGGCACAGGCATAATTAGGAACTCAGAAGGGAGACCCAAAAAATCATAATAAATCTAATGCGATGGTGAATATACTCAGAAAATGTCAGCTGCCAAATATTTGCACTTCAAATTTCATCTCCAGTTGGGTGAAAATGTCTCCGGATCCCAGAACACTAGAATAAAACTCCATGCGGTTCCATTTTTATGGGTGAATCTGAAACCAGGTGGTTCTGGAAGGAGAGTTCCCACAGCCCTTGCCCTCCTGCGGTTTCTGGGGATGCTTAGAATGTTTTCCTAAAATGAAATTACAAACATGAATCTCTTATATGCAAGCAAACTTTCATACTGAGCATGCCAATTACAGGCTTGTCATTTTCCCTTTGTAAACCCCAATCTTTAGCCATAAAAATGTGCTTATGATACAACTTTTTGAGCTCAAAAACTCAATTGGTTTTTTTGTGGGGTGGGGGAGAAGCAGGAATTTGAAAATGTCTTCTTAGCCATTTTAAGGGAAAACAATCAAACACAAATTAACCATTACTGGTCTTGATCATAATTCAGCAATTCTCTAACCTCAAATTATCTTTTAAAAAACATTAAATTGTAATATAGTCTTTTCTAAAGGTAGGGGTAGAGGGTCTCCTGGAGACAGAGGAAAGAGAATGAGTGCATGTGGAGGGGAGCGAGGATTTTACAAAATAAAGCGAATAAGGAGACATGGAAAGTGAGCTCACAGGGTTTGAGGATGAGCCCCCGGGCATACAGCTGACCAATCCACCCCTCCGAGCCGGGGCTGCCACGGCCCTGGGTGTACGGCTGACCAGTCCACCCCTCCGAGCCGGGGCTTCCACGGCCCTGGGTGTACGGCTGACCAATCCACTCCTCCGAGCCAGGGCTGCCACGGCCCTGGGTATACGGCTGACCAGTCCACCCCTCCAAGCCGGGGCTGCATGGCCCTGAGTGTACGGCTGACCAGTCCACCCCTCCGAGCCAGGGCTGCCATGGCACGTGTTCTCCGACAGCATTGGGTGAACAATAGGCTTTGAAACCAAACTCAGAATTGTCTGTCATTAGGAGCATTAAGCTATATTCGTAACTTTATTTCAAGAAGGGTTTGTGTGGTTTAATACAGCTATAGCTTTTTCTAACAGCCACACACTCTAACTTTGACACATTTGAAGATAGAAGATCTACAGGGAAATGTAGAATCAAGAGCCATAAGACACTGGGTTACAGTTCATGAGAATTTGCAATTTAAGTATATGATGACTGAAAAAGAGATGGAGATGCATCGGCAAATGTATCTTTCGGCTGCTACATCTACAAGTAGGTTAATTAAGTCACCATCGTTCTGCAGAGAAAAGTGTAAAACACAGTGATCAAGTGAACTCTTCTCCAGGGTTACACAATTCCTAACCTACACCATCCTCAGAGGAGGAGCCACGTGCTTCTGCCAGGCTCCAAGGAGCTCAGCCCAGTGAGGAGGAGGGAGGGGGCCAGGGCAACGCACACCCTTCCCCACTGTTGGGCCACAGATGGGGCTCTGTCCTTGGGGGCTGTGCTGGGGGATAGAGGAAGAGGCTCCCAGGCAAGGGGCATGCCTGGCTGCGCGCAGCAGCCTTCTGAGCTCAGGAACAGCTTGT
This sequence comes from Homo sapiens, assembly GCF_000001405.40. Taxonomy (NCBI): domain Eukaryota; kingdom Metazoa; phylum Chordata; class Mammalia; order Primates; family Hominidae; genus Homo; species Homo sapiens. The sequence continues at coordinate 129,349,255 of NC_000010.11, forward strand.
ACAGGGCTGGGCGCCTCTGGAGGGCAGGCAAGGGCCTGGGGCTGCAGCCCCACTCATCTCCTCCCCCAGTGGGTGTCTCAGAAGGGGCTGCAGAGGGGAGGCTGCCCCCTCAAAGTCCTGGGCCTTTTACCCAAGAGACAGACACCTCCAACTTTCAGCCAGTGCCCACCCAGCCTGCTATGCGCCAGGACCTAGATTCGGAGTCAATAGGCACCTTTCACCGCTGGCTGCCCATGGGCCTAGGCCACATACACACGTTCTGTTTTAAATTCAACCACATAGCTCAGCTCTCGCTCTCATCTGGTGCACCTGGAATAGCGGATGGGAACTGGATTTACTGAGTAGCATCCACGCATCTGCCCTCGGGGGATGCACCCAAAACGCCCCTAAGAACGTGTCCATTGCAACCCTCCACAACTGAGTCAGCCCCAATTCCTGCTCTCTGGGAATCGTGATAAGCCGGGGACCCCTGAAGCAGAGCTCCCTCCACGAAGCCCTCATATCCTCAAAGAAGGGAGGGGAATTCGAAGGTAAAATTGTCAAAACTTCGTGATCCTCTGTGGAAGTCCACAAGACAGGGGGATTGCTCTTCTGATGGGACTGGCTCAGCTGTGGGCAGCAGGTGAGAAAGGGCATGAGATGCATGCAGGCCCCCCGACGCCAGTGCTCCCTGAACACCCCGTGAGAAGGCTCCTGCCCCTCGCAGCCAAATGTGCCATAGGGCAGGTACTCAGGACAAAGCCCTTGGTTCACAGGTGACACCACCCACGTGTGGAAAAGAAGCACTTGGGCAGGGCACCCCACACCAGCCAGCAGGGTTTGGAACCTCACTCCTCCAGCTTCCAGCCTGGCTCTTCCACTAAGAATGCAGCCTCCACCCCCCACTACCCCACCTCCACTGTCCAACAGGCAGCGCCATTTGCCCTGATTCTAGTTGAGCCAACAAAACTCGTTGCTCGTGGAAACAGCCCTGGTTTAGAAGTCAACTCTGCCATACCAACCCCTTGCAGGGTAAAATGGGGCAAATTGCTGTATCTTCCCTGCAGGATATAAGGATGATACAGGTTAAGACCAGAAGTGTTTCCTGTTGGGGATTGTTTTGGATTTTGGAATATCTGCATATATAAAATAAAATATCTTGGGGATGGGATCCAAATCTAAGCACAAAATTCATTTATGTTTCATATCAACCTCATGCACATACCTGAAGGGAACTACATGCAATGTTTTAATAATTTTGTGGATGAAACAAAGTTTGTGTACAGGGAACCATCAGAAAGCAAAAGTGTCACTATCTCAGGCACCATGTGGAGAATTTGTGGCTGTTGGGCCTCACCATCATTCCTGACTCTGAATTTATATGTGACCAATAAGCAATCATTTTCTTACACTTATTCACACGTAAGCACTTAACAGTCAAATAGATGACATATCATTAATACAATGAAAACACAGTGTTCGCTTAGCAGCGTGGGGGCATCGGCAGAACACCTGCATCGGTTGTTGGAAACAGCAGCGGCAAGCAGACGGCGGGCTGGGTGCACCTTGTGTTGCCACCTGCATTCTGACCCCCACCCATCGCATGAGGTCAGGTGTAGAATTTTCCACTGGAGGCACTATGTCAGCATTCATCAGATTTTGGAGTATTTGGGATGCTGTATTTCCAGGTGAGAGACACCCAACCTGTACTGCATCCCCGTGGGGCTCTCTGAGGACCGAGAGAGGGCAAAGAGAGGCGCTCAGCAAGCAGGAGCAAAGAATCAAGAGGATTAGAGCAGGGCCAGGATTCAAGCCCTCAGCCTCTCTCTGTTTAAGAAGAGTGTCTCAAAGCATCTGCTCTTCAGGGTGGGAGATGTCCCATTTAATTTGTCTGGTAATATAACTAACACTTTCTTTTTAATTTTTAATTTAATTTTATTTATTTCTGTTGTTTTTAGGGAACAGGTGGTTTTTGGTTACATGGATAAGTTTCTGAGATTTTGCAGCACCTGTCACCCAAGCAGTGTACACTGTGCCCAATGTGTAGTCTTTTATTCCTCACCCCCTCCCACCCTTCCCTCAGAGTCCCCAAAGTCCATTATATCATTCTTATGCTTTTGTGTCCTCATAGCTTAGCTTCCACTTATAAGTAAGAACAAATAAGATTTGGTTTTCCATTCCTGAGTTACTTCACTTGGAATAATGAACTCCAGCTCCATCCAGGAACACGTTCTTTTGAATGCTGTGGTAGGCTGGAAAACGGTGTCCCCAAAGATGTCCATGTCCTGATCCCTGGAGCGTGTGAACGTTACCTTATACGGCTACACTGACTTTGCAGATGTAATTCGGAATCTTGAAATGTGGGTATAATTCTGGATTATCTGAGCAGGCCCAAAATGCAATCACAGGTGTTCTTTATGGAGACAGGGAGATCTGACACAGACAGAAGATGGGAAGGCTGTGTGAGGACAGAGGCCGCGACAGCAGCAATGCGGCCACCAGCCAAGGAGGCAGTGAAGGACTGTACCCCAAAGCCTCCAGTGGGAGCACAGTCCTGCCAGCACCTTGAGACCTTCTGGCCTCCAGACTGGGAGAGATGAACTGTAGTTTGAAGCCCTCCAGCTTGTGCGGATCTGTTACAGCCGCCACAGGAGACTCACCAGACCCCACGGCACAGTTTCACTAAATGACAGAGCCTGGCTCTCTGCAAGCTGTTACCAGGACAGCTGTGTCTCAGGGGAGAGAAAGCTCTGGGTCTCCCACTGCAGGGGCAGGGATGCCCTATTGCTGACAGTCCCCTCAAAAGCCCAGCACCTCTGAGGTCACAGACCAAAAACAAGCTGAAGACCCATTATGAGAGAAAACAGTGCCTGACTCCAAGGCCGCTGATGGGAAAGCCAAGATCTTTCTGCTTTTGTTTGTTTAAACGTAAGTGCAACACAAAATGCATTTATTTCATCAATAATTTCCTCAAACCACCCTATCCCCCCACCACAGCCTCACTCGATCTCTACTTGTTCTCAAGGGGAACTCAGAATGGCAGGTGTATCCCCAACAGATTCTTAAGAATTTAGAAGATAACCTATCCAAGTTTCATCATAAAGAAGTAAACATAATTTACTGTCTAAATGAGGACAACGTTCAGAACAAAGAGGGGCTTAGAAATAATTAACTCGGCCAGGTGTGGTGGCTCACACCTGTAATCCCAGCACTTTGGGAGGCCAAGGCAGGCCGATCACCTGAGGTCAGGAGTTCGAAACCAGCCTGGCCAACATGGTGAAATCCTGTCTCTACTGAAAATACAAAAATTAGCCTGGCTTGGTGGCACATGCCTGTAAGCCCAGCTACCCAGGAGGCTGAGGCAGGAGAATCGCTGGAACCCAGGAGGCAGAGGCTGCAGTGAGCCAAGATCAAACCACTGCACTCCAGCCTGGGTGACACAGTGAGACTCCGTCTCAAAAAGAAGAAAAAAAAAGAAAGAAAAGAAATAATTAACTCGGGATGTATGGTCACCTTCACTAGAAAGCAGTGTTTCTCAGACTTTCATATTCATGAAACTCACCTGGAAATTCTTGTTGAAAATGCAGCCTCTAATTCCGGGGCCGTCGGAAGGAGCCTGCACTGCCTTTGAACCTGCTCCTAGGCCACACAGAGGCTGCTGGGCCCCAGACCACACCTCAGGCTGCAGGACTACAGCATGTGTGGTGCGCAGCATGGACTCAGGATGTAGTCGGTAAATGAATAAAATGTTATCAAATAAGAAAAACACAGGGCGTGGAACTCATAAGGCCAGTGTTGTAGGGAGCTTCCCTGTATGGGTTCACACAAACACACACACACACACACACACATTCTCCAAAAGCCACACAAAGAAGTAAATACAGAGGGGTATAGACAATCATTAGGAACGCAGCAATGGAAGTTGCCAAAATTGGATTTTTTTCACAGAGAAAAGACCACTTGAATATCCAACTCAGCCTGAGAGAGGAAGTCAACAGGACGGACGCCGCGCAAAGAAAGAGCTCCCGCTGATTGTGCGCTGCCCGCTGCAAAGAACTGAATAACATGGTCTGCAACGCTCCAGACAAAACCAAAACGGCATAGCCAGGCTCCAGCACGAGATACACATTGCATGGGTGCAGAGTGAAACACAAACGCAATGACGAGGGGGGCTGCAGCTGCAGCCTGGCAGGGCTCTGGGTCTCGAAGCGCAGTAGCATCAGGAGTTAGCTTCCAGTGGCAGAAAAGGAACAACAAAAAAGGCGGGGAATACAGGGCTTCATCAAAAACAGATAAATGCTGTTGAAGGCAGGGATGGGGGGCGAGACGCCCCTCTTCCTCTACTCACAAAAGGAGGCTGGAAAAAGATCAAGGTCAAATCTTACACCTCATGGCTTTGTGACTGCATCAGCAACGTGCCCAGTATGAGAGTGGAGCTAAAGTTCCAATTCCGCATTAGAGATACCATGAGCTGGGCACAGGCAACAGCCAGAGAGCTAAAGAGGGAGGATAAAGCGGGGAGAGACGGGGGAGTGGGGAGAGAGAGAGAAACGCTTGGGGGAGAGAAAATACGGATGCAAGATACAAAAACACAACCTTCCCACTCAAAACAGGCCTACTCACCAAAATTCCAAAACACATAAAACAAACCTCATACAAGAAAGACAAATCATAAAAGAAAGAATGTGAATTCATTCCAGATAAAACTAAGTTTATAGAAATCCTAGCAAAGACTTTTAAGAATAAGTTTTAAATGTTAAAGGGATACATCCAACATCTCTGTAAATAATAAACCCAAATGAAATAAGAATAGATGTATATAAAAGAGAATCAATTATAACATCTTAGAAATGAAATGTATTGTCACTGAAAATGTTTTAAGCACACGAGGTGGGGTAAACTGTAAGAGGAAGGTGGTTCCAGGTCAAAGAATGAAATTGAAGGCAGACTCGAGGATTTCACCAACATCAAAGAGCAGCAACATTTTTTTTTAATGTATGAAAAGCCTGTTAAAAGACATGGAGAATAGATCAAGAGGCTCCAAGATTTATAAAATTGGAGTACTTAAAGCTGAGGATGGGAGACAAGTGATATTAGATCATTTAAAATAAATAATAGCTAAGAATTTTACAGAACTGGAGGACAGAATTCTTCAGAGGCAAGAGTAATTCATTTCAATCAATAAAAATATCTGTGTCCACACAGCATAGCAGCTTAGAAAAAAATGCAGAACCTTGGAAATAGGGAAGCAAGGACGGGTGCAGTGGCTCATGCCTTTAATCCCAGCACTTTGGGAGGCCGGGGCAGGCAGATGACTTGAGGCCAGGAGTTCAAGACCATCCTGGCCAACATGGCAAAACCCAGTCTCTACTAAAAATACAAAAATTAGCCAGGCATGGGGATGCACATCTGTAATCTCAGCCACTTAGGAGGCTGAGGCACGAGAATCACTTGAACCCAGGAGGCAGAGGTTGCAGGGAGCCAAGATCACACCACTGCACTTTAGCCTGGGTGACAGAGGGAGACTCTGTGTTTAAAAAAAAAAAAAAAAAAAAAAAAAAACAAGAAAAAAGAAAGAAGAAAAGAAAATAAGGAAACAACATCAAAAGCTTCCAGAAGAAAGAAATTGCCTATAAAGGAACGATAATTACAATGCTGACAGAGTTCTCAGCAGCAACAAGAAATTTCATAAGGCAAGGAAGAAACACCTTTAAAGTTTTGGGGGGAAAACAGATAAACTTAACCAAGAATTTCAAACCAGTCCAACTATCAATCAAGAGTGAAAGCAAAATAAAGAAATTTTGAGGTATATAAAGATTTAGTGAATTTACAATCTACAGATCCTCAATATAGGAACTATACCAGCATGCATGTTGAGGGGGAAGTAAGTACCAAAGGAGTTATGGGAAATAAGAGGCAAATATGAACATAGAAACTGATAAAATATAACAGTAAATTTAATAACTAATTTAGAAAATGACAATGTTTTATACTAAAAAATAGTGGTAAAACAAACTCCCAACAACAATACACAAGATGGGGACTTATTCCATGTCAGCTAAGGTATTTATTATAGTCAGAAAAAAGAAAATAGAAATACCAAACAGCTCTAGCCTTTGTTAGGAAATTTTTAGTTAAGTATCTTAAAAATTTAGGAATAATCACCAAAAAGTAAAAATACAATCTATAACTTCCAAAGTAAAAGAAAAAAGTATCATAAAATATTTTATTAATTTTCAGGGTAATAAAAAGGATAAAAAGAAGATGAAAAAGTGGGGGGAAAGAAAGAGGAAACAAACGAGAAAAAAATAAATTGATACTAAAAACAAAAATGTAAAATAAAACGATACATATAAGACCAAATGTGTGCATTAACCACAATAAATATTAATGGATTAAATTACTTATTGAAAGACGATGTTATTTGGTTGGATTTGGGAATTTTTTTTTTTTTTTTGAGATAGAGTCTCGCTCTGTCACCCAGGCTGAAGTGCAACGGTGCAATCTTGGCTTGCTGCAGCCTCCACCTCCCAGGTTCAAGCAATTCTCTTGCCTCAGCCTCCAAAGTAGCTGGGATTACAGGCACGTGCACCAACACACCCAATTAATTTTTGTATTTTTAGTAGAGATGGGCTTTCACCATGTTGACCAGGCTGGTCTCGAACTTCTAGCCTCAAGTGATCTGCCTGCCTCGGCTTCCCAAAGTGCTAGGATTACAGGCATGAGCCACCATGCCCAGCCAGATGTGGGGATTTTTAAGAAATCTAAGTATATGTGACTTAAAAGGAACACAAATAAGACAAAACCACACAGAAAAATTGAAAATAAAAACAAGATATAATATGCAGATATTACCCAAATGAAAAGGAAGTGCTATCTATATTAATATGACACAAAAATACAATCTGTGGCAAAAAGTATTAAAATGTCTAAATAATGACACTATCATAGGGAAAAATTCACCACAAAGATATTAGCAATTACAAATTTTGTATACTTCTAACAACATAGCTCCAAAATGTAACAAGCTCTAACTGGCAGCATTACAAGGATAAATTTAAAGTTTCATAAGTGCCAGGGTGGTGGCTCATGCCTATAATCCCAGCACTTTGGGAGGCTGAGGCAGGAGGATTGCATGAGGCCAGGAGTTTAAGGCCAGTCTGGCCAACATAGCAAGGCCCCTATGTCTACAAAAAAATAAAAAATTAGCCAGTCATGGCGGCATACACCTGTAGTCCTAGGTACTTGGGAGCCTGAGATGGGAGGACTGCTTGAACCCAAGAGTTCCAGGTGACAGCCAACTGTGGTCATTCCACTGCACTTCAGTCTTGGTGACAGAGTGAGACTCTGTCTCTAAAAATAATTAATTAAAATCCACAGTCACAGTATTTGTAAACTATAAACTAGATCTAATAAGCAACTTCCTTACCCTGACAAAAGACACTTATTCAAAACCTACAACATCCATTATACATAATAGTGAGACTTTAAAAGTTCTCATTAAAACTAAGGACAAGAATAGCTCCTATTACTACTTAGAGTTGACTTTCTTCTATCCAATGCAATAAGAAAAGAAAAATGAATTCATGTTTCAGAAACAGCAAAGGAAGAGATAATATGATAGTCCATTTATAAATTCAAGAAAATCTGTAGACAAATCATAGAAATAAAGATCAGCGTGGTTATTAGATATCGAATTGTAGTAGGCAGAATAATGACTCCAAAAGATGTCTGTGCCCTAATTCCCAGAACCTGTGGCTATGCTTACCAACATGGCAAAAGGTATGATCAAGGTTAAAGGCCTTGAGATAGGGAGATTAGCCTGGATTATCCAGGGTGAGCCCAATCTAATACCACAAATCCTTAGACGTGGAGCTGGAACAATGGAAGAAGGGTCAGAGAGATACAATGTGCTGGCTTTGAAGATGGAGGAAGGGGCCGCAGGCCAAGAAATGTGAGTGGCGTGGAAACAGATTCTCCCTTAGAGTCTCCAGAAAGGAACACAACTCTTCTGACACCTTCATTTTAGCCCAGTGAGACCTACATGGGACTTCTGATCTACCAAACTGTAAGAAAATAAATTTGCATTTATTTAAGCCACTAAGTTTGTGATATCTCTTTTACAGCAGCAATAGAAATCTAATACACAAATCAACACATAAAAATCATGTCCATCACCAAGCATCCTATTATAGAACATAAATGCTAAAATTCCCAATCACAACAACAACAAAATGCAAAATGTCACTGGAAAAAAAAAACTAAAAAATACTTGTATGAGAACAGTACTAAGAGAATATTATCAAAGGATATAAAACAAGACCTCAAAAAATGAGAAGGCATATCATGGACATGAATTAGAACACTTCATTATAAATATGTCAAACCTGCCAAAATTAATCTATAAAGTCAACTGTAATTACAATTACAATTCCAACAGGGTTTTTGAAGAAACTTTGCAAGCTTATCTTAAAATTCTAATGAAAGAGCACGGGGTCAAGAATAATCAAGAGGATACTGAAGAAAATAAACAATGTGAGGAAACTTGCCCTCTCAGGCATCAAGACTATTATAAAGTTATATTAGATAAGAGAGTGAATTTTTGCCATAGGGAAAGAAAGAACGGCCAATGGAACAGAATGAAAGTCAAAAAATAATACCTATAGTATATTTCCATTTAGATAAAGTGGAAAAGAAAGGCACAAGTACAGAATATATTGTGTAGGGACACATATATGTGTGGAACACAGCAAAGATGACCAGAGGACCATTTATCATACAAATTGGGAAGGAGAAGGGAAGGGAATGGGATGAAGGGGTGGCCCACACAAATGCTCTAAAATACCGGAAATGTTCTATGTCATAGCATAACTGATGGCTTCTTATTTTGCTTTATTGGCTTATAATAATCCTTAAGTGTGTGTGTGGGGGGGGTGGGGGGTGTGGGTGGGTGTGTGTGTGTGCCCCTCTTCAGTTTGTATGGTAAATTTTACAATGCAATATTTTAATGACTAGCAAAATAATGGATTATTCAATAAATGAAGCTGTGACAATTGGTTATTCATGAGGAAAATGTAAAATCAGATACCTACTTTTTACATTCAAATGTCTCACCAATAGATTTAAGACCTACGTGTGAGAACCAACTTTGTCACTTTTCTAGTAACTGGATGTCACTTTTCTAGTAACTGAACGGTCCAGTAACAGTAGGCTCTTATGGCACAGAAACTTTTCTTAAACAAACGTAAAAAGCATAAGATGTAAATTAAAATATTAATAATTTTTTGATAATATCAATATTAAAACATCCACATCAAAAGACATAGTAAAATAATGTGGAAAAACAAGCCATAGAATGTGAGAAAATATTTGCAATATGCATAAGAAAGAAATTATTATACCCAGATACACATATTGTATTTTTAAAACATGCTTTCTAATCAATAATAAAAAACCAGATACCACAATAGGAAAATGACCCAGTAATAAGAACACGCAGTTTGCACAAGATGAAAGTAAATGGCCAATAAATATAGACAAGCCTCTACTTCATGAGTAATTAGGGGAATGCAAATTAAAACAAGGAGCTATCAATCCACACCCAACTATTGGCAAATGTTTTTAAATGGGGCAATTACAACTTTTGTAAGGTGAAGGGGGAAGGAGAATTTCCATACCCACCAGTATGAATGTACAATGGTACCTAATTTTGGAGAGTAATTGGGGGCTATCTAACAAATTTTAAGACACTTGTACCCTATGACTTAGCAATGTGATTTCTCAATGGAAACTTTTGCTTCTGTGTGTAAGAGTTAGAATGAGACATGTACTGAAAAAGAACATCCAAGTCCATCGTATTGGTTATAGGGGGAAATGGAAAACAGGCTAACTAGCCATCAATAGGAGAATGGATAGACAGCATCAGAGTCCTACAATAAAAAAAAAACAACAACATAGAGAGGATAAAATAGATTTACTAGAGTTATATATGCAAGCTCAAAAACATAATGTTCAGTGGAAAAATTTTAAAAAAAAACAAGGGTAGTTGGGTGCAGCCGTTTGCACCTATAGTCCCAGCTACTCAGGCTAAAGTAGGAGGATCACTTGAGTCCAGGAGTTCAGGGCAGCAGTGAGCTAGGATTGCACTTGTGAATAGCCACTGCACTCCAGCCTGGGCAATATAGCAAAACCCCATCTCAAAAAAAAAAAAAATCAATAACAACAACAACGAAAAGGCATACAGACAGTATGATACCATAGCTTTATTTTTTTTTAAGTCTACACACCACTGTCAGATAACTTATTGAAACATAAGTATCTTGTAAAAGTATAAAAATATGCATAGGAATGATGACCACTGAGTGATTCTAAGGGGGATAGAGAGGGCTAGGATCACAGAGCGGCACGCAGGGGTCCATTTCATCTCTAATGTCAGGGTTTGATAATAACGGTGAGCAAATGGGTAGTTGTTAGGCTCTCTTACTTTTGGAATGCTTGAAATAGTACCTGATTTTAAGAAGGACATTTTCATAAAGAGGACTAAAGCGCCTCTGGTGGGAATATCTCCCACCAGAGATATCTGCCATTGCTAACGCCCAGTGCCATGAATTCACACGGGCGCCTCATCACCAAAGAGACACAACCTGCCACTGAGAAGATGACCTGTATTTCTTAATATGACGTCAACTTACTTTATGCCACAGCCACGACTGACAAGAAGGCAAGAAGGAAGAAAATTTTCTCTAAAAATGAAGGAAATGTTGCTGTTTACGAAGCAGTCCAAATGTAATGAATATTTATAGGTCACGAAATCTAACCTGCCAAGGCACTCTGATTAATAACAGAGTGGGATAACACAACCTGGTAACCTTTTATGATAAATTATAGGCTGTACATCGGTGGTCTGGGACTGGCAGGGGGTGAATCCCTGTCCTGGCCGCCTCCTCCTGAAGGACTTCACATGGAGAGTGGCAGGCTCCGAGAGCTGTGGACAGCAGCGCAGCCACCCGAACCCCTGTGAGGGGTCAGGCAAGGATATGGAGAGTGGCAGGCTCTGAGGGCCGTGGACAGGGGCACAGCCACCTGAACCCCAGGCGTGGATAGAAAGTTGTGAAACTCTGGGATGTGCTTGAGATTTCTGTCAACTGGAGGAACAGACGGATTTAGGGGAGGTGGGCCTGAGAGAAAACGCAGCAGTTTTCTCTTTCTGCGGAGATCTGCTATCAAACCACCTCAGCCTCAATGGGATGAAAGTCCACGGCAGGTAACCTTTCTCTCGGCATCCTGTCCGTCTTCCACAGAAGAGAGCCTGCATCAGGCCGGGTGTTGATGACTCAGAAATAAATGGTCTGCTGTTGATATGCGTGTTTTAACCCCTGTGAACATTAATGAGAGTTTTGTGTACGTATTGATTGCCAAAGAGGCCTAAAGTTTAAAGCATTCATTCTGAATTCCAAGATATTTGTCAATTCCTCCCAGACCCTCGGTCCTCATCAGCACTTGGTATTTTGAACTTCTTTTCTCTGCATATTTTAAAAGAAGAAATGTAGGGGCTTATCTAATCTGATCCTATGAATCTGAAACCCACATCATTTAATGGGTCCGTCGATATACATCCATATTTAGGCTGAGATGAATGGGCATGGCTGCGCATTCGCCTTGGCAGCAAGGCTGGGCATCAATCATGAAGATTAGTCCTCACGCAGACACATCAGCCATTTGGCATCCTGGTGCCCCCAGCCCCCACCTGATATGGTTGAAGACACTTCCAATATATCAATAATGATCTGTGTCCAAAAACTTCTCAGGGGGATCACATGAGCTGGGGGGAGATATATTTCCTCATGCCCGTATTACAGTCTGGTTGCCTCTGCTTCCTGGAACCCCAGAGGTGACCTCCCAAGCTTTCTGAAATATGGACCAATTTAGCTTACACCTGCAGATGTCACTGGCCACAGCAGCTCTCCAGCAGAGAGAGCTAAGGTCCCAGTGAGTGGGTATTGGAAGGAGTCGGCCTTGACAGCTCTGGTTTTGGGGTGCAGTGTGGAGAAGCTTGCTCCAAACCCACTGTCCTTTCTCACAACCGCCCCATCTGCCAAGCACTGGCTCCCACCTTCAGACCAGTCTATTTTCACTGCCTTACAGACCATGGTGACTTTTCCTTTTAAATGCCTCCTGGCAGCTTCCCCAGGTGTTGCAGTCTACTTGGGGTTCCTGGGGGGATCGGAGGACTCACAGAGCCCTGCCCCGGCTGCCCAGCTCCCGGCTCTGTGGATCCACAGAGAACAGCCCTGGACACAGCCCCACCTGCCTCCACTTCCCACCCATGTGGCCTGCGTGAGTTAGGGACCCTCTCAAAGGCTCAATTTCTGAACCTTTCCGCATAAGGACCAAACTACCCACCTTAGAGTCTGGGGAGAGCCGAACTGATGTGCTGGGGACCACGCTGGGCGTCTGCTGGTGAAAGCCCACGTGCCGTGTCCACTCAGAGGGGCTGTATTTTCCTCCCCAGCATCATCCCAGAGCCTAAGTGTACAAAGGGAGGTGGAAACAGAGAAACAGTAGAAATGAACACAGGTTCCTGAATGACAGGGAACTGGGGAAGGTGGTGTGGCTTGCGCCACACACGAGTGCCTTCACTAAGGGCCCAGTGAGACAAGGCCAGCCAATAAAACACAGGGTGCCCGGCCAGATTTGAATTTCAGATACGCAATGAATGCTTCGTAGTATAAGAAGTTTTTAGTATACTTACACTTACATAATCACTTACAAGTTCTTCCTTGTTCACCTGGAATTCAAATTAACTAACCTGGGGAGAGAAGGAGGCAGGGAGAAGTCGCAGCTTAACAGGTGAGAGAAACAAGGATCGCACAAGTCCCTGGAAACGCAGAGACAGGAGGAGCCAGACGAGCAGGTGCCAAGTCCCCAGGTGTGGCGAGTGGAGCCTCGGGAGGAGGCACTGGGCAGCTGGACTGTGCTGTACCCTCCGCTTCCCCACACACAGGCACTGAGCAGAGGCCACGCCGCTCACTTCTGGGGGGACCCAAGGCACTTACATAAGTAAAGCAGCTCTTTCAGCTCTTCTGCAGACTCAGGTAGGGTGGGGTTTGTTTTTTCTTAATCTTTAGTAAAGGACCAGGCAGAAAGATCAACAGTTCATCCTATGCTTATATTTGGGAGGGAATCAAAGGAGGAAAGAAGCTTAGTCTCCTACTGAGGAAAATATCTGAACTTAATTACTTGGAGCCCAATTAATATTGGAGAAGATGCTCTGGTTCTCAGAGGACGGTTACGTCATCCCTCACGCAGATGCACTGTGTCCTCCCGCGGGGATTTCTAAGATCAGAAGAACATTTAACTTACATGTTACAGGAATTTTGCAGTTTGGGACAGCTTATAAATGAAAATATAACAGCTTAAACAGGTCACTCACTCTTTTACTCATCAGGAAAGTTTCAGGCAGTGGCCTGGACTGAAGGACGCTATCCCCTCTCCCCGGGAGAAACAGCCTAGGGTGGTCAACAAGGTACCAACTGCAGGCCAGATCCAGCCCACTGCCTTCTTTATGTGACCTGTGAGCTAAGAATGGTGTTTACCATTTTAAATAGTTGAAAAAAAAAATCCAAAGAACAAATTACCTTGTGGCACATGGAAATTCTATAAAATTCAAACTTCAGTGTCTATAATGAAGTTCTGTGGGAACCCAGCCAAGCACATGCACGTTTATGCATTGTTGATGGTTGTCTTACTGACACAAGGCAGGACTGACTAATCGCAGCATCTGCAAAGATGAAAATACTTACTACCTGACCAATAGAAAAAAGTTTGCCAACATGAAAATATAACTGCAGCACAATGCAGCAAGTGCTCCCAGGGGGCATGAATAAACGCAGAGGGTAGGAGGCTGCTGGAGGAAGCTGCAAAAGGCCTTGGGACTCTTATGGGTGTGCCAGGGATGAGAGTGAACATACTGGGAAGGAGAAACCTTGATGAGATGCACCTACAGGAGCTTACGGGGCACAGAAGATGCTCTACACAGACACACAATGGCACGTGGACACTGACTTAGAAAGAAAGGAAGCCTGTTTTGTAACTGTTAAATACATTCATGAGAGGACAAACTCTGGGATGAAATAGTTTTCAAAATAGTAAAATGAAGTTTTTCTAATTTAAATATCCATCATGATGTTCTAGACTTCCTGCCTCTGAAAGCCCTTGTACTTCCATCCATCCCTTCTCCTTCCTGAGTCTTTAACCTGTCTACTAGATTCTTCCTTTAATGAGTCTGCAAAAGCCCACAACAAGAAAACCTCTCCGTACCCCCATCCCCTTCCTGATTCCTCCCATTATACTCTTCACCCTAACGTGAACCTCCTCCCCGGATCGCCTCTAAGAGCTGTCGACACTTCCCAACCTCCTATGCTTTCCTGACTGGTTCTGCTTCTGTTTCTCCACTTCTCTGACCAACGTCAACAATGATTTCCCTGTTGTGAGGTCAAATGGGCATCAAAAAGCCTCATCTTCCACAGATTCTCAGCTGCCTCCAGTCCTGCTAACGTCTCTCCTTCTTGTAACACTTTCTTCCCTCGGCTTTCATGATTCCATCATTTTCTCGTTTTCTTCTTACCTCTCCATCTTCTTCTCTTGACCCGACTTGGCCTCTCATCTTTCTCTTTTAAATGTTAAAGTGTCTTAAGACCCAGTTATTTCTCATATCTTGTTCTCTCCCACTAGGTGATCTTAACCTGCCTCGTCATCCATATTGGCGTCATGATCTAACCAAAATCAGCTCACGGCCGAGCGTGAGTGTCTCGCTTCTGTAATCCCAGCACTTTGGGAAGCCAAGTCAGGAGCATCAGCGGATCACTTGAGGCCAGGAGTTGGAGACCAGCCTAGTCAACAGAGCGAGACCCTGTCTCTAAAATCTAATAAAAATAATAAATAAATAAATAAAAACAGTTCATGAGAAAGACTTTTTCCTTCTTCAGGGAGAGTCAGCCAGATTTGTCTTTTCTGAAACCCCACTGGAAGAATTAGATTAGTTCCCTTCCCTGAAAACCTTAAAAAAATCCCCTTCATAGATGTAAGCACTCTCATCTTCCATTAATGGTTTATCTGTCCTTTCCCTATTGGGGTTAAGTCATCTTCATTCTGAAAACTAACAAAGGCTCCATAGTAGATGCTCAATAAACACACAAATGGACTGAAGAGAGGATCATGATGGTAAAGCACTTGGGGCATCATTAGAAAGAATAAGGACTTACATATCCCAGACCTGAATAGGCCTTCTATAATTTCCCAGTGTCTTATTAAACTCAAGATATTTTCATAACATAAAAAGTAATTCTGACAACATTTTAGATCATGGAGCTAAGCATGCTTCTGTTGGTTGGAACCGTGGCTCTGCTGCTTACTGGCTGTGTGACTCTAGGAAAGTGCCTTCACATGTCTGAGCTACGGCTCTTCAACTACCAGATGAGTTCAATGGTAGCCCCCCCTTGGACTTTTTGAAAAAAACCAAATAGCGTATCTCACATCAAGTGCTAAGGGCAGTGTGTGGCACACAATAATAATTGAATAAATAATAGTGAAAACTCAATCTCCAGGCAGTAAAATAAGGAAACAGTAGGAGAGAAAAACAGGGAAACAATTCAACACAGGTACTGCCCTACACCCAGACAAGGACAAAATAGTTTCATAAAATATAGGAAATGCCAAAAGGCTGTCTTAATTCCCACTAAGGAGCAATGGCTCACCCCACCTTCACACTGACCCAGCAATAAAGCCAGGAGACAGACTCACGCTGTGTTATAACCTAACCATATTATATCAGGCTTTTGTTATATGTAGTTGTTTAAGTGGATGCACAGCTTAACCTGTGGTAAATTTAAATCTGTTTAATGACTTGCATTATAACAAGCTTCTACATAAATAACAATTCCCAGGAGAGGAGGCCGTCTGGAGTCCCATTACTACCTCCTTCCTACTGATAACGCACAATGCAAACGGGATGAACTGGCTCACAGAGCGTTTATCAAACACACATTTGTGCACTGTGCAGTGCGGGGCACCCACCAAAATATGGGGAAAATTCCCATTAATCCCAGCCACAGGCAGGCCTCCCATGCTACAAACATTTGCCCACAAGAGCAGAAAACCACAGCCTGCAAGTCAACTTTAGGCTGCCCATCTACCTAAGCCTAGGGCCAGGAATTAAGGAGAGGCACCTCGCTCGGCCCTGCACACAGATCAGCAGGAGGGCAGGGCTGGACACAGAAGTGGGGACCTCAGCCTCTGGCCAGGCCTCGGGACCCCTGCGGCATCAGTAGATTTCAGTGTAAATCTCTAAGAAACTCCTGACAGACAGGCCCCGGGACAGCCATGCAATTACTGCTGATGGCCGACCTTCCACGAGGTACCTTTGAATTATAGGAATCTTATTAGAAGCCTCTGACCTCTTGAATTTGCGAGGTAGAAATCGCCTGAAAATCCAATACTCTTATTTATGCCAGCTCTGCAAAAAGGGAAAAAGTAACTATAAGCAGACAGATGGACAGACAGACATGCATCTGTGTTCAAAAGACAAATGCTCTTCTTGCCCAGAGGGCTCCTCATACCATAGCTAGCTGGGTGCCCAAAGCCAACAGCCCTTCTGGTCTTTGATTCAGGCTCTGCAGAAAAAGTTTTAGTCCCCTGTTATTTCAGAGGAGTAGAGGGAATAAGCAAAACAAAGCAAACAAACAAGAGTTTCATCTGTACTTGTGCTGCTCCCCTCTCCCTTGGGCTTGGGAGAAGCCAGAAGAGTGGGGAGGGTGGAGTGAGAATGTCCCCACTGGGCTTCTAGAAGACAAGGAGGGGCGGGGCTTGTGCTGAATGGGTGGGGCATGCTAGGGAGGGTGGGGCCAGTGCAGGGGGAGGAGCTAGAATTTCCCAGGGCTAATTTAAGAGTGGTGAGCCATCCAGGGAAAGGGGTGGGACTAAGGCAATGGGCGTGGCCAACCGAGGAGGCAGAGGTAGTAAAGAGAGCCAACCGTTATAACTGAGGGAGGGCTTCTCAGACGTGGTTGGAGGAGAAGGGGTGGAGCTAGGAAAGAGGGACGGAGTTAATGTGGGAAGGAGGAGCAGGACCAAGGAGGTATTTCACAATTTATCCTTTCAGTGGGGGGAATCTCATTTTTTTAATTAAAAAAATTAATTAAGAAATTTTAAAGCCCTGGGGAAAGTGACCAGGCCACCTGGTGCCAACACATCACATGGCCTTTAATTTTCCTTTTCTGTATAAGCCACGCACTGATCCATTCAGAATTCCAGGTATGGGGGACTCCTGCCTCCAGCCTGGAGTACTCTGCTAGGAAGACCCTGATGACATCAGGCATCCCAGAAACTCTGTCGTCTTGCTAACCTGCATCTAGTCAGTGTGTGTTATGAAAGCTGTTTAGGTTCAAGGGTGTTTCACTAGCACAGCTTACTGGGGACTGCATTTTCTCTGGGGTGCTTGGCAAGCTCTACATCAAAGCCTGATTGAGCAGAAAATATGTGCTAATGTTCACAGCAGTACTCTATTATAGTATAAGTGTGCTTGTAAATATTCACTACATGTTATTACGCCATTTGAACCAAGAATATTGGAAGGTGAAAGGTCGGCCTAATGCTCTCTCCGGAGGCAGCAGTTTTGAATATAACCAAATGGGATAATGGTCGGGAATACCCAGAGGGGGCAATGGAACACGTCGTAAAGAATTGTGCTGTGAGTTTTAAGTTTTCAGGACAACAAAGATGCCAAGAGATGGCTCATAAGCAGTCATTATTAATGGAATGACAAGGCTAATGTTAAGCAGAATGTCTTTGCGACAATAAATCTTGTCCCTGCGCCATTAGTACTCCTTACAACTGCAAATAGCAGTTAGGTTATAACCTAACATGGCAGAATTTTATCCTCTCAATCTCTAATGTATTTTATAATGCTGTTAAAGTCAGGAATCGCAACTGTTTAAGCTCACTTAATCTAGGAGAAGTTTAAACACGAATTTTAAATGCAAAAACTGCTTTGATATTAGTTTTTCTTAATTAAAGAGGAGATCTTTATAAGAAGTAGATCTTTTTAAAAGTGCGTCAGCCTGTAGTAGATGGGCATTGTTGAATATTAAGTGCCATACTTTTATTCATACTCAACTTGGACTGCCCCGTGCGATAAGTCATATTTTTAAAAAAACGAAACGCATTACTTTTGTGGGAGAGCCAGGTCGCACATTTATTTGTTTAACTTCAAATGTACATTGTGTTCAAGCTCCTATTGGGAATGGATTAATCTTTTAAAATAACTTATTTGTATGCATTTTCCACACAGTTCCTTTTGAAATTATGTTCTAATGATTGCCCTGTCTTCCCATTTGACCTCCTTATATATAACAGAATACTTTGGAGAAAAAAATGATTATTAACCCCCGCTTTTTTATT
Organism: Homo sapiens; assembly: GCF_000001405.40. NCBI lineage: Eukaryota > Metazoa > Chordata > Mammalia > Primates > Hominidae > Homo > Homo sapiens. The sequence goes on from NC_000010.11 coordinate 129,367,690, forward strand.
TTTCCTTCTACATGACCAGAAGAACACTGAGAACCAGAAATTAGTACTGAAACTGGAGAGCATCCCGAATGGAAACAGCAGCCACCAACCTCCACAGGGCCTGCCGGGACCACCCTGCAGGGTGGTGGCCTGGGAGAGGACCCCATGCCACAGCCAGGGCCCATGTGAGATGGTGTATAGAGGGACTGTGCTTTGGGGCTGCCATCACTGCAGATACCTGAGGGGAAGGCTCCAGCTCTTCTGTCCCCACCCCAGAATCTGCTGTGCACTGAAGGCAAAGGACTCTAGGGTGGCCTGACCCAGCCAGGGCTGTAGGGTGAAGCCCACTTGCCTCCAGCTGCACAGTTGGCCACAGAACATCTGGGATACCTGGCCAAGCCTGGGAGGCAGCTCTCACCAATACCCTCCATGTGCCCTGTAGAATTTCCACCGTGTTCACTGAGAGCACTCTCCATCAGCAAAAAGGATCCATGGTGCTGCTCATTCTGGCCACTGGTCCCCACTCCTTATGAAGGCATCTCCCTCAGAACATGGTCTCCAAGGGCCCGAGGGTGTGTCCTCACAGAACATTCTGCACAGCATTGAGTAGCAGGTTGCTAAAGCTGGAAGCTCCTTGAAGCTTTTCCAGCGGCCCCTTTGGAGGAAATTCAGGGTCGCTGATCAATTTCAGTTACTTCACAATGCAAAACTTCAAGCTTGCTGCCTTGTTAACAACAATCGTCAACACTTGTGTGTCTCTTCATGGCATACACATGCACTCTCACATCTATTACTTCATCCGTTTTCACAATCCATCTCGAGGATGAGGAAACTGAGGCAGGGAGGGGGCCTAGGCTTGAACCGTGGTCCTCTGAGTCTTAGTCTGACTCCCACCTCTGGATCCAACTGCTTCTCATCCTGTGTGGCATGAAGTATCACTGATTTCTAGATTGTAACATTGTAAAGTCGCTTTTAGATCCCTGCAACAATACTGTATTACCAATGTGAAGGAAATGGCACATTTTGATTGCTGTAATTCTTACGTTTTAAATAATCAACACAAAAATGTTTTCAATTCTTCTTGACATAAAATCTCCCCATATCTTTTGACTCTTCCATCAAACAACTGTTTTTAACCTTTTAGCCTAGAATAATAAAACTGGAAGGAGCTTAGGGCCACTATACAGGTAAGAAATTAAAATGCAAAAGGGAAGAAACATCTTTGATCCAGGGGTGAGGGAGGTCTAGTGCCCAAGTAAGTCCAGGATTCCACAAGCTCTGTGTTTGCTGAAGCATGTTAGTTCACTACCTGACCTGAACTTCTAATTCCTACAGGAGTCACAACAAGACAAGATCGGGCCAAATGGGCTGAAGTAAAAAGGTCTCCATGCGGGTTACATGAAAAAAGCAAGCTACAAACTATGCATAATGTACCCCCATCACACATGCACACATGAATGTCTACATGCACACATGCAGGTGCATGCATACACAGGCATGCATACATGCATACACAGGCATGCATACATGCATGTGTGTATAAGTATACATGTGCACACATATAAACATATGCATACATACACCCACACATGCATACACCCCCACATGCACATGCACACTATATTTCCAGGTGTGCATATATCTGGAAGAAGGGCACACAGAGAGCTGATATCAGTGGTTCCCCTGGGGAAGGACACTGGGATAGACATGGGAGAGGCAAGGAATTTGACTTTACTTGATTGTTGAACATTCTTAAGTTTACAAGAATTTTTAAAAATTCTTATACAGATAAACATGGATCTTTTCAGATCACTGTTGCTGAAACGAATGAGAAGGGGCCTGGCTGGGCCTGAGTAGTATGACAAGTGCCCCCAAGTATCCTGCAGCCCTTGGATCTTTTCCTGGAAGATGCTATTTTCAAGTAACCTCGGAGCCTCATGCTGAGCCGATGAAACTTCAGGGCTGCAGGGTCAGAAGGAGAGAGCTCTCCCTTGGTTTTCAAAGGTTCCGGCTCTGCCCTGCACGGTGGGCATCACAGCAGGGCTCTGGGCCCCTCTGCCCAGGCCCGGGCTCCTCAGGCAGCCGGCTGAGCCCACACTCCTGGGAGCCGCCAGGGAGCCTGGCCTCTCCAGCAGCAGCTGGACGCTGAGAGGCTGCCCAGGCAGGCTCTGCCCAGCCAGGGTGGGAACTGCGATCCGCCACCCAGAGGGATGTGCTTTAATTGAAAATTTATGTTTAATTGAAGAGTCACCTGTTTCATGTGAGATCAGAGAGCAGGCTCCCCTCAGATTTGTAATGGGGACAAGAAGTATATCATTACATGTTTACTTTGTAAGGAAAGGAAGTTTCATATTTAATTCATACAAGGATTCCTTGGCTAGGAAAGAAAGGTTTTTAAAAGCCAGGTTCACATGGCAGATATTTAAAACACCCAACATCTTTATTGCACAGGTTTCTGTTTTGTTGGCTCATATCCTTCTAAACACGGCGGTCAACAGAAGGGAAAGCACTAGAAAGGCTGCATTGTCCTCAAATCATTTAAGAATTACTGTGAGCTTGAAAGCCAACTTAGAAATCAATGCCATTAGAAAAAAAGTGTGCAGAAATACAATTAAGGGATAATAACTTTATTATATAAATAGCTCATACAAATGGGGAAGAAAAACATAAACATCCCAATAGATTAATGGGAAAGGGACAGAAACAAGCAATTCCAAGGGGATAGAATGCAAAGCATAATGCGACAAAAACCATTTAACCTCACGGTTAATAATAAAATGAATATGAAACATGGCACCATTTTTGACCCATCCAACCAGCAGAAATTTTTAATGGTAATATCCAAAACTGAGATGGAGTGGTGAAATCGGAAATTCTCACATAGTGCTGGGGGCAGGAGAAACCAGCGCAGCACTTCTGGAAGAAAATTTGGCTGGGAGTAATGTAAGCCTTAAAATATTCATGTCGTTTGACCTCATAATTTTGTTCTGGGAATCTAACCAAAGAAAACGATCTAAATATATCAAACTTTATAAAGATGTTCAGAGAAGTGTTATTTATAATAACAAAAACTTTAAAACAGCCTAAATGTCAAAATAAATAAATAAATAAAAGAATGGCTAAGCAAATTACAGTTGTTGCATTTACTAGAATATTATGGAATCATTACAAACTATACTTATACAGACTATATTATAATGTTTTTTGAACATTCTCATCAAAGGGAGAATTAAACAAATCGAAGTTTATATTCTGATTGATTACAATGAAAAAACAAACCTACAGGAAAGAATAAGTCTGAAAGAAAATGTGCTAATATATTAATTACATCTGGGAACAATGAATGATGTCAGTGCCTTTTTGCTTGTTTGCTTAGTTTCCAAAATACTCCTCATGACAGTGTATTACATTTTAAATAAATATAAAAACACATTTTAATTGTTTTTCTACTTTAAAAAAAAAAACCCTGGGAAGATAGATTGTAGTGGGAAGTTTCAGGTTAGCCCCTCGTTTTACCGGTCAGGGTATGGAAGCTAAGAGGCTCTGCAGTGCCCTAAACCACAGCACTAATTAGAGAATGGCACCTCTGTAGAATTTGTCACTCAGTATTTGTTAATTGTATCAACTCCCATTAATTAATTAATTCTAGAGGGATATTATTTTCTAACTAGGAGCATGTCCTGGGGAAAATCACTACTTCTCTCTCTCACCCAACAAACATGCTTTGAGCCCTCTGCCGGAAAAACAGAGGAGCAAAGGCGGGATAACAGGGCCACGCAGCAAGTGCCACAACACCCCACACGGGCAACCTTCGCTTCACTGATGAGCACTCAGAGAATGATTTTAAAGGAAAACATAACTTACTGGCTAAAAACTAAGTACCTGCCAGATAGTAGGAATTAATGGGATCATTTCATGAAATAAAAACTTCTACTTTGGTCAATGTAGCAAATTTCACTTGCAGACCTGTTTGAAAAATAAGCACATCTTCAGAATGGTCCAAACGTCAGTCAAAGATCCTGTCCACCTACACGTGGAGGAATCCACATGGTGGTCAGGACCTTGCGACATGGGCAAGGAGGGTGACATGCGGCAGGGAGAATGCCACATCGGCTTCCTGCAGGGTGACAGGAACCCCTCCTTTGGGGCCCATTCCTCTGCATCCAGCCCCCTCCTCTCAGACGCTGTATGGAGCCAAAGTCTGAAGCCTGGGGAGCCCCTTCCTGGCGGTGATTGTGCAGCTGATTCTGGACAAGCCACACAGTCTTGATCACTTTTTCAGAGCTTAACACCGCGAGAGTAATGCCACTGGATCTTATCAGCTCCACCGAAACCGCTTGCTGGTATAAAGATAAATTGGGACTACTAATGCCTAGTGAATACATTACTCTATACTTCTTTTACTTAGTGAAACAGTTAATTAGTATTTACTCGAAAATTACTATCAATTACTAAAAATGACTACAAATTACTAGCAAAATGGATAAATTTTCTCTCTACCACCAAAATAAATTCAATTACTAACTTTGAGTAATTGCGGGTAATTTATTTCTTGGAGGGCAGAGAGCTTATAGACAAACTGGAAGGAGATGATGAAGATACGCGGCGTGGCTGATTTATGAGGGGAACTTTAATAGCTAAATCTGGGTGGTTGAGCAAGAAAGCAGAAACACCGCCGCAAGATACCCACAAACAGCTGCCCAGCAAGCAGAGTCTCTCTGTGGCTTAGCCCAGGATTGGGGGAAGGCTGCGGTGCCGAGATCAATCTAATCAGGAGCTTTCTGCAAAAATACTTAGAGGTTTCCTTGATGGTGAAATCTGAGACCCTAATATGGTCTCCCAAAGGGAAGTTGTCAACACCCGAATCTTAAACAGGACAAAAGGAGAGAGAATACTTTGCAGAATGATTGCAGAGGTTTTCCTTAGAGGGAAAGGGAAGATTTAGATGCCAAGTTTTACACGATTTGTTCCCCTTCAGGTTTCAGCAAAAGAAAAATGTCTTCTGTCCCCCAAGCCTGACATAGGAGCAATCACAAAGACCAGCAGCTGCCAATAGTGGGGTTTGGTCCCTGCAGGAAGTTCACAGCCCTGTCCCTGCTACTTGGGCACCAGGGGGGTGCACAGATTGTGAGGTGGCCATGAACAGTCATCCTTTAAACTGGCACCTCCTGTCCACACTGGATGCGCCTACACCATCTTCACCCCCGGGAAGTCTCCGGCCCAGAGTGCTGCAGATGCCAGCTATTTCGGAAAAGCCGTGTAGAAAGCACATTAGTGAGTACTGAATGACATCTGAATGATGCAGAAGATCATTACAAATGATGACTCGGATTTCCCAAGTCGGGGATGCAGTGAGGCATCATGGTGGTTTCAAGTCCAGTTGTCCAGAATTCCAAATCTTCCAAACTGTGTGACTTACAGCAAAACACTTAGCCAAGCTCAGTCTGTCTCTTCATCTGTAAAACAAAACTCAAAATATGACTTCAGATTAAACAAATTGTGGTACATTCATACAGTGAAATAGTGGTCAGCAATAAAAAAACAAATGAGATTTTGCTCCATGAAAAGACACGGAGGAAACTTATATATAAATCAGGCGGCGAAAGAAGACGAGGTACTGCACGATTCCAGCCATGTGACATCCTAGAGAGGGTAAAACTATGGGGTCAGGAAACAGATGAGCAGCCAGAGTACGGGAGAAGGAGGGATGGGTAGGCGGAGCACGGGATTTGGTAGGCAATGAAACTATTGTGTATGAGACTGTGATGACGGATACGTGATGTCACACATAGGTGCAAACCCGTAGAAGGTGCATCACCAAGAGCAAGCCCTAATGGAAACTCTGGACGTTAGTTACCATTAAGGCACCAATATTGGTTCATCCACTGTAATGGATGCACCACACTGATGCAAGATGTTCACAGTATGTGTGAGGAGGGACAGCCTGTGCAGGAACTCTATACTTTCCACTCAGTGTTCCTAAATGGAAAATTGCCCTGAAAAATAAAATCTAAAATGCAAACAGCTACTTCACAGGGCTGCTCTCAGCACCAAGGGAGGCAGAGTCATAACTTGGAAATGGCACAGGCAGAAGTCAAAGTGACTTAGCCTGGACCTGGGCTTGGCCCTGGTGTTCAAGCCACACACAATGTGGGATTTCCATGCCCATCCTCGCCCCCTTACGGGTCTGCATGGTGACAGGGTCAGTTCAGCAGTCAGTAAGAACAGACCGTGGCCCCAAGAACGACATCCTCAAATCCCACATGCGAGCAGCACGTCCCTTCCCTGGGGAGTCCCCCAAGAGGCCAGGGCTGGAGGGTTGGTGGCAAAGGCGAGTTAGTGGATGACGAGGAACCTTGGTTCACTGTCTGTGCCACCAAAACACAGTCGGTCCACTTCCGGGAGTCCAGGCCTCCCTCCAGGACCAACCACTGGGCCTGTCGTCTCGGAGGCCTTTCTCACTTCTCAAAGCTTGGCCGGTTTCTCTCCCAGGGAGCCAATGCACTGGGACACTTTGGTGTGTGAGCAGCTCCTCCTAATGCCCTCTGCTTTCTGTTCACACTGGTTTAGGCATTCAGTCATAATGTCACAGCATCCCGGATGAGGACGCTCCTGCCAGGCCCCCGTCGGCGGGGAAATTCCTTGAAGCATTAAAACCACGCATAAGAGGAATCTCTGTCCCTTTCACCATGTTGGAGGCTCAAGATGCACAGTAATGTATTCCTGAGAGCCATATTTACCATCCTGAGTGGGGTAGTCAAGGACAAGGATGGCAGGCCGCATTTCTAGGGCCAGAAAGAGAGGTGTCTTTATATCCCACATAGAGGGTAATGCCAGGCTGAGCTCACAGCAACCACACATGCAGGTCATAAAGAGATGCAATGCAGAGGGCATCCCAGAGGTGGCTTGGGGACGGGCTGAGGACATCGTTTAATAATATGGAATGGGGCTTTTGTTCATTTATCTTAGATTCATGCCCACAACCGAGACAGAAGAGTGAGTTCTTTTGCCAAGAGAAAGAGCAGCCTCCTGTCTATGTAGCCTGAGAGACCCATACAAACACGGTGGGCCCGCCCGCTCCGTGCTGCTTTGGGGCTGGATCAAGTCCCCAAGGTGAGTAGTTTCCGTAACTCCAATGAAGACATCCTAAGGTTTTGTACCATGTCATACAATATCAATTTAACATTGGTGCTTCTGAAAAATGCTACCACCATCTGGAAAAATCAACCCAGACTACTTCCATGTAACTTGCAAAGGCATTTAAATTGGCTCTGAATACAGCCTTAAAGCAGGTTGACAGACACCCTCTGCCAACAGTTTAGTTTTGACTTCACATTGCAATTATACTCTGCAATGGAGAGGAATATGCTCAGGTGGAGTCAATCTTGGGTTGTTAGTCTAACAGTGTGAGCTGTACAGAATTTGCTGAGAACGTGTTAATAAAAACTCAAAAATAAAGAAAGTACCACATTAGCAGATTCAAGCCGCCCTCTAAGAGGTCCGGGCTTTGCTCTGGTGTGGGCTAACAGGAGCCTGTAAACAGGCTCCCTCTCGGCAGAGGGAGAGAGGCTGGGCTCCTGCGGCCCCACCTCACCAGCTTTTACAGCTGCATGCCCTGCTGCGGTGGAGCATGGGACTGGTCCCTGCACCTGTGCAGAGCAGGGGCTGACTTGGGCATGTGGCAGCTGCTACCTGTTTCCATACCCAGAACTGGCCATGGTGGTGTTGCCCGTGGATCCAGCATGGAGCAGGCCTGAGTCCCCTTCCTCTTGCAGTGGAGTGAGGAGCCCACTGTGCCCCCATCCTGGTGCCCTTGGAGCAGGGGCTGGGGGTTCCCAATGGACTGAGGCCCTTGGCACCCTCTCCAGGCCACTCCCTCACTGCCATTGGGCCACTGGGCCCTTGTCAGGGCTGGTCCTTTGGTGCTGGCGTCTGGTGTCTTCTCTTCCTCTCCAGTTCCCCAAAGGGTCAAGAGCTTGACCTTCTTGGCTAACTTCTCCCAGCCCATGGCCAGATAAACACAGGACACCAGTCAAGTCTGAATCCCAAATAAAAGTTTATTATATGTATGCCCCAGTACTTTAGTTAAAGTATCTAGGACATACTTATGCTAAAGAAACTTCTCACTGGTCTGAAACTCACAGAAACTATCCTATATTGTTTTTGAAATCCACCCCAGTCCCTCCCTGCTGGAGCTGAACTCCGTTGCTGGCCTCCATGCTGTCATCTCACATCAGCACTGTTGATTAAACAAACCTTCTGCAAACTTCTCATTGTCTGGGGACCTTTCTGAACCTTTGGGACACTGACCTAGATCACTATTAATTGTGCTGCAAATACCTTTCAAATCTGGCGATTCCAGAGTGGAGAGGGGCCACCAACGCTCCCTTGGTCAAAGTGCCCAGCCCCAACCCTTGCCAGTACCACCGTGGTCTCAGGCCGAGGCCTTTCTCCAGGACCCAAGCCACCCATGTTTCCAGGAACTGGCAAGATGCTGCCTTTCAGTCCGCTGGTGTGCACCAGACCCCAGCACGCTCCTCTTGTGTGCCATGCACTCTGCTGTGTGCGGGGATGGACAAGGATGACATGGGGCTCTCCGGACCCAAGTGGATGATTTTAACCCAAGTCAAGTCCTCACCGAAAACTTGGGCCAGATGTGTTTTGGAATTCAAATTTTTCAGATTTTAGAAAGATAATGCCTTGTAGTATGTAAATGCTATTTATAGGATATTATGCATAAGACATAATAAATCCCCCATTAGATTGCATAAATACCTGGTGGATCCAGGGCAACCTCGAACACAGCACGGGACCAGGACAAGTAAGGGAGGGGCCCAGGGCACAAGATTCAAGGAAATGCTCAGAGCCTGGGTGCCGCACCCACCTCACCCTAGCCCTGGCGCTGACAAACACCTGTGTACTTCTACAGTGACCTAGAAATACTGGCACAAGATGGACGCATAAAGACCCCAAAGAGTCACATGTCAGTTCAGGTCAGCTGGGGCCACGGATGAGTTTGGGAGCCAGATGTTAAGAAGGACTTCTTATTTTTTTGAGCTTTGTACGTGTGGCCCTGGGGGCCTGGGATGCGGAGCAGGTACATGCTGCAGCAGAGGCACGCCCGGGGCCTGCCCAGGTGAGTGAACAAGCCTCTCCAAGGCCTGGCATCTATCTCCCTCCTTCTGTCCCCCCACCCCCACCCCAGAGAGAGAAGGCACTCACTGTTAACTTTGCAGGGAAATCATGGGTGGGAAGCATAAGGACACCTTAGGAGTAATTATTTCATCCTGCTCCCCAAGCTGTGAGGCTGCCAAGGAGCTCGCTTCCCAGGCTTTAGGAACGCAGGCCACAGGAGAGAGCTGCAAATTGCTCTCTGGGCCCGGGACACTGCCCGTGAGGATGCCACCAGATTAGAGCTACACCTGAAAATGTAAAACTACTCCTCCTGTGGGCCCTCATTCCAGTGATAGGGGGATCTGCCCATCCACAGCTCGGGACCAGGTCAGTTAGAAGCTGTTGTGAGAGGCCTTTCTGAGAGCCTCCACCAAGCTCGTCCATCAGGGCAGGGCAGGGGACCCGGCCACTGTGCACCAGGATTACTTAGTGGGATGATGTCAGTTGTGCTCAGATAAAATTATAATAGTGTTCAAAGTGGACTCAAGGAAGGAGCAAGGGCAAAACTCTCCTTATATGCTGTACCTTCTCCTTCAAATCCCTTCACACTCAAGGAGTTTGTCTAAATGGACTCTTAGATAAATAGAACGACATAATTGCTTTGATATACCAACATATCTGAGTGTCAGGTTTGTGAATACATCCTCGGTACATTGAAAGAAGCGTATTAAAAGAGTAATTACTTGAAGTCAATATCATATATTCTTATTTTAAAGGAACAGTTCTCAACTCTGAAAAAATTATCATCTCTAACTGCATCATCCAATACAAGAGAGCCACTAGTCCCATATGGCTATTTAAATTTTAACTTTAATGAATTCAAACTAAATCAGTTGTAAAATTTAGCTCCTAAATTGCACTAACCACATTTCAAGCACTCATTAGCTACCTGTGGCCAGGGGCTCCCATATTGGACAGAGCAAATAAGGAGCATTCCCATCAGAGCAGAAAGTTCTATGGAATGGTACTGATCTACAGATTCAGGAATCAACACTCCATTCCTAGCAGGTCATTTCTTTCTTTTGTTTCCCACAGAAGAAGCGGCACCCATGTCATTACTGAAGTTGTTACTAAGGCTAGTGAAATTATCAGAGGCCCAGCTAGTGCCCCAGCCAAGACCTACGTGGGTGACGACCCTTGATGATGATGGCCCTGGCTAACTGTCCTCAGCCCGCACCTTGATGTCCAAGGAGATGAGGAAAGAGACCACATGGAAAGAAAGGAGGGCTGGGGGGCCAGATTTCCACTTCACTGCTGCACAGATACCGATCTCGGCAAGGCATCAGCAACCTCCTAGTGGCCGAATCCTTTACGCCCATGGGTATATACGCTCATGGACCCTTCTTCACTTTGACGTCTCTGGAGCATTTGCGACCCTGGAGCATCCTCCTTGACAAAGTCATTCTTCCCTGATTTCTGAAGTCCATGATCCCTGTTTCCTTCCCACCTCCCACCACTGTTTTCCCCACCCCCTTGGCAGACACCACCTCCCACAGGCGTGCTCTGGCCCAGACCCCTCCCCTTCTCTCCACTCACACCCCAGGCTGAAGTTCACATCTGCAGGCTGCTGGATTCTAAATCAGTTCTCTCCCCGAAGCCCCAGGCCTAGCTGCCTCTGGACATCTCCCCTTGACCAGGAGCCTCAGACAGGATGTTCCCACCCAGAGCCATCTCTCCACCACAACACCCGCCCAAGACTCCCTCCTTCCTGTGTCCTGCGGGGCTTCTCTGAGCCAGGACCTGGCAGTCGCCCCTGAGCCCTTCCTCAACTCACCCCCTGCATTCAGTCCACAACCACCACTGCTGTCACTTCCAGGTACTAAGTCTCTCTCTGGTCTCTCCACGTTTCTCCAGCCCTGCCACTGCTACTCTGATCCAGCCCAGTGCCATCTCTCAATTTATTACCTTCATGCCAACTCCTGGTTTATCCCCTGGCCTTGTCCCCTCTAGCCCGTGCTCCCCACTGTGCCAGGGAGATCTTCCACAGGTGCAAATCTGCTCTGGTCATTCTCTTCCGTCAAATGGGTCAGTGGCTCTCCATTGCCCTCAGGACAACAGCCCAACTCCCTAGAACAGCCCAGGAGTCCTCTGTGGTTGACATCTTCCAGACCATGGCTCAGCAGACTTCTCCTGTAAAGGGACAGATTGGAAATATTTTCGGCTTTTCAGGCCCATACTGTTTCAGCCTCTATGGCTCAACTCTGCCATCATGGCCCAAGGCAGCCATAGGCAATCTATAAACAAATGGTGTGATGGTGTTCAAAACAACTTTATTTATAAAAAACAAGGAGCTGGTTGGATTTGGCCCAAGGCCTGTAGTTTGCTGAAACCTGTTCTATAGATTTCCAGGTCACCTCTCACACAGATCCTGTGTGGTCTCCCCTCTGAGCCTCTACTCTTGCTATTCTTTCTTCCTGGAATCCTCTCTTTCTCCCACCCACCTCTCTACTCTTCTGCTGCAATAAACTCCAACTTGTCCAGTTCCCAAGTTAAATATCTATTTCAGCTGCGTATAGGAGTCTCCAAAAACCTGGGACCTTAAAAACTTCATGTTTGCAAGTCACGTTGATTTCAGGAAAGTAAATATTTTTGGTTTATTGCAGAAACTTAATGGAGAAAAAAATTCACATATACACACACACACACATACACACACACACATACGTTTATTCCACATCCAGGTGTAACTTACCACCATTAACATTTTTATGTCTTTTTCCCAGACTTTTTTTATATATCCATCTTTCTTACATAATTTGAAAAATAACATATAGAGGTTTGAAGTCAGACTTTTTAAAAAATATACATTCTCATGTTGTGATAAGTTATCAAAAAAATACTAACTTGAATGCCAGCATAATCGTCTATCTTACTAATGCTCCAGAATTCACCTTATGATGCCCCTTTTGGGAGTCTGTTAATTTTTCTCTACGGGAAATAGCAGTTTGCTTTCCAGTAGGGTGTCCCTGTCACACCCTCAGCAGCTGCACCCTCTTGAGCATGAGGGGTTATTTATTTAATCTCTGCTTATCCAGCAGGGGAAAATGGCGCCTCATTGCTTTAGTTTGTTGTGTCTGTTTCTTTCTTTTCCTTTCTATTTTTTTTTTTTTTTTTGAGACTGGTTGAGACAGGGTCTTGCTCTATTGCCCAGGTTGGAGAGCAGTGGGCACAGTCACAGCTCACTGCAGCCTCAACCTCCAGCAATCCTCCGGCCTCAGCCTCCTGAGTTGCTGGGACCAAAGCTCATGCCACCACACCCAGCTAATTTTTTTTTTATTATTTATTGTAGAGACAGAGTCTCCCCGTGTTGCCCAGGCTAGTCTTGAACTCCTGGGCTCAGGAAATCTGTCCACCTCAGCCTCCCAAAGTGCTGGGATTATAGGCGTGAGCCACCATTCCTGGCCTGCCCTGCTGTGCCTGTTACTTGAGAGTGAGGTTCAGGGGTGCTCCCATGGTTCTTGGCCATTTGTGTTTCCTTCTCTGTTCCAGGCCCTCTCTCTGTGGCCATGTTCTATACGCGCTAGAAACTCAGTGTATTTCAAGGACACATTCAGTGCCTGACTGGGGTCCTTGGAAGGTTGAAGTGGTCACCAATGGAGCACTGTGCTACTCATCGACCTGTCAGGGGGTTTCTGAATCCACAGCAGAGATGCGGCTGAAGATGCCTTTCCTGAAGGTATAAACAACAGCAAGGCAGGTCAGGGCATCTGTGGGAGTCACCTGCTATAATTCCAGATTAAGACCACATGCAGGAGACCTTCAGAAGAGTTTCAGGCTCCAGAGGCAATTATGTAGCTCACCTGGTGTAGAGGAGAAAATGAAAACACAAGCGGTGAAGGTGGGCCTTCTCAGGGGCCTCCTTAGACAGCACAACCAGATGGTTCGCAGAGTAGGAGACACAGCCGCCTCAGGCACACCTGAGAAGAACTCGGTCCACAGTAATCCCAGAGGCGCCTGCTATGGTTTGAATGCTGGGATCCCTCCAAAGTTCAGAGGTTAAAACTTAAACCTCACTGAGATGGTATTATGAGATGGGGCCTCTGGGAGCATTATTAAGTCATGAAGGCTTCTCCCTCGGGAGTGGGATTAATGCCCTTATGAAAGAGGCTCCAGAGAGCTACCTGGTTTCTTCTACTCTGGCCCTCTGAGGACACAAACACGGCGGCAAGACGCCATCTTGGAAGCGGCAAGACGCCATCTTGGAAGCAGGGGGCAGCCCTCCCTAGATGTCGACTCTGCCAACACCTGGACCTTGGACTTCCAGGCCTCCAGAACTGTGAAAAAATAAAGCATCTCTTCTTTATAAATTAGCCAGTCTCCGGTATTTTATAATAGTAGCGCAAATGGTCTAAGATCATGACCATCAAAACACAAGTGGTACACTATTTTTTTTTTTTAATAAAAATGCGGCTGACAATGAAAATGAGTGTGGCCCACTCATATGCGGGGAAGCGAAATAGGAATCCGTGCGACTTCAGGGAAGCCATGTGACAATGCACCTAAAAATGACCACACCCTACCCAGGAGCATCTACATCATTTTTTAAAGCTCCACAGGCAATGTTGATGCTCCCCTGTGTGTGAGAACTGCTACACTGGATGGGCTATGATGCAGCCATTCAAAATGCTATTTTTAGATGTTCAATAGCATAGGAATGGTTTTCAGCTTACATGCTTAAAGAAAAAAAGCAAGACACAAAATTATAAAATCTTTAAATACATGTAAAGAAAACTGAAAATGACATTGAAATAGTAACCTCAACTGAGTCACTCATTCTTTTATTTAACAAGTATTTTCTAGTACCGTCTATGGTTTAGGCCAGCAGTTATCAAACTAAAAATTATTGAAAACTGCAAAGAGTTTTTGTGTATATAGAACATAGCTATTGATATTTACATATTAAGGACTAAAACTGATCATTTTAAAAATATTTCATTAATTCCTCTTTAAAATAATAATAAATATAATGTTAACACAAAGAACGTATAAAGAGAGTGGTATTGTTTTACATTTTTGTAAATCTCTCTAAGTCCCACTTAATAGAAGACAGCTGGATTCCCATGTTTGCTTCGGCATTCAATTTGTTATGATATCACACTTCATGTAGACGCTGGAAAATTCCACCATATACTCATGAGAGAATGAAAGGGAAGAAGGCAAACAACATCTTAGTTGTTGGAAAACTAGTTTTGACCTTGTGTTAAGAAAATAGTTTTGACCTTGTGGACCCCTGAAAAGGTCCTGGGGACCCCAAGGGTCCACGGATCACACTTTGAGAACCACTGGTCTAGGCATTCCTCTAGGTTCTAACTGTAAGAAAAAATAATAAAAGCAAAATGAAACCAAGTTCTCTCTCTGTCTCTTATATTCTGCTAAGAGAAGAAAAAATCATGTTTATGATCTTTAGGTGGTAAGTGCCAGGAAGAAGAGGTACAGGAGGTGATGGAGAGGCTATTTCAGCTCAGCGGGCACGGAAGCCCACAGACAAGGCAATACCTAGAGGCGCACCGGTATCTGGGAAGAGCGGTTCGTTGGTGCCCACTCGGGGGTGGTTTTACGGATTGTTATGCTTCCCTGCATTGTTCAAATTTTCTTTAAGGAACAAGTACAACTTCAATTTTGAACAAGTTGGGTTTCTTTTTTTTTTTTTCATGAAGGCCTCTTGCAAGGCAGCATTCATCAATGCAACCTTGAAGCAACGGTCAACAACGTTTTGAAGCCGATTTGGAGCCCCTGCTGTTGCCCATTGGGTACTCCAGAATCACTTTCTGCTGGTTCCGCTGTGGTCATCCTAATGATCCTTGAGGGAAGGGCTCTGGGGACACAGCCGTGCAGGAGGCCAAGGACAGCCCCCAAAAATGGGAAGGACATGCATCCAGACAAAATTAATACGTACCTCATTGTTCTCTGTGGGCACTAACCTGTTTCTGGGCCTCCCCTGATGGACTCAGTTCTGCAGGGTGCAGCATGTGGCCTGACCTCCTGTGGGGGTCCATTCTCTCTGTGGCCTCTCAGCTCTGTCTCCTGCACATCCTTCTGCTTCCATTCTAAGACCTGATCACATGGCCCTCGCCACTGCCCTCCTGAGGCAGTGAGATCCCAGAAAAACAAGCCAGGCTTTGCCCAAATGAAGAAACAACAGTTTTACTTTGATTTTTTACAAACAAACAGTTTTCACTTTGTTTTTTAAGTTTTACTTTAGGTTGGTGCAAAAGTCATTGCAGTTTTTGCCATTGAAAGTAACGGTAAAAAGCTCAATTACTTTCGCACCAATCTAATATAAATAATAAGGTTGGATTTCCTAGACATATCAATGAAAACGATGCCTCTGTGTTCCCTATACTTCAGCACAAAGAGAAGATGCTCCCAGGCCCAGCGGACTGCTCGGGTCCCTTGTGTCTCAGGAGCTATAGTGGTTTCTTGTGACTGCCATAACAAATTAGCATAAACCAAGTGACGTATGACAACAGACTCTCATTCTCTCAGAGTTCTGGAGGACAAAAACCCAAAGTCAGGTTGTTGGGAGGGCTACGCTGCATCCAAAGTCTCTTGGGCAAGACCATTCCCTGTCTCTTTGGCTTCTGCTGGCCCCAGGTTTTCCTTGACTGGTGGCAGCATCTCTCGAGTCTCTGCCTCTGTCTTCACATGGCCGTCTTTCCTCTGTGCTTGTCTGTGTCATGTCACCTTCCTTTATAAGGACACTGATCAAACCGGATCAGGGACCACCCTTATCCTATATGACTTCATCTTAACTTGATTATATCTGCAAAGACCCTCTTTCCAAAAAAGGTCTCATTCATAGATACGGGGGTGAGGACTTCGACATATTTTTGGGGGGACACAATTCAACTCATATTAGGAGCCACACCCACCAAGGGAGAGACCAGAAGAGAGTGCAGGCACCAAGGCCAATAGGACTGACTAGGAAGAGGACTGTGGACAGGGCTTTGGACAAGCCAACCTGGAGGTCTTTGCTGAACCCAGCAAGAGGATCATCAGGGTAAGGAGGCAGTGAGGGCAGATCCAGCTGCAAGGAGGCTGTCTGCAGAGGGAGCACAGGACATGCAGACAGTGAGTGTATTCTGTCAAGAGGCTCGTGGCAGAGGGCAGGTGTAAAATTAAGCACTAGCTGAAGGGGGACATGAGAGGCAGGGGATAATTGAGTTTTGCCGTGTTTGTCTTTTGTTCAACTTTGGGGAATGGGCAAGACGACCTTATCGGTAGCTTTACATTTGCGGTTCCTCCCAGGGCCAACACATTCAAGTAGTTGGCTGATACTGAAACTTCTGGGCGTTTTCATTTAAATATTTATTTTATTATTTATATAATTAATACATTGTCTTTGTAGAAATACTATACAATCTAGATAAGAAAAAAGTGCTAAAAGGCAACCATAATTAACATTTTGGTGACTATATCTCTCTAGACTTTATGTCCATAAATGTATGCATATTAATATATATTTCAGGCCAGGTGTGGTGACTCATGACTATAATCCCAGCACTTTGGGAGGCCGAGGCAGATACGTCACTTGAGGTCAGGAGTTCAAGACCAGCCTGGCCAACATGGTGAAACCCCATCTCTAGTAAAAATACAAAAAATTAGCCAGGTGTGGTGGCGGGCCCCTGTACTCCCAGCTACTTGCTAGTCTGAGGCAGGAGAATCACCTAAACCCAGGAGGGAGAGGTTGAAGTGAGCCAAGATTGCGCCACCGCACTCCAGCCTGGGCGACAGAGTGAGACTCTGTCTCAATTTAAAATATATATATTTTTCAGATAAATGAGTTATACCCTACACCGTGTTTTGAAGCGTGCTTTTTTGTTTAACACTATATTGTGAACATTTCTTGTATCAATGTATGTGTACATGTATGCATCTATGTTTACACAATGACGTGTCTATACATACATTCATGCACACGCACATATATAATGCTATTTTAATGACTGCATCTATTCCATTCTGTGGCTGTATCATAATTTAATGAGCCAGTCCTCTACTCTTGGGCACTGAGTTTTACTAAGCATCTTTTGACTTTACACATGAGTCTGAATTTTAAGATAAATTGCTGGATCAAATGGTATCACAATTCCAGTTATATATATATATATGCACATATATATATATTTACACACATATATATATATACACACACATATATATATATGCACATCCTAAAGTTAATCATACCTTTTCCAAATGCCACCAGTTTTGACTCAAATTTGGGAAATCCTGCAGAAGAAGAGAAACGAGGCCCCCAGACAGCGCTGCGGTAGCAGCTTCAGTGCACCCTCACTTCCACACAGGAGGGACCACGTGTGCAGTGTGTGCAGTCTTTTTAAACAACACATATTGTTTTCTTGGGGTTTTTTTTCTAAATGTAAAATTAACATGAGGGGGTTTTTTAAAATTAAAAATGAGGACTGGTTAAATAATGATGCATCATGCAAAGTCAATTTCATTCTGCAAGAGAAAGGGAAGTAGAAAATGTCTTTCCTATTATATCAAACCCCATTTCATATATGATTGGTCAGAAAACAGTAGAAAAATTTAAACCTTGCCTCCTCCTTGTCCTGATATCCTTGCACTTATTCATGTAATTATTCAACACATTTGTATTGAGTACCAAAGTCTGCAAGGCAAGATTAGACAGGCAGATGAAAGGTCCCTGTTTGGACATGTGGAATGTGGATGGGGTAAGGAGAGATGACCAAAAGCAATGATTGCAACCAGAAGAGATACTGGGACTCCCCAACTTGAGACTTGGAGGCCAGAGCACAGACATGAGAGCTAACATCTTGGGAACTGAAGAGACCCCAGATCAGAAAGTGAAGAAGATGGCCAGAAAGGAAAAAGCCACAGGGCACAAAGATGCAGAAAATGAGCTGCCGGGCCAGGCACAGTGACTCATCCATGTAATCCCGGCACGGTGGGAGGCCAAGGCAGACAGATCGCTTGAGCTCAGGAGTTTGAGACCAGCCCATCTCTACTAAAAATACAAAAATTAGCTGGGTGTGGTGGCACACACCCATGGTCCCAGCTACTCAGGAGGCTGAGGTGGGAGGATCACCTGAGTCTGGGAGGGTGAGGCTGCAGGGAGACAGAGCAAGACCTGTCTCAAAAAATAAGAAGAAGAAAGAAAGTAAAAAGGAAAGAAAGAGAGAGAGAGAAGGAAGGAAGGAAGGAGGGAGGGAGGGAAGGGAAGGGAAGGGGAAAGAAAGAAAGAAGAAAGAAAGAAAGAAAGAAAGAAAGAAAGAAAGAAAGAAAGAAAGAAAGAAAGAAAGAAAGAAGAAAGAAAGAAAGAAAAAGAAAGAAAGAAAGGGAGAGAGAGAGAAAGAAAGAAAGAAAGAAAGAAAGAAAGAAAGAAAGAAAGAAAGAAAGAAAAGAAAGAAAGAAAAGAAAGAAAGAAAGGAGAAAGAAGAAAGGAAAGGAAAGAAAAGAAAAAAGAAAGAAAAGGAAGGCAGAGAGGGAGGGAGGCAAGGAAGGAAGGAAAGAGGGAAGGAAGGAAGGAGGGAGGGAAGGAAGGGAGAGGGAGGGAGGGAGGAAGGAAAGAGAAGGGGAGGGGAGAGAAGGGGAGTGGGAGAGAAGGGAAGGAGAGAGAAGCTGCTGGAGAGTCATCAGGTCAACCAAGACTCTTGTTTGCACCATATCATGTTGGCAAAGGTTGAAAAGGTTGATAAAACCCCATGTTGGTGAAGGTTTATGGGATCAGGAAATCCCCATCACCCTGGCTGGACTCCAGTGGGAAACCAGGTTGGAGAACATTTCACAACATCCGATAAAATGCTGGGCATGATCTCCCACTGATGGTGCAATCCCACCGTAACCAATGGAACCACTCACAGATACAAGTACATGTTCATCTGTGGATATTAGTTGTAGTATTGTTTGTGATAGTGGGAGATCCTATCTATACCATCGAAATGCCTGCCCATTCAATGGACTACTGCACAGCTGTGGACAAGAATGGAGGCATCTGTGTGTGCTGCAGAGGGCAAAGAAAACAAGAAGCTAGCTGAAAATGGGGTCTCATTGGTGCAGAAGGCAGCACACACATGTGCACAGCTGAATAGATGTGTGCCTGCTGGTTAGGCTAGAAAATGTCTGAAAGGAAATACAAGTTCAGGGTGGTTTCCTCTAGGGAAGTTGGCACAGGAGTGCTGGGCATTCGCTTTTACTTCACTGTTGAATGTTTCACAATTAGTACATTTGACTGTTTTTTAAATGAAAAACAATCACTTGAACAGGAGAGGACTGAGGAGCTCCCATGTCAGGCCAAACATTCCCAGGAAACATCGGGGACCCTGAGCGGTTTCATCACCCACTAGTTGGCAGCAGACCAGAGTTAGCATCATAGGGCTTGACCACTGGTGACTTCTCCATGTCCAATACAACAGAGTGCTATTTTGGCATTGGACGGGTTAGGACTGTCAGAGACTCTGGCCCTGTGGCACCTCAGTGATACAGGATCAGAAATCTCAGTGCTGGAAGGACCTTGAGAGCTCCCTGGGCCACTGGGGCACACATCAATCACACCAGAGCTCTGCCTTATCCAGCTGAGACCCAGAGCCCTGGGAAGTTCAGCGACGTGTCCCAGGCCATCCCGAAGAACGTGGTGAAGCCTGCCTGCCTCTGGGCTGCAGTGCAAGGCTGTGCTTTGCCCTGGAGTCCTGAGGGCCTGGTACACAGATTGGGCCCACAGAGGACAGAGGGGCATGGGACTCACCAAGGTCAAGTGAGAACAATCATGGTCTGTCTGTTTCCCACACACTGAAATAATCTAGTTCATGACACGCATGGGCTCTTCAAAACAATTCATACTGTTTGGTTCTGGTTTTCTTCCCTGTGATAAAATTAACATGCGGTGGGGAATTGTTTTCCAAAACTAAGGACTGATTAAAAGGATAATAATACACGCAGGCTTTTAAAAGAAGGAGGTAGATATATCCATGATGACATGGAAAGAGATCCAAGATATATTCCTCGAAAAAAGCAAGGTGCAACAGGTTTATGTAATATGATCCCTCATGTGTAAATTATAAGCACACACACAGAGACACATGCAGGTATATGCATAACCACCTCTTTACAAGTATGTTTAAAAGTAGTGTCAATTACTTTTAGGAGAACAATGGAAGGAGTAAAGCTTTCACACTACATTTTGTTTACATTTTCTAACTGTCTTTGACAATTGCATTCTCTTCAGTGCCAAAATAGCACTTCAGTGTACTGAGAGTAACAAGTGATCAGGTTCCAGGACAGTAACTCTCATCTGCTACCAGCCCTTTTCTAATATGTATATTGTATTTGAAATGTATTTTCCTTCATGCCAACAGAGGCTATCAATCTGGGTGCTGAAATTTTGAGGTATTTTGTTTATCCCTTATATTTATCTCAATTTTTGAAAATGAATAAATTCCATAAAATTGAAGCAAAGTTAAAATTGAAGGCACATTGAAGGAAATTTGGAAAATTCAGAAAAAAGAATGAAAAAGAAAACAGAAATCAGAGAGGATCCACTAATCCTTGGATAGGTGCTGTCCACCAGGTGTAGCAATTCCTTCCATATAGTTTTCCATGTGGAGATATGCGCGTGTTTTTACGTTGCTGTCATCACGGCCTTTACGAAGTGTTCAGATCTTCTTTCTGTGCATACAACACCCAGTCCTGAGCACGTGAATTGAATGCTGGTGTAAACGTGTTCAGTCATCATAATCATCATCATCATGCTATGTGTGTGGGTCTTTCTCCTCCTTTTCAAATACTCTGTCCTGTCACTGTGCCAAGTCCCCAGCCCACTCCTAGTTACTTGGTGCTGCAGTCACAGGGCACACCTGTGCCCAAGCAGATGCCTCCCACCCACCCCATGGTCTTCCTTGGTCCAGTTCATCACCTGCTTCCTAACACCAGCATCCGATTGCAGATCCATGGCCTTAGCACCAAATAGCACTGCATTTAATCACATTCAGCCTCAAAAAGTGCCTAAAACATAACAGTGTTTTGCTAATGACTACAAACGGAGTCCTTCAAGATATTCATGGTGGTCCAGGGAATTTCGTAGAAAAAAGAGAGGTCTGTGCTGATTGGATTATGTTCATGTCTCTCAATCTTCTGATCTTGTCCTAGCACATTTGGGTGCTGGCTGTGCCCCCTGCTCATCCTCCCCCCTCACCTGGCACGGACGGGTAGCACACGGCATGCAGTTCCATCCATTTCTGTTCGTGCACACAGGCCAGAGGAGCCTGCCTCTCACCTGGGAGCCCCTCCTAGAAGCAAAAGCTCTGTGAGATTGCAAACATTTGGGAGAATAGCATCGATACCTACATGATGTTTGTTTCATACTCGGTCAGTTTTATTACTCCATACATGGTGTTTCCCAACACTTTAAATCCCTTTATATGATCAGCAAAGATCGTGGTTATGACTACATGGAGGTTGCCACTGCTCTGGGTAAAGGTCAAGCTCTCCTTCCATGCAGCAAGTGCAAACATTAGCCTGCTCCCTTCTGCTATTCGGGTGACGCTGGCC
This sequence comes from Homo sapiens, assembly GCF_000001405.40. Taxonomy (NCBI): domain Eukaryota; kingdom Metazoa; phylum Chordata; class Mammalia; order Primates; family Hominidae; genus Homo; species Homo sapiens. The sequence goes on from NC_000010.11 coordinate 129,389,371, forward strand.
CCACTCCTGCTATGTCAGACTTGCCACGGAAATGCCATCTGCCCCCCACGCTCTCCCGACAAGATTGGGCAGCCTGCAGACCAAATCACAGATGATTTACCAGTAACAAATTCAGGCCACCTCCCACAGCATATCCCAAAGAGGTTAGCTCAATCAGAATATCTTAAAGATGTTGTTAGCCTTGGAGGAGGTTGCAAAGTTGATGATCATATGTCTTCTCTCCAAATTTTATTTGGAAGAGCCTGCTACCGTGTGAGAGAAGAGTCCTTCTGAGATAGTAATTACTATTTTGAAAAGTCATTTTAATATCTAATTTAGAGATAGTGCTTAGCTCCTTGGGTTTCTCAAGTTTCGAAGGATTTGTTTTTGTTTTCTTATAAAATCCAAGCTTTTGTTACTAAAATGAAGTTCCCGCAATGTATGTAACATTTATTTCCAAATGGTGTCTACTTTTATGGGCAAAAATCATCAGAAAAAGCCACTGGCTATAAAAACTGCAAACAAAATGAACCCTTAAACAGCTAATGACTTAAGGGTGGTTGTACAGACATATAAAGTATGTTGGGGCTTACACTATTTGTCATTAACACATATTCTGAAAGCTTGGCTAATATAATGTGACACAAAATTAGTCAAACACAATTCATGCAATATTGTTTAATTTTACTCCTCATTTAACTTGGTTTTAAGCAAAATCATTATGTCACATGACAACGTTCACTTGAACAAGAAATATTTCATAATGGCCACTGCCTTTAGAAATGAGTTATTAGGGGTTCCATGCTGAACACATTCTTAACTATGAAAACTATAAAGCTAATAGCTTAATCATATTTTGACACCATCTACATACTTTATGCATTATTTACAAGAAAGATATAAAAATGAAACCACTGAATATCTCACGCAATACTTCACAGTCATAGTTAACTGGTTAAAAATATAACACATTTATCTTCCAGGGGCTTTATATTTGCATATAGATATTTGCATACCATGTTGCAATGTGCTGTTAATGTAAAATTTAACCTTTGTTCTTTCCCTCTGATGTGCAAGGTATACTCATTAAGTTAAAAATAATGGCAAAAATAAGTCTTCTGGTGATATACATTTCATAAATTATTCCCCAGAGCAGTGAGGAAAGGTAAAATGTGGGTGGGAAAATGTTTAATTGAATTAATTTCTCATTTTCTGTATTTTTATTTTACAACTCGGAGACAGAGCAATTTGACTAGTCTATGTCAACCCTCTGAATTGCTAAGGACCTCCTCTCAATTATTCAAGGTGTCAACCCTCTTAATCCTGTAGTAGAACAATTCCTGGTTTCAGGACTGAGATGGATACATAGCATCATTTTGTACCCCTGTTAAATGGATGAGTCTTTATTCAACAGAGGGAATACACAACTACTACGCATCAAACGTACTGCATGATCATTAGACATTTGGACAAAATGCAGAAGGCTCTTAGTTTGCATCAGGTTATAATACACAATGTCAGTTTCTAATTAAGCCCCTATATGAACTTTTAGAGAAGTGAGACCAGGACTTAGAAATGTGGCAAGAGGGCCGGACGCGGTGGCTCATGCCTGTAATCCCAGCACTTTGTGAGGCCAAGGTGGGGTGGATTACCTGAGGTCAGAAGTTCGAGACCAACCTGGACAACATGGTGAAATTTTGTCTCTACTAAAAATACAAAAATTAGCCGGGCCTGGTGGCGGGCCCTGTAATCCCAGCTACTTAGGAGACTGAGGCAGGAGAATTGCTTGAACCAGGGAGGCAGAGGTTTCAGTGAGCCAAGATCATGCCACTGCACTCCAGCCTGGGTGACAGAGCAAGACCCTCATCTCAAAAGAAAGAAAGGGAAGGGAAGGGAAGGGCACTGTGTTAGTCAAATATCTAAATTCCAAATTCTCTTTTTCCTTGCTGATATATTCTAAATTTAAAATGCGTCATTCAGATGGACTCAATGCCGGAAGTCCTACTGAGGCAAGGAGTGGCCCAGATCCTGCTGCTGGGAGAAGAGGAAAATCACAGATAGCAAGTCCGTCCAAATTAGGCAGATGTCCAAGTCCTTTAATGAATGGTTAAATCTCAGATTATCTCTACCCAAAATGGTTTAGTTCAGGAAGGTGGTGGCGTGCACCATGGCTTGCGTGCCCAGTGAGAACGGGCAGGGTGGGTGGCACACAGCCTCAGGATGGACCTGGGCACACAAAGCTGGGGGAACACAGACCCTCAAGCCTGAGGATGGTCCAGGAGCCACGGCCAGGTGGCCCCAGGTCAGGAGCACAGAACAGGGAAGGAGGGGAGACAGGCTGCCACCCAGAGAGTGGTCTCCAAGGTGTCAGCTCATTGTCCCGGGGCCCCACAGCCCCAGGACAGGACTTTTCCCCACTGTTCTTTATTCCCCTAGAACACTGGATCTGGCAACTTGAAGACGGGACAGGCACAATACATCCAGGATATACTGAGGGCGGGACGGGCCTGAGGTCAGGCCAGCCTGGACAGCAGGCTCCTGACCCCGTAGGGCCAGAGGACCACAGGCCTCATTTCATGGACTGTGGTGGTGACACTGGGGTTCCCCTAGATTTCCAGAAGGGGTCTGGGAGCCCTGGTTTTGTCCTGCTTCCTCTTTCCAGGGCAATCATAATGCCCAGCGCTCCCTGGGCGGACCTCCCTACAACTTCCGCGTTGACCTTTAGGGACTGCCTCTTTGGGGGAAGAGATATCTCGGGCTTCGGAGTGCGTCTCCCGGGTACAGTCAAAATTATGTCCGCTGACTCTGGGACACTGGCCACTGTCTATGTGGGGCTGCAATAATCCCGCCTTGCTGGATTCATTGACCCCGACATCTCGGAGCAGCCGTCCCCATGGTGCCTCACCTTCCCCGTCGGCTCCTACCTTCCCAGCAAAATCTTTTTTCCTTGTATTGAACATGCAATTTATAAGTAGATGTGAAACATACATAAGCTACAGGAACATTTGCGTTTTGCAAATTTCATATAATCTTCGGAAGACTTTGCTTTCTCATTCTGCCACCACTGAAAACATAAATGCACTGTGATTAGACCTCATTTTCTGTAAGAAAGGAAAGAACCGCCCCAAAATGCACAGTGCTCTTGGAACAAGCAGTGGCATTGGTTCTTGCACAAAATGCCCCAGCCCCTCAACATGGAGGCAGGTGTTTTAGGCAGAAATGCCGTACGGAACTTTTACTTATTTACCGTCTTTTCTGGACTCCTATGTGGATGTGATTGTTCTTGTAAAGGTTCTTACCGAGGTAAATAAAATTGTAGAACCTTGGAAACATACTATTATTACAGCACAGAGCTAAGGTGTGCAGAACGGGAAATAACTCTCTGAGGGATAAATTACATGTGATGATGGCTGAAAGGATACAGCTCCCATTTCAGGAAGTCTTCCAGGCAAAGATTTGGCAGTTTTAGCATTCCTTTCAAGACAATGCACGTACACCAAAAACATTATTCTTCACAGAGCGCCCCAGAGGCCGCAGCCGTCACGTGGATGCCGTCGTTATTCCATTCCCTCCAATTCAACACAGATCTTCTTTATTAATTTTAATTTGTCATCAATAGCCTGACAGGCACTCTTTCGGCAAGAAATACTGCATTAACTGTTTCACTCACTGTGGCAGCTATTAAAACCAGGATGGTGATTAGCAGGAATGAGGTCAAACAGAATAATGTGAGTCTAAGTCGCTACCAGCGAAATGTATAACACAGGAGGATTTATTATGTTCACTTGCTGAAATGTAATTTAAAAACAGGATATCACCACCTGCTATGCTGGCTTGTAGGGTTACTCAGATCATTTGAACATTTCCTGCTAATATGTTTATTTGCTTCTGGCATCTATTACCGTTTACTGTATTTCTCATAACTACAGTTAAAATAAACTTAATTGTTGCTATCTACTTCTTGTAAACATAGCAGGTAAATACATCATCCCATGATTAGTTCAGAGGATGTAAATTAGGGTGATTTAATCATCAATATTGGCAACAGAAAAATTAGTTTTCATAACCTTCTTGCAAAGACCTAAATTTAGTTTTCTGATTGAAGAGTCTGTTTGCTAAATAAGGATGTCACCAGGATGCTGAAAGACTCTACTTGGCTAGAAATCCTGGGACGCACCATCAAGCATGCTAAGAAAAGTGCGAATCATTGCAGATGCTAAACATTCGCATGTAAATTTCACGTGCGCTCTTTTTTGAAACATCGGAAATCCAGGCATGTTGCTGGGGATGATTGCTGACCTGGAAATCACAACTCACAGCCTTTGGCTGTACTTTTTAAGGAATTCCGATCAAACAGAGTGATCCACAATCATTTAGTACTTTGTTATTGGGATGAACTTTACATCATGGGCTGAAAATAGAGAATGTGTATTTTAATGTACAGCATATTTTCAATGTGCAGGTTATTTTCAAAATGGACTGCCCGTGAGGCAAACCAGCTGTCAATAATCTCTCTGAGCACCACTGGTCATTTAATCCTTGCATTAAATCTCACTCATACCACTTCGGCTAAGAGATCTTTCTGACTCTGGTTTGTAGGTGGCACAGAACAGGATGCAGTGTGGGTGGTGGTGCCGGGGCAGGCAAGCGCCATGGAGGGGTCATCTGCCGTCAATGTGGCGGTGTGGCCCAACCCACGGCCCCGATGACCCGCCCTGAACGCAGAAAAGTCCTGGCTCAAGGGCAGGTCTTTGTAACTTATTTTCCCTACAGCTTTCAGATCTGCACATTGTGGGAAAAAAAAAAAATGTCAGCTTAGCCATTCTGGAGTGAGGTGGTAAAAACCAAAGCTTGGTACAAAAATTTCAAAAGAAATCATAAAAGATTCCTTTTCTATAGTTTAAGATAGAATTTTTTAAAAAGCCTTTTCTGATAATCCCTATGTAACCTACAAAACAGAATGAATCCTAACGAGAGAAGAGTTCAAATGGTTCTAGCACACAGAAAAGACAACTATTGAAGTTAATGGATATCCCAAGTACACTGATTTTATCTTTATAAATTCTATGAATGTATTCAATTGTCACATGCACCCCAAAACTATGTACATCTATTATGCATCAATTTTTTTAAAAAAAATTAAATCTTGCAATCAACCATAGGGATTTGCATTAACATGAGGCAGAAATGTAATCACCACCACTGTGGTTTTGGGTCTTAAAGAAACACAGCCAGTAAATATTGCCCTCTTCCCACAATTGCCACCTTCTGCGCGGGGCTCTGCAGGAACGCAAAGGGAATATGTAAAGAAAGACACCACCAGCTGCATGCATTTGACTCTTTTTCTCCCAAGCGCTGCCTCTCCCTTAAATCAAGCGGTGCTACAGGAGGCAATTTTCGTGGCAGTGTCTCCCATGCCAGAGTCTGTCACATTAGACAATCAGAGAACTTTTATAAGAAAACCAATGCATGTTAAATATCGCCGTCCTGCGTGCAGAGCCTCGGCTCCCACCTTGCCCGAGGAAAATGAGCAGCCGGGGTACCAGGGAGGCACTTTGTTCCCGCCAGCCCCACCCCGCCGGGTGCACTTGGGCTGCGAGATCCCCCTTCATCTAAGGCAGCCACAACGTGAGCTTTACATATCAGCTGCATTTGAATCGATGATGGGAGCGATGTTTGTAATTCCACATCAAGCAGCCCCGGTGTCTGGCGTTTATTTGTGCTGTTGTTTTGGCAGGTTATCCAAGGCCCCTTCTCATCTGACATGTCAGGTCTACAATCAAACAAAGAGGACTAGTGAATTCACTTTTACAGTTAGGCAAGCTGAATGCTATTACCCGTGTATTTGTCACCGACCTGCAGATCCCAGCCTCTAATCTGCCATCCGGATGGATGCTACAAAGTGAAGAGCCGGGACATGCATTTCCCAGTAACTACCTGCTGCCAGCTATTATTTTAAGGATCCTGTGATTTTCTTTTATTTTGAGTAGAAAAAACAAGGCAGCTGCGGTAATAAAAAGGCATATCAACTAGTCACTTCCTGGCAGATTTGTCACTGGTATGGATACAGTAGAGGGCTTTTTTTGTTGTTGCTAGAAAATGTATACACTCGAATATAATATTGTAAATCTGCAGTGTGTGCTTCAAATAAAACCCTTTTTAGTGCCTTGCATACTGGTAAACAAAATAAAAATGTATGCATCTTATAAAGAACTGCCGATACATACATACATGCAGGATGCCTCCTACAAATCATGCGCTGACAGAAAAAATTTTATGTTATATGATTTTGGGGTGAAAGTTATTATTTTTTATTCCTAAACCACATTAACATAGCTACAAAGCCATACATTATCACAGCTCTCCAATAATGTTCCTAAATATTTCCTAATGATGGATTGTATCATAGGGCCTCCTAGGACCCAAGTTTAACTGTATAATTCCAAGTTGTGAATTAAATTGCAAACATCAAGTGCTTCTGGTAATTCTTTTATTTCTGCACACCACATAATCATATCGATCTCTTCCCCTGTTCTGTCCGTAAATAAATCTTCAGAAATAATTGGTCACCAATAAAACGTTCGTGGTTCGATTTTGATATGTGTTTTAAAATTAATTAGGCAGAGCTTTTAAGAGGTGATCATTCCTAGGGAGAGAGCTGAAAAATTGCAGCCAGGTATTTGTCAAGCTGCATGATTACAGACAATACGTCAACACTTTACCTTTTGTATTTTGAAAGATGTACAGGAATTGCGCTCAGATACACAACAAAGTCAAAATGCCGTTGCCCTTTGCACAAAGCCCGGGGCCCCCAGGTGTGTCCACAGGACCCGCGGATTGAACAAAGAACCCAGTGCCCCGGTGTTCTCCCATCCGAGCAGGAGTTGGACAATTCCGAACAATAAAACCCGGCCCAAACAAAGAGTGATTAATGACTTGAGGAGTCGCAGTGCCACGTCGACCAGAGAGGCTCGAAGTGGGTCTTTGAAGGAGAAATGAAAAGAGTTTCAGGCTTTAAATATTTACTATTTCATTCATCAATGGAGCATGTAAATGCAGAAACAAATATTCAAACATTATCCCAAGACTCCATTTTCCACATCGTCCTCACACGTAATGCCTATTCACGGCAATCAGTGCCGCAGAAGGCACAGGAAGAAAACAGGTGACAGACACAGCCCCGGCGACTCAGCAGGGACCCTTCGTCCCCCTCCTGAATTGTGTTGGTCACTGGGGTTTCTGGTAGGTTCCTCGATGCCATAGAACCTATCCTGTGCTGAGGACTGAAGTTGTAGTCATATTTTACTGTTTCTACACAATCTATTATTGAAAAAGTGATCCAATTCCATGTGAAAATAAACAGTTTTATCATTGAAAGGGGGAACGAGTAGGCAATGCACCTACAATTTGAACATCCTGCATTTCAAAACATGTTTTAAAGCATCATTACTGTTAAGACCATTCTAAGATGTCTATTTCCATTTTCCACTGGTGAAGTTTATTTTTGTTCCTTGTGTTGTGAGAAAGAGAATGCATTTTCACTTTCAAACACACTTATAATATTTCCTAACCTAAATAATAAAAACTAGGGTAGTATTATATCATGCTATTATCATATACCTTGATGCACTTATCGAACACTTCCAGTGTGCACTTGCATGATTTCGTTTAATTGTGCCAAACACTGTCTGAGACAGAGACCAATGCTCTTCCTATTTTATATCTGAGAAAACACATGCCTGAACATTCCTTGAAAAGTCACGATTCAAAGCCACGACTGGCCACCCCAGCCCCCACCTTGGTCCTCTCTTCCTTCTTCCCCTTTTCTCCCTCCTGCCCTCTCCACTTCTCCAAGCCTCCTCCACTCCTCTGGGGTCTGTCTCACAGTCAATGGTGGGGACAAACACTTGACGTGGTTGTTAGTCTTGTCATCTTAATTCTAGACCTCCCCCATCCTTTTGGGCTGGAAAGAACCTCCTTCAAGGAAGGAAATCCAGACTTGCCTGGCAGCATCCCACGGTATCAGGGTGCAGCAAAGCAGGAAAAGGAGAGGAGGGAGGAGCAGAGGAGGAGGGTGAGGGGCCAAGGAGCCGAGAGAACTTGTCTATAAACAGGGCTCTGCCTCTCTAGCAACTGGGCTAAAATGAGAACAAAGGGGTGCTCAACTTCCAAACCCTGCTGAAACCCAGCAGGGTTTACTTTGTTATCCCCTTGCTCTCCTGTGGGAGACTCCGGGAGCCAGCCTCCGTGTCATTTCAACCACGTTTCCAGGGATGCTCCTTGACCCAGTTGCAGGCAGAACCCCAAAACATGTCCCACAAAGTCCTGCAGGATCCGCCTCCACCGACCTGGATGCCCCTTACAAGACCCACTGTGTCGCATGTCCTGCACTGGGTCACCCCGGCCTCGTTCCTGGGCAGGGCCCTTGCCCTCCCCACTCCTGGAATGGCTACATGTTTGGTTCCCCGGCCTGGCGGATGTCAGTTTCTCTCTTGGCCTAGTTTCAGCTGGTAGCTAAAATGCGGCTTCCTTCAGGAAGCCTTCCACGGCAGACTCCAGGTCATGCTCCTTCCTGACTTCTCCCCGCTTCCAGGGCTTTTCTCCCAGGGCTGGCTGAAACCTGGTGCTTTGATGCCTCCGCTCACCAAGTGGGAAGTTCCCAGAAAGCAGGGCGCTGGGTGTTTCCCTCCGCAGCCCCAGGAGAGAGGCCGGTTTACAGCAAGTGTGCCACGATCATTTGTTGCATGAATGAATACGTATGATTTGCTTGGTCTTTATAGACAGGCAGGAAATTAGCCTAAAAGGTTTTACTAAACTTTCATTGCCTTTTCTCCTCCAGCTTTTTTGGAGGTGTAATTGACAAATAAGAGTTGTATATACTGATGGCATAGGTGGTGGCATTTTGATATATATGTGAAATGATGTTCACAAACTAATTAACGAATGCATCCCTTCACATGGTCACCTACTCTCTTCATAAATTTCAAGTACATATGAATCATTTGAATGATTTGCCTACTCAGTCTAAATTTTCATGGTAATTAGGGCTATGTGAACCTAGTATTAAGATCCAGAAAAATAAGTTTTGGGAATTACTAAAAATAAAAAAAGCATCATCTGTGCATGTACACACACACACACGCGTGCACACACACACAAGCACATGGACACACACCTTGGCATGTTTAGAAAAGAAACAGGCAACTGTAGGCCTTTGTGGCCATTTGGTGGAGATATTTCAAGTTTACACTTGTAAATTCCAGACTCAACTTTGGCTGTGACTTAAGAAATTCTGTTAAATTAAACTTTGGAGATTTCACAGAAAGAGAGTGGTTTTCCACTGCTGAATATTTCACAGCAAAGCCTGTTTGTGTGTGCACGTGTGTGTCTGCAAGAGAAAGAGGTTTTCGTTGTACTTGTTGTTTCATATGTGTATGCTTCAATAGATCTGCCAATTTCTCCCAGCATTGCCTTTCTGGGAGAAAGGCCAATTTTCTTCATTTTAAAAATATCATAACATTTGTGTTAGCAAAAACTCCTATAAATGCCATCAGCTACAGAATTCCAGTTTAATTTCTATTTTGACTTTATCAAAATTTGAGAAAAATATCTTTGGGGAATACAATTATCTGTGCTTAGCCTCAGCCCACAAATAAACAGAAACCAACTGTTCCCTGCAGCAGGGAGCTATTCAGTAAAGTCCCTCCTAACTATAGATGATGTGGCCCAGCCAAAAGCTGGAACCACACCCCACAGTGTAATCTAAACAACATAATTCTGATCCCATGGACCGCACCATGTGGTCTAGCATATTGAATTTGTAAAAATCATATTAGAAGGATACACAATATTTATAAAATACAAATACTGATTTGTCACACTGATTCTCAACCTGAATGTGGGTCAACCTCTTGTTTGGTTCCCTTTAATAGCATAATTAAACAAATAAGAGCATTTATATCATGTAAGATCCAGACATAAGGAATCATGGCATTTTAATATTTTAATATTCGAGGCTGCCTAGTGATTCCGTAATGGCTAAACCCAGTTAAACTCCCATTGATGATGCTGATTACTCTAGGATCTAATTTTCTCCTCTGGCTTCATCTAAAATCATGTTTCTCAACAGCTATCCTTTATTGTTTTTTAATCTTACTGCCTGGATATTAGTGAATCTCTAGAGTTCCAAAAACTACATTTGAGTGTTTTAACAAGTCAGCCCAACAATATATGTGGTGAGCTCATTAAACTTAGGTTATAGTTCAGACTATTCACCTGGAATATTAATATTCATCAATACTCTTAAAATCATAGGCCAACTTGACAGCATATATGCCAGCATCAGGGTTACCAACACCTCTGCCCTTCATGCAACAGTAGCACCCGGGATGAGACCAGTGTGTGCAGAGCCAGCTCCTGGCCCCGGGCTCTGTAATTAGCACCCTTAGCTGATACCCTCCAAGCAGAAGGAAAACGACACACACGAAGTACGTCAGTGAATTGTCTTAAGTTTTTCCCTTATGAAGTTTTTAAAAAGCAATAAACATCTAACTCTAAATTGTCATTAAAACACAGCCTCCAAGCCCTATCTATGCCACCTTGATGAATAAATAAGTAGCAGACAGGCCATCCCAATATTCAGTTACTAGCACCATTGCCAGTTAGCGATTCTCTACGGCCGGACAGAGAAAGCACTGCATGTCCTGAACCACACTCACACCGTTTAATCTCCTTCCCAATGTCACTGCCATCTTTGGAAGTGACAAATTCTCTTCATTCTTTTTCCTCCTTCCCTTGAACATAATGTGGTTGAGTCTCTTCTCCCACTTGGCCTGATTTCTCAAATTCAATCAAAATCTTTTTAAGGTCCCCCATTTTATTTGTCTTTTCACTGGGCTCTGCCCTGTGACTCCAGCACTTTGTCCCCTTCCAATCTTCAATGCTCCCTGACTTCTTCATCTCTTTTGTCAATCCCATTGTCATTCACCTTCTGCTGAAAAATGCTGGCCAGGTCCTTTTTGGATCCTTTGGAAATAAATGTACAATTCTAAGTCATATGTATAATGAAGAGGCAGTCAATGTAAAAATCTTTGTTAAATATTTAGAACTCATGGAGCTGAAAGACACTTCAGAGGTTATCTGTCCCCCACCTCACCTCTACCTCTGCACCACTCTGCAAAGGCTTAGAATGCTGAAGCCTCCTAATCAGAGGCACACGGCCAGTTAATAGTATTACCAACACCGGTGCACGACAGCAGGACTCTTTGCCCTGCACCTCCCACAGGCAGCTGCTAAAGACAACCTCCCGATGCAGGAGTCACCTGGCCTCTGCTGGTGGAGTGGCCCTTCCTAGTCAGTGTCATCATAGGTCTCACATCTTACGATGCAAAAGAAGGAAGCCACAATTATTCCAGAAATTTGGCAAGTTACATGCAAAAAAAAAAAAAAAAAATCTAACAGAAGGAACTTTGAACAAAAGGTACAATTTATCCCAACCCAGTTTTTACTGTGGCCTCCTTGATACACATTTCCAGGCTAAAGCTGCCCCATGTCTTGCCATAGACAACAATGATGCTCATAGGAACGCTAGCTCTCAGTTGTTGAATGCTTATTATTACAAATGGCAGCAATCAACAATTGTCAAAGTGTCACAGTATCTCATGAAATCCTCACCATCGTATACATGGATATTATCTTTTCTCATTTTCCAGATAAAGAAAGTGAAGGTCAGAGGGCTTAAATAACTTTCCCTGAGGCCAGGGAAGGTGGCTCGCGCCTGTAATCCCATCACTTTCGGAGGCCAAGGTAGGTGGATCACTTGAGTTTAGGAGATCGAGACTAGCCTGGCCAACATGGCGAAACCCCATCTCTACTAAAAATACAAAAATCAGCTGGGTATGATGGTGCACACCTGTGGTTCCAGCTACTTGGGAGGCTGAGGCAGGAGAATTGCTTGAACCCGGGAGGCAGAGGCTGCCATGAGCTGAGATCATGCCACTGCACTCCAGCCTGGGCGACAGACCAAGACTCCAACTCGAAAAAATAAAAAATAAAATAAAAAAACAACTTTCCCTGGGTCTGAGCTAGCAAGTGAATGAGAGATTCAAACCCAGATCTGCTCACTTCTGCCCAGCCTCCCTGAATCAGTGTAAGCTTCTCAGGCTGCAGTGTTCTAACCAGAAGTATCATTTCCTTGAGGAAGTCATTCATTTATTCACCCAGCCTGAATACAGGGAACCTCACCCATACTAGCGTGTGCCTACTCTGGGAAGACAGGATCAGGGAGCCCTGGTCTTCGCCCTCAAGAGCCTGGCTTCTGGCTTTAGATCTGCTTTGGAGAATCCCACACTTGACTTTTTAATGCCTCTTCTCCCATCTGTAATTGACCGGTCATTTAGTAGTCTTTCTTATTCTTCACGTATCAGCTTAAGGAATAAGAAAACCTTCGTTAAACAGACGCAGAACACGGAGGATGGAAAAAAGTCTTTGAAAGAAAAAAGTGTTGATCATTTACCACAAAGAAAGTCTTAGTGGATTAAAGTATATTCCCTGGGCCTTTAAAGATATCTATTAGTAATTTACAGAAATTATGAGAGCAAAAAGGGCTGTTGTTTTCAGAATTCAGAGCTCAGCCTGTGGCCTTATACTGGATGATGTTCAGAACCAGCCTCTTTGGGAATTCACATCAAATTCAGGTTCATAATTTATGTAATGACATATACTTGGACACTGATTAGCTATCGTATCAGCTCTGTAATAAAGGCGGCATAACCCCTAGTTTATCATTCATTCATCTGAAGTCATTGTGAATAATATCACAAGATTGTAATGTAATCATTATGCTGTACAGCAGTCCTGGGCCTGCACACCAGGCTGGCAGGGTCAGGGCCCCGGCAGGGTTCACACCGCTTAATTTACTCACTTCTTACACATTTATAAAATTGGAGTCAACAGTGTAGTATCGAAGTTGGGTCCAGGAGCAGATGCTTACACACATTGCTAATAAGATGTTCAATAGGAGGTACAGGAAGACTTAATAACAGTAATAATAATCTTCTCTCCCAGCCAGGCTTGTACTTGAGTTTGAAACAAGTCATTCAGTGCTCAATGACTAGCACGGATTTCCTTTGACTCACGGGCTCTGCTCGACCTGAAGGGTTTATCGACAACCGCTTTGCTGCTATGAAACGCTCTATTAGGAAAACTGTGTCTTCAGGCCACGGGGAGGGGAACTGCAGAAGAGTCGATTCCTTTGGAGAAGGGTTCGGGCGGGCAGGCTCTGGAGTGCAGCCACAGCAGCAGAGGAAGGAGGTGGAGGTGGAAAAAATCAGCTTCTGAGAGGCCGGAACGGTGGCTGGGAAGAAGGAGGAAACGGTGGTGACATCGCTCACACCCTGGTAAAGGCACTCGGGCTTCAGTGTGACAGTGACTGTTGTCATTTCTCTGTGGCCGTCCTTCTGGCCACTCCACAGCTCTTTTCTAAAAAGCTAACTAAATGCTAGGTTACCTTTTAAGTTTAATTTGCAATTTCCGCCAGAGCCTTGGCCGACCCACTCATCCTCTGTGGGAGGCGGCTGAACTCATCACAGTGCCCTGGGGGGCTTCCGCCAGGGGCCTGCCGCCTCCCTGGGCCACCAAATCTAGGAGGAAAAATCATGATGTGATGTCAAAAAAAACACGGTTTTGGGGCTGACTTTGGAGACTAGTGCCCCTCCTGCCTCCTGGGCTTGAGGTGCAGCCACAGAACCTGTGGGCCAACACCGACCCTTTCTGCAGTGGGTCCCAGCCCAGGGTCACATGCCAGGCCTGAAGCTTTAACCAGAAGAAGGTAGCTGGGCCAGTGGGGTGGGAGAGGTCAGCCAGGGCAAAGCTAAGTGCCCTCCTCCCAACTACCCCATGAGAGGAAGACAGCAGGTAGAAGGTAGGAACCCCAGCCAAGTGGGAGAGGGTGGCCTGAGCCATCCCAGGTGGGTCAGAAGCCCAGCAGCCTGCAGGTCATCCTCCCAGGACAGGTGGCAGGGAAGCTGTGGAGGCAGATGGTGAACAGGTGGAGGCTCCTCCAACCTATCTCGTTCAGGGCATCCCGTGATTCCTGCATCCATTTAACAAGGCTCCATGGAACATGACTAGGTGTGACGTGGGGCTGGGCTTTCCATGCACAGCACAGGTCCAAGGCAGGCAGCAATGCTAGCATAATCTTTAGGGGGCAATAGGATTATGGAAGAGAGACCAACACCTTCTGCCTGGGAGAATCCAAGAGGCTTCCTGGAGGAGGTGGCATACGGAGCAGTAAGAGGATTTCACCGACTTCATGCTGCGCTGCCAGGTCAACAGGTGGCATTCACTCTCTGTGGTTGCTTTAGGACTAGATGAAAACAGTGGTACCAGAAGCATCACCGTGAGGTCAACAAGAAAACTCCAGCTAAACCTTAGGCTCAGGGTCAGTGACCAGCGTCTCTCAGCTTCGTCAGTTCTTTTTCAGGAAACAGGTGAGGTAAAAATTATAAATAAATCAGAAAACATGAGGGGCTGGTGGGCTGGTTGTGTTTCTCTGAAGGCCTTTTAACGTCCATATTATTTAGGAAAGTTTTTTGTTGCAAGTTACATTAAAAAAAAAATCTTAGAGCAACAGGGTCTTTCTCCCTCACACAACAACGCCCCCATCTCAGCATTCTGGAGGGAGGCTGTGACCAGCCGTGGCGAGGCGGCCGGAAGCTCTGAGATCTCTCTCGGCATCTCCCTCATGGTCACAAGATGGCTGCTTCAGCTCCAGACAACATATCTGTGAAGCATGAGGAAGAAAGAGGTGAAGCCGGCACAAGACATGTTTATCTCCTTACATTCAACACACAAAAGCCTCCAGAAATGCCCGCAAACACCTGCTTGTGTCTTATTGGTCGAAACTGGTCACATGGCTGCCCTAGTTGCAACAGAAGCTCGGAAGATGGGGTTTCGCCTGTGCAGCCCGCACATAGAGGCCGCCACCGACAGGCGTCGGGGGGGCACCCACCACACTCACTCCCACACCCCAGAAAAGTGCGAGAAGACATCACGCTACTCAAGAAAAGCCCTTCACCTTAGAATGATACAATGGACTTTGGGGACTCCGTGGGGAGGGGGAAGGGGGTTGAGGAATAAAAGGCTACACGTTGGGTTCAGTGTACACTGCTCGGATGACGCGTGCACCAGAATCTCAGAAATCACCACTAACGAACTTACCCATGTAACAAAAAACCACCTGTTCCCCAAAAACTATTGAAAAAAAGATATTTTATGTATATAAAATAGAAAAGCCATTCACTCTTCCTCCAAAACTAATGAGGAGAGAATGGTAAATACCAATGGTGAATTCACGGCTGGACTGAAGGTGCTTACGCGGCCATCTCCTTGTTTCCAGATGACGAAGTTTTGGAAGATGTCTGGAAGATCATAGTTAAAAGTTATATCAAAGGGAAGCTTGGCTGGAGTTTGGGATTTGTTCCCGTGCATTTCCATGGACAACTTAGAATTGAAGGTCACAGAAGTCATCCCTAAAACCGTAGTGAGGGAAAAAGGCCAGTTCGTAGCAAACATAGCAAAGCTACCTGACAATAACAAAAAAATCTGCAACGGTGGCTTTCCAAAGAACACCTCCATTTAAATAGGCCACAATATAGAAAAAAGTAAACATATGCCCTAGCAAAGTCAGGGGTCGAAATGTGAAGTCAAGTTATTCTTTTATTTTTATTTTTATGTATTTATTTATTTTTATTTTTATTTGGTTTTTTTTTTAGATGGAGTCTCACTGTGTCAACTAGGCTGGAGTGCAGTGGCATGATCTTGGCTCACTGCAACCTCTGTCTCCCAAGCTCAAGCAATTCTCCTGACTCAGCCTCCTCAGTTGCTGGGATTACAGGTGCCCACCACCACACCCAGCTAATTTTTTTGTATTTTTTAGTAGAGACGGGGTTTCACCATGTTGGCCAGGCTGGTTTCGAACTCCTGACCTCAAGTGATCCACCCACCTCGGCCTCCCGAAATGCTGAGATTACAGGCGTGAGCCACCATGCCCAGCCCAAGTTATTCTTTAGAAGACTCATCAGCTTCTATCAGGTGTCCCTAAGTTCTACTCTTAGACTTGAGTTTGGCCAGCCCTAGAGGTGGTCCCCATGCATCTTGGTGGCATCTGCAGAGGATGAGAGTCCAAGTGTGACTTGGGAAGGGGCCTTCCCGAGGGGGCTTCCTTCTCCACCAGAGACCTTTTCAGCCAAGGTCAAAGAGGAGGGGTAGCGGGAAAGTCCTGAAAGACCCAATCCCGCTGCAGTGGTGACAGCAAGAAATGACTCAGCCAAGGCCAGGGGTTGCAACCAGGCCTGGCATATCTGGGAAGAGAGGCAGAGTGCACAGTGGTCAGTTGCATGGATGTAAGTGCAGGCAGACCTGGTCACTTCCCACACTTGGTCTTGGGTGAGTTACCTGACCCCACAGAAACTGTCTCAGCTTGTAAATTGGGGGTAATAATGGTACGTACTGCACAGGGCTCCTGTGAGAGATGATACATATAAAATTCCTACCAGAGGGCTCAGCACCATTAAGCCCTCAAAAATGTCTTCTTATTAATAGTTGCAACTGCAAATACAGCTCCTTTGAGCTCTAGAGGGCGAGCACCTTCTGGTTAACTTTTCTCCACATTCATGCTCTTAGCCTTGGATTCTTAACTTTCAGGACCCTTGAAACTAAACTCAGAGTTTTGTGTGTATGTGTCTATGTAAATATGTATCCATCCATACATACACTTACATTTCCCCGATGGAAGGATCCCCGGATGGTACCAGACTCACAACAGGGTCTGCTGAGCAAAAAAAGAAGAGACGAAGCTCTCAGAGCTACTTGGTGGCCATATGGGATGTGTATATGTTGCTTTCCTCAAACACAAGTTAATCTTCTCATCCTGTCCTGCCCCCACCGTTCAATGTAAGCCTGGTAATTTCCTAGAGAGGCAGGCTTGTCATCTGAGAAATGTTTAAGCATAGCCATGGTCAGGAGGTAGAGCAGGGAGCTGTGAGTGGTCTGCAGAGGCTGGGGAGGTAGGTTTCCAGGCAGGCCAGAATTTTATGTAAGCCATCTTGAAGCAAAAGCAGCTTTAGGAAGTGCATTCCGATGGACTCACCACCAAAGGGAAGCCCATGAAAGAAACGTTGTCAGAAGCGACCGTGAATCTGGAGGGGGTGGTACCCTTCACGAAGGACAGAGCGGGAAGGTGCGGAAGGTGCAGAGAGCCCACCAGCCAGACCTGCACCAATGGGGCGGGGGGCATGTGACATTCCTCAGGGACAGACACTGGCAACGTGTATTCCTGACTCAGAGGAAACAGTGACTTTCAAAATAACCATATTCACACTACTCGGCCATAAGAAGGAATGAATTAATGGCATTTGCAGCAACCTGGATGAGATTGGAGACTGTTAACCATATAAGTGAAGTAACTCAGGAATGGAAAACCAAACATCATATGTTCTCACTTATAAGTGAGAGCTAAGCTATGAGGATGCAAAGGCATAAGAATGACACAATGGACTTTGGGGACTCAGGGGGAAAGGGTGGGAAGGGGACGAGGGATAAAATTGGGTTCAGTGTATACCGCTCGGGTAATAGGTGCACCCAAATCTCATAAATCACCACTAAAGAACTTACTCATGTAACCGAATACCACCTGTTCCCCAAAAACCTATGGAAATTAAAAATTTTAAAAATCTATAACAAAATAACCATATTCACAAGATGGGGTGGGGGGGGGGGCTGTTGGCAAACACTCCTGAATCCCTCATGAAAACAATTGCTCAAGTTCAAAGGAATTAAAGTCACAATGGAAATGATCAGATCTTTCCTTCCCTGTCATTCCTGAGAAATGTGGAGACAATCACACAAAAAATCGCCTGTAAGCCCCAACCTTCCACCTCTCCTCCAGGCCCGGAACAACACCCCGCTTCTGTCCTCCACTATCTCCTCCAGTGAAGGCTCTGGACTGGCAGGAGACAAATGCAGCAAATAAATTCTGCCCCAATAGCTAACCTCTCCATAGTATTCTCATGTCTTTAGCACCAAAATCTAACAGGAGTGTGATATTTATCTTCTGTTTTCAATATAATGGAATGAATCAATGACCAAAGGAATATAAAATGCAATGCCGTCCAAAATCTCCATAGGATGGAAGGGAAGCCTGGCCCTTACTTTCACTTGGAGGATTAAAATAACAAGACTAGGTAAGACATGTGTAAAAATAATAAGGGAAGACTTGTCTGATCAGATGTCAAAATGCATTCTAAAGCTATATTCATTGAAATGCAGTGATATTGTTCCAGAAGAGTCAAAAATATCAATGGACAAGGGTTCAGAAATAGACATATGTCATATGCTTATTACTATAATATTATAAAGTGGCATTTCAAATCAGTGGGAAAATGCACTCTGAAAATGCTATGAGGAAAATTGACATTTTTCAAACAAATTCAGATATACTATATGCCATTCATTAAATTTAATTCCTATTTCACAATATAATTATTAATCAGAAGATGTTTTTATATTATGGAGATGAGAAAAGCCTTTGAAAATCTAGAAACCAAGAAGACAATGGGTGGTAGATTTCATAGACAAAGAGATTAGGGGCCAGCCTATGTAAAGAAGACCCATAAATCAATAAGAAAAACACAAACAATTCAATAGACAAATATGCAAAAAAGCTCTTTATGAATGAGGAAAATCAAAAAGTCAATTAAACACAGGAAAAGTTAGTTGCTCATTTGCATTAATACTGCGGGAAATAAAAATTAAAACCAAAGCAAGAAAAATATACCTTCCACACTGGCAAAAATATAACTCTAACAATATTAAATGTTGGCAGGGATTTGGGAAATGGGATATCACATATCTTCTGGGCACAAGTCAGCTACTTAGGAAAACAAAGTTATCAGTATCTAATAGAACAAAGAACACACATATCCTACAACCTAGAAATTTTATATGCAAGCATATGCCTGGAGAAACTTTTAAAAAACATTTGCAAAGCTTATCACATCATTATTTTCAATGCTGCAATTGGAAAAATCCTAAATGTCCATCAGTACGCAAGCTTTCAAAATAAACTGTATATTTCTGTATCAGCATGGATATATCTCTAAATAATGCTGTTTTAAATAACAAATTACCAAATAAAACTATGATGCTGTTTATAAATTTTTGAATGCAAATTAAAAAATGCCAGATACTTTTTATAGCTATCTACATTTCTAAGTAACTATTATTTTATGACCTAATAGAAACATGCAAAATTCATTACAGTAATTACACACAGGGAGGGGAGTGAATCAGCCCAGGTATGGATGACAAAGGATCAATACTATCTTTACCTTTTCATTTTAAACTTCTAAAAACTTGAAGCAAATATGTTAAAATCTTATTTATTAGTATTGCTTAAATTATTCATTGTACATCTCTCCACTTTTTTATTTTCCGAAATTTAAAAATGCCATTAATGTTAATATTTTGTTTTACCATTGCTGAACTGTAAATATATTCACACATCACTATTATGTCTTTTGTTAAAAAAAAAAAATTGCTAAGTTTGGCTATGCACAAAAGTAAAAATTCTGTACAGGAAAAACTCCCATGAATAAAATTAATAAACAACAAATGAGGTCAGTATCTTTGCAACCCATATTTTAAAATGTTAATATGTTTCATACATAAGCGTCATTCTCAGATCAACAGGAAAAAGACATCACATCTGAAAACGGAGGGCAGTGAAGAGGATTCGAAGGCTACATCTGGTGTAGATAAACAGGTCCTGCCTCTGAAGGTAGCACAGGGGCGTGGCTGGTGTTGGTTGCGCTGGGTGCTGGAGTACAGCCCACCTGGTCCTGCCTGTTGTCTCAGATCAAAACTTTGGGAGGTTCTGTCAACCAGATCAACTGCAAGGAGGACATGAAGAAAGAGAAAACTGTCTATTTCCCTCCCTAAAAACAGCCAAAGAGATAGGACAGGTTGTGGGGGACAATCGGAGTCTGGGAGCTTCCCTCTTGTGGCACAAGGAAAATGAGTTAATGTGCATCTCAGTCAGGACCCTAAGTGCTACAAAACAGAAACCCAACTCAACTCTAGCTAGCTTAGAAGAAGAGAGTATTCTTGTCTTACATACCTAGCAGAGCAGAGTCAGGCAGGCCTTGCGGTGGTAAGCTTACTCCAGGGGTCTGGCTTGATCTTTTGGATGATCTCCCAGCCATGCCTCCTTTACTGGTCTGCTTCTTCCCCTGGGTGACTTGCCTCACAGCAGCAAAATGGCTGCAAAGGATCCAGACCCCCTTGCCTTCCCAGCATACTATCTATGGCCCAGAATTCCCAGCAAATACTTTGAGAGTTGCTCTGATGAAACTGCTTAGGTCACCCACCTGCCTCTAATTAATCGCTGCAGCCTCAGGATGAGTATAGTGTCTGCTTGGATTAGGTTTCATAACCCATTCCTAAAGCTGGGGTTG
This sequence comes from Homo sapiens, assembly GCF_000001405.40. NCBI lineage: Eukaryota > Metazoa > Chordata > Mammalia > Primates > Hominidae > Homo > Homo sapiens. The sequence continues at coordinate 129,409,863 of NC_000010.11, forward strand.
GATGGGGTTCCTTTCCCTGTACCCAGGGGACCCCCAGGAAAAAAAGAGGGAATGAATCCTGGAAAGACAAGGACCAGGAGTTCACAGAGAGAAGAAAGCTGAATGGTGCTTCAATTCTTTTCCATAGACCTATGTCATATATATATTTGTAACATTACAAATTGTGATATATGCTGAAGGGACACGTGTTTTCCCAGGACTGTAAGTTCAAGATACTGGTTTCCCAAAGAAAGGGTTAAAGGCCATCATGTGACAGGTGCCAGATGCTCATCCAGGATGGGAATCAGGATCCTGGTCCTGGGTCTCTTTCCCCAGCAAGACCCAGCCGTCCTCGGCCCCCTGTACCGCTGCTTCCTTTCCTCTAAAGTGACAGGGCTAGTTTGACTCTTTAGAAGTATTATTTTGCCCCTTTAAACACAGATTTTAAGATTATATGAATGGCTCTTGTCCTCAAAGATAATACTTTGTGCCCGAAGTTATCAAGTTCCTAATGTCAAACCACTAAGAAAGAAAAGTTGTGACAATTTAATTTACCATCCAATTTAAAGTTCATTATCATGAAAGAAAACTTTCCAACTTGTAAATAAGCAGACTGAGTGAAAACTGATGAAAAATGTATCAGTATCTAAAACCCACCTCCCTTATAGCACATCTTGAAAAAAAATTTGTTCAGCCTTTGAAAAGCCCTTTCAAGCAGGGTTGCTTGAAAACTCTCTGAAGAATGTATTCCTTCAGCAATTCTGTATCCTCCTCCATCTTCTGTGTTCCTGGAACTTCTCTTGACAAGCTGGGCACGAATACAATGGGATTTTATTTATTTTTTAATTTTAAAAGCGTAAAAATAAATTTCCTAGCAAGACAAAGGTAAAGGTGACACACAGTCTTTATATCATGGGTAAGCGTGGAAAAGGCACATGGAATTACAGAATGAAAATTTGGGAAAGGACAACTGCAAGAAGCCGTCAGTCCCTAGGTGCCAGGACAGGCAGGTGACACTTGACTGCACAGTGGTGTGCCTGGATGAAGCCGGAGGTGGAGGCTCCCGTCTGGCACACTTGGCAGGCTCCGATTGTGCTATTTCCTTTGCCGGTTATGGAGAAAATTAATTTGCCATATGACGGTAGCTCCTGCCTTTAAAGAAAAATAATGATTTTAAATCACCAATTGTGTTTGGCCTGTAAAAGAGAGGATCTAGAAAAATTGGAATGTTTCTTAATGATGCAGGACTTATCTATTTTGGGACTATCTGGTACTCAGTCCCGAGACTGCCCGTGAGTTTTGTCTCCATCCCCCAGGTCAGGCTGTCAGCCGTCATCTCTGTTGTCATCATGCCATCTTCCATGAGTCCTCTCGAATTCCTTCCAGCTTGATGCTTCCAGCCGACCACAGCTGGGAAAGCAAGATCGTTATGAATTGAATGTGAAAGCAGCGCCATCGGTGACAATGGACGAGGCTCCCTGCTGGCCTCTGGCACAATTATTCAACGCTTCAGAAGTCGCAATCTTTCCTTCTGAGACGCAGTACCTGGTACCTGCAGTGCAGCCTTGAACTCAGCTCCCGCTCTCACTGGCTGGGCAACCTTGAACACGGCTCACTTAAATCTCTCCAGGCCTCTGTTTCCTCAATCCGCACATTGAGGAAAATCAAAGCACCTACCCCCGCTCGAACATCACATCACGTGAAAAGGGCTTAAGCGGGCCCTGGCACCCAGAATGCACTGGACAGGAGCTGTCAGGATGGAGCTGGGATGGGTGGAGGTAAGGGTCATGCTTAAGCTTCTTAGAAAGTGTTCTCACAACCAGAGAACTTCTCAAAAAAAGTTTGTCGAACACTTTTCTCATTTGAAATTCTCAAACAGCTTTAAAGTGAGCTGAAAACACAGCAGTAAACCCTGGTCTCAGCTTCCCGCTTGGGGATGTTGGGAGAGTTCCTCCCTTCCTTCCAAAGCTGTTGATTGAATATCTACCCAGCACAGGGGCCTGCCTCAGGGAGCTTAGGGTTGAGGAGGATGGACAGACAGAGCCAAGCAGTGACGACCCAGGCAAGTGCGACAGAAGGGAGGTGCCGTGTATAGGAACAGCAGAGGCTTGGGACCTCACTGCATCTAGGAGTGCCAGGGACGTTTTCTCTGAAACGGGAACTGTGAGTTGGCACTGGGTAGGCTGGCACAGCAGGAGGTGTAGTGGGGGGAGGGTGGAGGAAGAGACCCCAGGAATGGGCCCAGCATGGTACTGAAGCAGAAATGAGCATGGTAAGAATCATGGAGGCGGGAGATCAAGGTGTGAGGATAACTGTGGAGAGGTACGTGGGGCTGGGATCACGCAGGGCATGCAGCCACGTAGGGATTTAGCATTTTATTCTAAAATTCTTTGGAAACTATGATAAATTAAAATACATATACTTGATATTTTGCCCAGTTTTATTCATTTACCTAAGACTTTGGGAAAACCAGAGATGTTTGCTTTACCAAGTTCAAGGCAAGGAAGTTTTCAAGGAAATAATACAGATTCAAAGCCGCTGAGTAATATATTTTCTTGGACGTCTATGGATATGGTAGGTATCATTTTCCTAAGTTCATTTTTCTACCTTAAAGGATAACACTTCAGAAGCCCAGCCAGACTGAGTTCATGGTTCAGGGACCCTTGAAGCTCATGTTATAGGGGTGGAGGGGGGAGATACTGAAATCTTTCCAAAAATTTGAGTGTATAAATTACAGCTGCAGAAAACGGGGCTCCTCGTAGGAGGGCCATGTCTACTACCCCCCAGCTCTGAAAGCCTTTTCTTATGGGTGAGGAGGAAAGCACTTTTTCAAACACCTTCCTTTGCTCCTGTTTTTCTTCCAAATATCTTGTCATTTCATTTTCATTGCATCTAGGCCCTTGCTCGTTCCTTAAAGCCATTGAGCAGGAAGAATGGCCTTTTGCTGCACCCAAAACTCCATGTTCTCTGCAAATACATGCTGATGCGCCTGTTTACAGGTCAGGAACCAGCTAGGGCACCCACCCTATCCATGGTCTCTCAAAAACCTCTCCATCTTTGAAAAGCACTAATTTCACCTTATTTTCTGGATGAGTATTTTTCTTTTGCAAAGTAAGAAAGGATAAGGCTCAGGAAGCTTTGCGATACTCCTCATGGAAAAAAAGATGGGAAATTGATCCCAGGGTTTATGCTGCCCTCCTTCAGCACCTGCCTCCTACCTCCCACTAGAGTCCCCGAGAAGCCGGGGAGCCGGCTATGCTATCCTCCCAGCTTATGCCGATACTCCTCAACCTCAAATAAAACAAAATAAAGTGATTTAAAGATGTCCTACTTTCCAAGATCTACAGACTGTCTGCAGAACGTTAAGGGAAATTGGCTATCAGCCCAAAGTGTTTTTCCAAACCACCTCTTAAATATTTTCTGGCCAGAACAATGTATAAAGCCCACACTGTCATCTCAGAAGAGGGAAGACGGATGCTCTCCTGTTGCTCAGAGCCTCTGTTTGGCCCCAAAGCCCCCAGGTACTGTTAAGTTTCATTGTGATCCAATACCCATCTGCCAGACTAGAGCCTTGGGGTGCTTTCAATGCCAAATTTATACAGGCTGATATTTGCATGCAAATATGTAGCTAGAAATAAATACTATAATTAGCATCCATTGAATTTGCAGGTCTCTGTTCCTTAAGCCCTCTGCACAATTTGGGTAGACACAAAAGTTGTGGATCTAAGCACAGATTTTTCTCATTTGATCACACACTATTGTAGCCTGGCTTTGAGGACAATTATAACTGAATTTGATTCTAAAGGTAAGGTAGAGGCACTTAGAGATTACATGTTGATTTGAGGAAATTTCATCCAGTCTGAGTCTGCAAGGTCAGACATGCAAGTAACTAGTAACGAAAAAGGAGGAAGATTCTGCTCCAAAACGCTCTTGAGACAATAAATGAAAATAATCAAAGGAAACCCATCATTTCCTATCACCTGTGTCAGGTCTTAAATCTGGGTCGCAGTCCAGTAATTAGGTGAAACAATTAAAACCTGGATGTTTTGTAAAGGAAACCGGCAAGAATTAATTCAAACTTAATTGAAGTGAGGCAGCCACTTTCAAGGATGAGTTGGTGCTTTGCTCAGGTTTGAGAAGTGGGTGGGAGTTTGGGCAGCTCCAGAGACATCCCCCACCCCACTCGTTTTTGTGGAGAGGCTTCCCTTTTGGAATGAATGAATGAGTGAATGAATGAATGAGTGAGTGAATGAATATAAACGAGGCAAACCTTAAACTGACTTCTTATTCGTTTCTGGATTTCAGATATTATGTAGATTTGTTGTGTGTGCACACATGTACCAAAGTGGACCCAAGCACATTTTAGTGCATGAAAGGCAAATAAAGTCCATACAACAACAGTGTGGGCTGAGAGCACCGGCCGTGTGACCCTGGAACACAGGCTGGTTCAGGCACAGGACCCCACTGCTCGTCATCCTGTTCTGTGCCACAGGGCCTGCGCATGGAACAAGCCCAAGACGACTTCGTGATGAAATAAACCACTCAGACTTCACTTTTCACACTCCTCCTCAGATATAATCCTGCGTCCCTTTTTGAACTCAGGGATTTGTCGGCACTTCCTTTTCCCTTGGCTGGTAGGGCAGATAAATTAGACGGAGCTCTTGGCTCTGTATTGTGGGGAAACAAATGGGAAATCTCATGGAAATCAAGTTGAAATATAAAATCATGAAAGGGCCTTTATGCAAGGTTGTTTTCAAAATTCTGCCTAGGACCTGTCCCCCAGCCCCACTGTCCAGTGTGTTACCCCAGATCAGCGGCTTCTCTGCAGAACACGCTGGGACTGTGTTCTGGAGAGGTGTCTCTGGGCTGGAAGGAAGGTTCATGCTGGGACTGTGTTCTGGAGAGGTGTCTCTGGGCTGGAAGGAAGGTTCATGCTGGGACTGTGTTCTGGAGAGGTGTCTCTGGGCTGGAAGGAAGGTTCATGCTGGGACTGTGTTCTGGAGAGGTGTCTCTGGGCTGGAAGGAAGGTTCATGCTGGGACTGTGTTCTGGAGAGGTGTCTCTGGGCTGGAAGGAAGGTTCATGCTGGGACTGTGTTCTGGAGAGGTGTCTTTGAGCTGAAAGGAAGGTTCCCCAGTTGGAATGAGAGCATGGGATTGGCAGCGTATTGACATGGTGTCTGGACTTAGTTGGAAAACCTAAAACACCCAGAGCCTAGGGCTTGGTTCAAGAGCCCACCCCAGTACCAGGAACTGTGGTTCTGGCCCAGTCATGGATAGACCAAAGTCTCCCTGCAAAAGGAGAACTTCTCATTCATTCTCTAATTCATTTGTTTTCAACACGGATGCATTCCGTAAGCAACTGGAAACCCCAGTACAAATAGTCCAACTTTAGACAGTAGGACGGAGTAGAAGACAGGGTTCTGCTGAAAAAAAAATAAATGCTTTTCTAAGGTTAACGCCGGGAAAAGTCCGGGGCCTCCCGAATTCCACTCCAGTGCTCTTTAGTCACCGGGCCACTTGCCTTGTCAAATGTGCGGCTGGGTTTCATCTCTGCACTGATGACAACGAAGGCCGTGGCAGCTATTAATCTTCACTATGGTCCTCATGAACTAGTTAAGCATGAAGGGTGACAGCCCTGAGCCCCAGGGGCCTTGACAACTGCGGGTCCTAGGGGCATTGTGATTCCGGGATCTCGAGAGGAAGAAATAACGTGCGCTAGTTTTGCTAGCCTCCTGGTCACTGGAAGCAGGATAGCCTGTCTCGGCTGTAAGGACTGGTCGTTAACTGTCAGGCACTGGCATTGTAGTCTTTGTCAACAATCCTAAGCAGATGCAGGGAGCACGATCTGCGAGTGAGGGGGGATTGGCAGCTGAAATGCAACCTCGTCATCAAGAGAATGTGGTGCACACCGATCGAAACTCGGCTGATTCTGCCAGCTCCAATGTCACTCACGCCCTTATTGACGGGTGCTTCTTCATTCCATCTGTTGAATGGAAGCCTTGGTTATTTTCATTCTGAAATTGCACAGGATGACACATCCCCTGTCTTTCTGTACATTTTAGTCAACGTGCCACTGTGGTGACATGCATCAATCAGGCATCTCGGGGCAGCATGCCCTCCAGTGCCAGCATTCCGTTCGGGGCAGCACCCGGCCCTGCCCAGCCTGCTCAACATTCCCACGGAGGTCCATGGAATTTTCAAGCAAGTGCATTATGAGTGGATGAATATCAAGTTGTGCTTCTCAGCTTTAAAAATGAAATTTACGAGTCCAGCCTAGGGATTTATTTCCCACCTCCTTAGCGCCCTCCCCTCCTTAAATGATAAGAAACAACTGGAACAAGACTCTGGGGTGTCATGCTGTCAAAAAAATTCTTAATGAAATTAAAACCCTCACACTCTGACTAATGCTATTTCTGGCTGTGGAGCTCGATGCTGTCGATGTGTGACTATCTCCACGTCTGCCGGCCTAGTGGCTCCACGTCTGAAGAGTTGCTGCATGTCAGCTATTTGCCCCAGGGAATATGGGTGGAATATTTTATACCTGAAGTGGCCTTATTTTCAGGCAATGGCATAGCATGAAACGCAACTCCACTGTGTGTGCAAGAAGAAATGCCGCTTGAAAAACACAGCAGAGAAACGGTGAGATACAGTCAGGGGGAAAATGCCCTTGGAAGAAAAAAGCATGTCCAATCCTCTACATTTCTAATTCTGAAATTTTGGAGAAGCCTCCCCAAAAACTGCAACCTCTTTCTCTGCCTTAAACAACCCTTTGTCGATCTGATGTGGGAAGACCTGCTGCCAGGGGAATGAATGCCATCATTCCGA